>NC_000011.10:8241818-8544848 GCF_000001405.40 Homo sapiens
ATTGGGTACTCTCATAAGAACAAAAGCCCCATGAAGGCTGTTCTTGGGGCCCTACATGCCTTGTCCACTATTGTGTTCCCAGTGTTGTGCCCCACAGCAGTCATTGTTTAGCCATCAGCTCAATTCATGCATGAAGAGACTGAATGGAATCTATCCAGATATTACTGGCAAGAATCTGCTGGCCAGAGTGGGCCAATTCAGATAGGCAGGGCCCCTAGAGATGGAGCCTTAATCAGGCTTGTTGCTGCCCCTGTGCCACACCCCCTAGGTACCTGTAGCTATGTGGCCCTAACAAACAAAGCAGATTCAACCACAGCAGCTCCTGGGTCATGGCTGCCACAATCCAGGCTTTTGAGAAGCCATCCCAGGGCTCCAGCTGAGGAACAACAGCTCTCATGCAAATATAAACCCTTTATCCTTTAGATAAAAGAGCAGCAAAAACGCATCCTCCAGCCCCTGCCTCCACTGCGTGCCTCCCTTTACACATAAATACCCATCTCAGCCCTCAGGGGGTAGCGGGTATCTCTGTAATTCCAGCAGCTCTGGCTGTCACCTCTGGCACAGACCTAGCCTCCCCAGCTCCCTGCCTGAGGGTCTTTTTGGCTTACAAAAATGACTACTCTTCCCTGTCAGCATAGTCTGTGTCTCTGGGGGCCAGTGGGAGGAAGCGACCCCTGGAGTTTGCTACAGAAAAGCCCCAGGCCCAAGCCTTTCTCAGTCTGTAGCTTCCACCAACCCCCATCCCATCCTGGGCTGCTGGAGCCAGCCCCTGTGTTCCTTAACGGGATGCCGCTTGAAGCTGCACAGCTGTGGGGACTGGTGGAGAGCATCTGGAAGCTGTGTTCCCCTGACGGCAACTCAGCTGCTCCCTGGGCACCCGCAAAGCCCGCGTCACCCATCTAATGAAACAGGGCTCCCAAGAGGCCTGCAGTCTCCACAGAGGAGGAGGACATGGACTCTCAGACGAGTCTCAATTTCACAGCATCAGGGACGTGAGCACCAGCGCGCTGAACCAGAAAACGAGAGTCTGGCAGGAGCTGCAGACACACCATGAGCACCAGGGGATGGGAGATTAGGGCCCTTCAAAATCAATTTTGAATTCAAACTTTTAAATGTGTTCTCCAGGCACAAAGAGGGGACCCTCCCGGCAAGCTGGACCTAGGCAGCTGCCGGGTCCTGCTTCCTTCTTGAAGCCGCCAGAGCCCATCTGCTAGCCACGGGGCTGGGTGAGGGGAGGAAGGGCTGGGGGTTAAGAGGGAGAATCCAGGCCCCACCCCCAAGAGCGGCAGGGATGGAAACCCCTTTGGCTGGGGCTGAGACAGCACTGCCTCTGGGATGCCTGCCTGAGGCATTGCCCCGGGGCTTCCTATTGAGGCCCTGGGGGTTGCTTCAGCCCTTCTTTGCAGACCTGGATAAGAGAGAGAGACGCTGAAAGCAAGGCCCACGTGAGCCAGATTTCCCTTCAGCCCCCCGCATGGCTGAGGAGGTTCAGGGAGCATCCGTAGATGAAGCTGTTTAGAATACAAGCTTTGGAATCAGACAGTTTGGGATCTGTATCCTAAACCAGCCATGGGCTCCCAGGCAGAAGATCCTTGTTCAGAAGTGAATGTCTCTTCCGGAAACCTGGTGGGAGAAAGCCTGCTGTGAGTGTCTTGCAGTGCAGCCCCTGTGAAGTGAGAGTGGTCTGAAGCTCCCAAGTGCAAAGGGAAAGTGTCATCCCGTGTGAGAGTCAGCAGGGTGGGCCGGCTGCTGGGCAAGCTGGTATGGCCGCAGGCTGCATTATCCAGAGCACAGAGTCTGCAGCCAGGGAGCTGACAGCCATGCTGTCTGTCATCTGTCAGACCATGTCTGGAGTACAAGTACCATCTGGGCCCTGCACCCAGGTGAGGTGGACAAGGAGGCACGGGGTAGTGGGCCTCACCAAGCCAGAACAGACTGCTCTAGCCAAACCCTAGAAAGGGCCCCAGGCCCACAGTAGGAAGGCCTTTGGAGGCATGAGCCCACAGAGGATGTTCCTGGCAGCTTCGGCTGCAGCCCCCCACTCCTGCCTGGGTCCCTGTTGAGCCCCATTTGTGCCTCCCAGCCTATCATCAGCTCACAGTGCATGTGTTCCCCATCTCTGGGTGGGGAAGCTGGTCTATGACAAGATTCTTTGAGATCACTGACTCCCTCAGCCCCAGCCCCAGAGTTTTCCAAACCCCTGGCTAGCTCCCAACTTTAAGCCATACTCCTGACACATAAACATGAATGAGTGTGAACCACCCTGTGGGTAAGAGACAACAGAATACAGCCACCGTGGCCTCGGGCCTGCAGGGGCTTCACAGGGAGCCCTTTCTGGAATAAGGAGCACCGGGAAAGGAGGCTGGGGTCACCAGATCACATATAGGAGAGGAGGCAGGGACTCCCCAGCCCCTCCTAGCCCCCAGCTTGGGAGTGGGCTGCTGGCTTTGCAAGGAAATTACAACATGGGCCTGGGTAAGGCTCCTCTTAGTTACAGCATAAACTGCAGCAATAAAGCGTACCTGGGGAATGTTTAGAGAAAGCACTAATGATTTCTTCCCTAGTGGTTAATAAATTCACTTCCAGATCAATTTGTTCACGATAGAGCCCTGTGAGCGGAACCCGCATGGCGGGCACAGCCGAGTGTGTCTTTTTCAGTATAAATGATTTATTACGATGATTAGCAGCACATAAACAATTTAAAATACAACGCTAATTAGTTTGGGGAAGAAAGGAGGGGAAAAGCCACCCTGCCTCTCTCCCCATTATGTTCTACTTCCCTAAGTGTGTACTTTTTAATTAAATCCAAATGTCACAATAAACTTAAAGTGTTTTATTACCACTCGGGCTAACTGAGGCAGTCATGTGAGCCCCCCTCTCAGGCATCTGCAGGCTGGCCTGGGGGTAAGGGCTGGGGGCACCAGCAGAGGCTGTCCACAAACTCCCAACATGGGAGATCTCTTGAGAACCCTGGAAACCCCTCATGGTTTTCAGCAGCACCAGGTCAGTAAACACTGGGCCTTCCCAGGGGACTCTCCACCTTCTGCTCACCTTCCTGGCCAGCCCAAGCAAGGTCTCCTCCTTAAAGCCTGCTCTGACCAGCCCAGAAGCCAGCCACTTCTCCCCGACAGTTCCACAGTACCCTGCATCCTCTTCACCCCTCCTCGTGTGCCCTATAACCTTCTACCAACTACCTTCTGTGTGCCTGGTATCATGCCCGGCACTTCATGTACAGCATCTTCCCAAGTCCTTGTTGTGGTGCTGTAAGTTGTAATTATTGCTTCCATTTTGTGGATGGGGAAACTGAGGCTCAGAGAGGTGGAACAACTTATCTAAAGTCACACAGCTCAAAATGGACTTTTGTAGCATCCTTTGCCCTCCTACAGCATGCTCCGCTTCAGAGCCTACAACTGGCCATGTCTGGGCCCTGCCTTGCTTAGAGACACATCTGAGGCAAGGGTTCAGGCCAGGGACTTGGACTCTGGTGAGCCTGGGTTCAAGTTCAGGCTCTGCCATCGACCCATATTGTGAACTCCGGCAAGTCATTTAGCCTCTCTGAGCTTCAGCTTCCTCATCAGCAAAACTAGAGCAATAACATTCAACTTGTAGGGCTGAAGAATGAAAGTACCTAAAGCAAGCAGAAGTCCTTTGCTATCCTTGATATGCTAGGCAAGTAGTAGCTATTTACAGAAGCCCTTGAGGTGAGCAAAGATCCGTACTAACCCCACTTCATAGATCAGAAAACTGAAGCCAGCAGGCAAAAGATTTATCCAAAGTGCCAATGAACCCCAGGATCTCACTGGGGAAGTACCAGGCTAAGGGCAGCCTCCCTTCCGGAAGTTCGGACAACCAAGGATGGCTTCTCTCCTAAACACTCATGTACTATTCATTTGAATTTAAAAACAAATATCCCCAAACACAGAGTTTTCATATGACTCAGTGTGTTAATCTTTCTTGTGTTGCTATAAAGACATAGCTGAGGCTGGGTAATTTGTAAAGAAAAGAGGTTTAACTGGCTCACAGTTCTGTAGGTTGTACAAGCATGGTTCCAGCCTCTGCTCCTGGTGAGTCCTCAGGAAGCTTCCAATCATGACAGAAGAGGAAGGGGAAAAAGCAAGTCACATGGTGAGACTGGGAGCAAGGGAGATGGGGGAGGTGCCACACTCTTTTAAACAACAAGATTTTGAGTGAACTGAACAAGAACTCACTCATCACCAAGCGGATAGTGCTAAGCCATTCATGAGGGAGCCATCCCCGTGATCCAATCACCTCCCACCTGTCCCCACCTGCAACACTGGGAATCTCATTTCAACATGAGATTTGGAGGGGACAAACATCGAAACCATATCACCCAGCAACTCCCCTCCTAAGTATATCCCCAAGAAAAATGAAAATATAGGTCTTAACAAAAATTTGTACATGAACGTTCCTAGCAGCATTACTCACAACAGCCAAAAAACAGAAACAACCCAAATGTCCATCAATTGACAAACGAATAAATAAAACATGGTATATACATACAATGGAATATGATTTGGCCACAAAAAGAAATGAAGTACTGACATATGCTACATCATGAAGGAACCTTGCAAACATTATGCCAAGAAAGAAGGCAGATACAATAACCACATATTGCATGATTCCATTTATATGAAATGTCCAGAATAGGCAAAGCTATACAGACAGAAAGTAGTTTAGTGGTTGCCAGGGAGGGAGGAATGGGGAGTGACTGCTAATGGGCTGAAGGTTCTTTTTGAGGTGATAAAAATGTTTTTCAATTAGATAATGGTGATGACTGCATAACTCTGTGAATATACCAAAAACCACTAAAGTATCTATTTTAAAAAGGTTAATTTTGTGGTATGCAAATGATAAATCAATAAAGCTATTATAAAACAAAACAAACAAAAACAAATAAATATTCCTTTGAGAACAGGAGAAACCAGTTCATAAAATATTCAGTCCTGGGGTCAGCATAGCGGGGGAAATAACCTGTGGCAGCTAGAAGCTGCCAGGTGGGGGGACCTGGGAGGCCCCATGGCCAGCCTCACAGGGGGCAGGCCCTGGTCACCTCATCCCCCTGCTGGGATGAAAGGGATGAAAGGGCTCCAGAGCACCCCCTTACCTCCTTCCCCAGACCCCCACATCCAGAAATCTGACTCCATCCACTTTTCCAGCCCTGCTCCCCAGGAAACTCAAACCTTACTGGATCCATCACTCTCCTTGGCCCATCTGCTTCCACAACTGCATTCTCATTTTGTCTTCCCAGGTCTCTCTTTGTTGAAATTTCTGCATCCTTCAAGGACTATGCCCTACCTGCAAACTGAGCATGCCCATGGCAGGGGGGTCCCTCTTTCAGGACCTTGAGCTTGTCCTACCTTGGACACCACGAGTACATAACAGTATGTGCATAATGCTACATGCATAATGAATAGCATCATAGTAAGGACTCCCCCAGGCAGGGTTGGGTAAGGGATGCTGCCCTCTCCCAGGGCCTGTGAGCCCCACCTGGCACAGGGATGTGCCAGCTTAGATCCAGTCCACGAGGGTAGGAAGGAAAGCAACGAGGCTGCCTTTGAAGGGGGAGAGCACCATGCCCAGACTAGGGACAGCACCCTTTGTAGCTAATCTGAGAGGACAACCCAAAAAGATGAAGCATCCTGGCCAGCAGGGGGAGCTGGGGCCACACTGGGGCAGGGGCATTTGCCTGCCCCAGAGTTGGGAATGAGCAGGGATAGACTGAGAGTAGTCACAGCGGCTCAGGCCTCATCTCCGCAGAGGCGACCAGCCTCCAATCCTCCCACAATGGAGAGAGCCCTATGGAGGGGACAGGACAGGTCTGGTCACTTGAAAGGACTATCTGGGCCTTGAAGCAAGTGGACACATGCTCGTTTTCTAGTCATTAGGTCAGTTCCCTGAGTCTACATGGATTCAACATGAAATGCTGTCTTGGGAAGCTGCCCCTTAGGGAAACTACCCTTGGAACTTCTCTAAATTTCTCCCCCAAAGTTCTATGAGGCCCAGGGATGAGAAGACTTCTCAAGGTAAGGGGTGGCAGGAGTACATGTTGCAAGTACCTTCCCTTTATGTAGCCACTGTGTTCTCACCAACACCTCCTCGGGTGGGCACAGTGCTGCCTGGCTGGCAAAACACATGAAAACATTTTCTGTCATTTGAGTTCTGTGCAGGGGGCAGGGAGGATGTTCTGGGTCTTAACTTACGTGACCAGGGCTCAGAAAAGTTAAGTGGTTTGCCCAATAACACACAGCAGTGGGTGGTAGAGCAAGATTGCCCGTGATCTCACAGTCAGAGGACCACAGTCCATGCTTGTTACCTCCCAAGTCAAAAGACAGCTACCCCTGCAGCAAGCGGTCAGGCCCTCATGCCGCTGCCGTCAATTTCAAAGAATTCTAAAGATTTCACATCTGCATGTATCTGAGCTGGTGCTCTTGGGGGTTCTCTCTCCTTGGAAGAGTGAGTCCGAAGCCTTTGCCATGGAAGGGAGGGCAGGATTCCTGGTAGTATGGACCACAGGGAGAAGAGTGTGTGCCCTTGAGACAGCATGGAGTGGGCTGGTGGGTCTCCAGGCCCTGGGCAGCCAGGCAGGAGTGGTGCCCATGCACCACATAGACACCTGAGTCTACAGACAGACCACTATACAGACCTCTCCCCTGAGGGACAGCTCATTGCAGAGGCAAGACCTTAGGCATAGTTCCCAGACTCCACAGAGGTGCTCTGCAGCCTCAGACAAGTTCTGCTCTTCTCTGGACTGATCTTAGTTGAATATAACTGGGGGTGGACTGGAGTAGAAATAGGTAAGGGTAGGGAGACCGTGAGCCACGCCTCTTTCCCAGAATCAGCAGCTTTCATGAAAGCCATTCGGGAGAAAGAACACTGGCCCAGAGTGGGAGGGCCAAGAAACACTTTACAGACAGATCAGAGGAGGTCAGAGGAGTCAGGGACTGATCCATGGGTGGCTGGATAGGTCTAGACTTGCTGCCTCCCAGTCCTACTGTCCTCCTACCTGCCTCAGGCCCACAGTCTTTGGCTCCCTCCCTCAGAGCCTAGAAAGCCAGGATTGTGGTCCAGTCTTGACAGCAGCAGAGGGGGAAGTGAAGGGTCAGGGAAGCCTTCAGGCCAAAGCTGGGCTGGGCAAGCAAGGGCCTCAGGGACAAAGCTGGGCAAGGACAGGCTTGCAGCCAGGGGCTCTGGTCTACCTTCCCTGGAGCTCAACTCCAGCTCTGGCCACAAGTTCAAGCCCTGCTACGGGGAGCTGAGCAGCTCCAGCCAGGATCTTGACCACCAGTAGACCTCAGATGAGCTCCCATTCCCAAGGCCACAGCTTCAGCACAGTTTCTCTCCTAGACCTCAACTGCCTCCTCTGACCAACCCAGACCCTCACCTGCCTCACCCTGCACAGACCCAGACTGCGAGCTCTGGACGAAACTGAAGGGAGGCAGACAGGAGTGTGGGGCCGTCTGAAGCCAGAGGGATGAGGAGAGGTCCATCTATAAAGCTGAAAAAGAACCCCTCCCTCCCCATCATATGCTGCTTTCTCTGCCTCTAGTTTTATCCCCTCCCATTTGCTCTCCACAGAGTAAACCAAATGGTCTTAATAAAATGTAAATTTGAGCATGAGTCTTGCTTCTACCTAAAGCCATTCAAAGGTGTCTCGTTGTACACATGGACATAAAGATGGGAACAACAGACACTGATGCGTGATAGGATCTGTCATACCCCGAACCTCAGCATCATGCAGTATGCCCATGTAACATGTAACAAACCTGCACATGTGCCCCAAGGATGTGGAGAAACTGGAACTCCTACCCACGGCCTGCAAGGCTCTGCACAATGTAGCGCTGCCAACCCTGACCACCCTGCAGCCTCACTGATGATGCCCCAAGCTCCAGTCACAATGGCCTCTGCAGTCTTGAACTTGGGGTTCCTTGTCCTCTCTCTGAGACAAAGGAATCCTTATGATTCTCTCCAATCCTCTCCTGACCTCCTTCACCTGTAAACTCATTCATTCATTATCCGCTCAACAAATATTTACTAAGCATCTACCAGCAGGGGCTAGCCCTTAACATCTACATTTTGATAAAAATTATACCAAAACTGAGGATTTTTCATCAAGAAAGTAACTCTTAATGAGCTTCATTAAGTCAATTTAATTCCTTGATCACTTTTCTATTCATTCATGTTAAACCATTTCTTCACCTTTCCCCATTTTTTTTTTATTTTTGTGGAGATTATTTTCATCGGGATCAATTATTTTTAAATTGTTGAAGGTGACTATTGGCTTACGATCAGCTTTTGGCTCACTGTAGATCTCACAAATTAGAGTTTTTGCCACTGTCAGGATTTCTTTTCTGGCAATTATTTCTACCAGAAAATGTTTCCTGAGCCAACTTCTGCAGATCTAAACTTTGTCAGGAAGATTTGATTCTTCTGTCAATTTTTAGTCAATAACATACTTTACCAGGTGCAGTCTTAGTTGTCGCCAGTTTTACTTTGTGTTAATTATTTCAACCAATTTTAATTTCTTCCTGGATCTTTTTTTTGAGAATAATATCTCAATAATACTAATGAGATCTTATGCTCATGTAGAAGGCATATTTTAGCAGTGATCTGATAAACACTCCGAGGATCAAAGAATAGCATGAAAACATCCTCAGGGCACAAAGGCAGGTCAAAGCATTGAACTCTGCATTTGGGTGGAGTACCAGCTTGGAACCAGGTGCCTGAGGGAGCCCTGCCCACTGCCCACTGCTCCCTGGAGCCCTGGCCCCTGCCAAGAAGATGCCTCACAGATGGGAAACAGCTTCTGGCTCGGGGGAGAGCAGCTGCCTGGAAGAGACAGCCTCTGACTGACAGGCAAAGAGCTGGGGTGCAGCCCGAGGCCCCATGCCAGTCGGATGCAGCCTCTGCTGGGCACAGACATTTCTACTCAGAAAGTATTTCAGAAACACTCAGCTGAGAAAGGAAGCAGACGCTTCTCAGTGCCTTAGTTTCCCCAGCCATAAAAGGATGTAATTGGGGTACTCTCAGCCCTAGGCTATGACTTCCACTCACTGGCCTCCAGGCTTTGAACCTGCTCCAGGGGTCCCCTCTACCTCCTAATTGAGACTCTACCTGGAAACAGCAGGGGACAGGGCCTTCCACCTGGATTCGAGTGTGACAAGACCAAGTGTGGAGGGCTAAGGGCAACAGATGCTCTCACCTGGGAAACTGTGTGTCCCAACCCCAGAAGTCCAGTGAAAGAGAAAGAGACCTCACTGGGAGTTCCTTTCTGCTGGCCTGGCCCTGCCACACCCATTCCCCAACAGTCATGTCTCCATATATGGCACCACAAGGTATGAAGCCAGCAGCCACCCTGGGAATGCAAATGGGGAAACCAAGACCCAGAAAGGGGAAGGGACCAGCCTAAGGACACACTGTGAGGTGGTGGCAGAGCTGGGATGTGGATGCAGCAGTTCTGGCTCCCAGCCCCGTGCTCACCAGCCTGTTTATGGGAGTGCTCCAGCCCACAGGAGAGCCTCCTCCACCCTGCTCCCACGTGAGGAACTGCCGACACTACCTTTACCCAGCCTGCCTCAAAAATGCCGCCTCCACCGCCCCGTAACAGCCAGGAAAGAAGCGGGGCCCTCAATCCAACAGCAGCGGGGAGGCTGGCTCAGGAAGGAACCACCCTCACCTCCTCTGCGGGTATCATCCCTGCGGACTGAGAAGAGAGGCCCTGGGGTGAGAGACCCCACTGGGGTGGCTTTGTAGGGCCCTCCCAGCCTTGGAAAACTGACCATCTGTGAGAAAAAAATCCAGCAGCCCCCGGCGCTGGTCCAGGGGTGTGTGTTTGTGTGTGAGAGAGAGAGAGTGCATGTGTCTGCCTGTGCAGGTAGGTGTGCGTGTGGTGTGTATGGGGGGGGTATAGGGGTGTGGTATGTGTGTGTGGTGTGTGTGGAGGGGTGGAGGGGTGTGGAGTGCGTGTGTGAGTGTGTGTGAGAGTGCATGTGTCTGCCTGTGTGGTGGGTGTGCGTGTGTGTGTGAATGTGTGTGAGTGTGTGTGTGTATAGGTGTGTATGGGAGTGTGTGGTGGGTGTGTGGTGGGTGTGTAATGTGTGTGAATGTATGTGGGAGTGTGTGTTTGTGTGTGGGGGTGTGCGTGTGTGGGGGTGTGCGTGTGTGTGTGTGAATGTGTGTGAGTGTGTGTGTGAGCATGTGTGTGTGTCCACACATATTCAGCACCATCCCTCCCACAGCTACAGCCAAGGAGGGCCTGTGAGTGTCTTTACCGCCACCTCCCCAGGCTCATGGCAGGCGGGGCCTGTTTCTCGCCTAAACTCTTCAACATGCCAACTTGCTGGGGTATCCCAGCCAAGTGTCTTTTCCTCTCTGGACACAACCTAGTCCTCTGCAAAATGGGGCTAGTATTTGTCCTCTTAGCCTCCCAAGGGTGTTGTGAAGATGAAATGAAAGACTCCGAGACATCTGTGCCCTTCCCTGGCATGAGGTGACCCAGGAGTCCTCCTGGGAATGGAGCTGGTGAGGCATTCTCTCTGGAGGCAGCTGCTATTCCAGAGGCTGGCCTCTCATGGCAGGCCACCTTCTAAGATGGTCCCCAGTGATCCTGCCTCCTGGCACTCACACCCTTGTATCATCTGCCCCACTTCCTTGAGTGTGGGCTGGACCTAGTGGCTTGCTCCCAAGGAAGGAAACACAGCAAAGGTGATGGAATGTCACATCTGTGATTCATAGACAGACTTCCTTCTTGTAAGCAGACACTGTCTTTCAATGGCTTTCAGGAAGCAGGCAGCCACGTTGGAGAGGCCCATACGGCATGGCCACCATGGCCAGCAAGGCGTGGAGGCCCTCAGTCCAGCAGCCCGTGAGGAACCGCATTCTGCCAGCCACCAAATGACTGAGCTTGAAACAACCCCACATGAATCTTGAGATGAACCCACAGCCCCAGGTGACACACCTTGATCACAGTCTGAGAGAAATCCCGGAGCAGAGAACCAAGTAAAGATTACTGGTCCACAGCAACGAGAGAATAAGTAGGTATTGTTTCTAGCTGCTAATTTTGGAATGTGTGTTGGAATGTGTTACGCAGCTGTAGATAATTAATACACTGCCACAGTGGCATATATACTCTGCAGAGAAGGGTCCTCTCCTCAGGCCATTGAGAGGGGGCCCTGCAGACAGCTCTCTGCCTGACAACCCGTGTTGTTGTGAACTTCCTCCTAGAGCACAGGCCTTGATGTGGAGTGTTTCGAGGAGAGGAGCCCAGAGGACAGAGCCCTGTCTCCAACTGCCCTACCCAGGCCCCCTGCCCTCAGCTGGGCAGACGAGGAAAGTGGGAGAAGCTGCCTCACGTCCTCAAGGAGCCACAGCCGTGGATCCTTTCCAAAGAGCAATCCTCCCAAAGCTGGGAACTCCAGGCCTGTCTGGAGCAGGGCAAGCTTTCCAAAGCACATCCACTTCCCCTGTCTCCCCTGCTCTCACCAGTACCCCAGGGAGGACAGAGAAATGGCACCAGTCATCTACAAGACTCTCAGAAGCTTTGCCTGTTCAAGTTTCAACAGACCTAAAAGGTAAACGTGATCATACCCATTTTACTACTTGGAATTATTATTAGAATTTACTCATCAGAATGACTTAGCAGCAGAGGCAGGATTTGAACCCGTGTGACTCAAAGCCCACTTCCTATTTGTTTTACAAATAGGAAAACTGAGAATCAGAGAGTTTGAACATTCTGATGGCACCCGCAGGTAGCCCCACACAGTCCTTCCTGGATACTGTCGTCAGGATTGGGGTTTTTAAAGATCGAGGGGAGAGGACACGCAGGATGGAGCAGGACTGTAGGAGCCCAGGCCAGCACTGCTCCCACTTGTCTGGCAAGAGTGGGTCTCCCTCCTGCTCTCTATCAAGTCACCGTGCCAACCAGCAAAGTTGAATTATTAAAACTCCTTTCTGGGGTACCCCACGAATTTTTCCCCGCCGAGACTCAGAGAAGAGGGGCAGCCACTCCCGCCACACAATATTAAAATGTCAGGAGTTTAAGGCCTGCGTTGGTTGAGTCATAAGTTATCAGCACCCAGTGAGGGCCGACAGAATGCCTCCCCTAAATTATTAAGCAGAATGCGTCAGACTGTAATATTTTGCTAAACCAAAGTACAGACACAGACAAAGATGTCATTTCAATATTTGAAACCAGCAAGTTTAATTTAAAATAAGAGCAAACCAATAAGCTCAGAACATAGCGGCGTATGAGAGGAAAATTATACTGTGAGAGGAAAAAAAAGTGGAAGGACTTAAGAAATTTATAAAAGTAATCTCCAAGTGGAAATTAGAAATCAAGGCCTAGAAACAGAATAACACAAAAGAAATATTACTGTCCACTTTCTAAATCAATATAACACTGCTCCACGCCGGAATTACCATGGTAACTCAAGTAAAAAGAATCAAGCAATTCTTATTATTTCAAAATAAAATCACAGCCTGAAGCCTGGGTTTTATTACAACCACTGATAGATCGCTGGCTTGTATTTATCTGAAATATTGCTTTTCAATCAGCTGGTTTATGAATGTACACAGGCCTCTCACCAGCCCACTTACCACCCCATTTTGAGGCTAGGGGCCAACCAATGAATTGATTCTCACCTGGCTGCATCTGCATATATGCTCAGGTCTAAGTCAGCTCAGGGAACACAGAACATCACATCCTTTCAAGCCGTCTAGTGGCTTTGCAGGACAGAGAGGAAAACCTGAAAGAGGCAACGGGGACTGACCTGATTATGGTCCCTCCCCACCGAGGCTGGCCCTGGGAGGAATGGAGCTGGGCTCCCATGGCAGCCCCACTCAAACTGCCCACAGCAACCTTCCTCCCTCCCCAAGTCATCTTCTCACAGGTTCGTCACCCTTCCTTGAACTCTGAGTGTCTTTCTCTCCATCCCCACGTCTGACAGCTGGAAAAGGGAGCAGACAGAGCAGAGAGAGTGAGCGCACTGACTCTGCAGTCAGCCTGCTTGGGTTCACAGCCCAGCCCTGGCATTCTTGAGCTGTGGGAGCTGGAACCAATTACTCAATCTCTTTGTACAATAATTTTCTCATCTGTAAAATGAGGGTAATAGTAGCTTCTTCCTAAGGTTCTTATGGGTATTAAATGAGATTATACATGGAAGATGCTTGGTGGACTGATTACAAAAATGGCCCCAATTCTCTACCCTTCCCCACAGCCACACCATTTGTTATATGACTTTTCACCTCCTACCTTCAAGAGCAGAATCTGCTTCTCCACCCTTTGAACTTGGGCTGGCCTTGTGATTTATTTTGGCCGATAGAATGCAGCAGAAGCGACAAGATCCCAGTGCCAAACCTTGGCCTCAAGAAGCCTTGTGTAGGCTGGGTGTGGTGGTGCGCAGTGGCACAAGCTTGTAATCCCAGCACTTTGGGAGGCTGAGGCAGGTGGATCGCTTGACCCCAGGAGTTCAAGACCAGTCTGGGCAACGTAATGAAATCTCATCTCTACAAAAAATACGAAAATTAGCTAGGCATGGTGATATGGACCTATAGTCTCAGCTTGGGAGACTGAAGAGGGAGGATCACTTGAGCCCAAGAGGTCAAGGCTGCAGGAAGCTGTGATTGTGCCACTGCACTCCAGCCTGGGCAACAGAGTGAGATGTCTCAAAAAAGAGAAGGCTTTTGTGCTTCCACACCTTCCGGACCGGTCTCTGCCATAAGAACAAGTCGGACAAGCCTTCTGGCTAATGAGGGCCATGCAGTCTTGTCACGCCCAGCATCCAACTGATCAGCCATCCTCCATCCTCCAGATGTGAGTGAGCCCAGCTGAGACCAGAAAAACTGCTCAGCCAAGCCCTGCTTAAATCACTGACCCACAGATTTTTGAGTTAAATAAATGCTTATTGTGTTAAGGCTCTACATTTTAGGGTAACTGATTACACAGCAATAACTAATTGATACATACAGATAGCACAATGCCGCACTTTTTTTTTTTTTTTTTTTTTTTTTGAGACGGAGTCTCGCTCTGTCGCCCAGGCTGGAGTGCAGTGGCGGGATCTCGGCTCACTGCAAGCTCCACCTCCTGGGTTCACGCCATTCTCCTGCCTCAGCCTCCTGAGTAGCTGGGACTACAGGCGCCCGCCACCACGCCCGGCTAATTTTTTGTATTTTTGGTAGAGACGGGGTTTCACCGTGTTAGCCAGGATGGTCTCAATCTCCTGACCTCGTGATCCTCCCGCCTCGGCCTCCCAAAGTGCTGGGATTATAGGCGTGAGCCACCGCGCCCGGCCAATGCTGCACTTTTAAGTACGGGTTCAGTATAATGATAGCTATAGTGTTTTATGACTCCTAAAGACTGAGAGGCCAAAGCCAAAAGATGATACTGTAACTGTACAGAGAGCAATGTCAATTCATACAAGCATGAAACTTTCTGGTTTATCAAGTGTGTGCTTGGACATAAAGTGCCAGTTAGGTGTTTCACCCTTTGTAGGGATGAGAAAACTGAGGCCCAGTGCGCTGAAGTCACACAGCAGTCAGCTGGGACAAAACCCAGGTTTTCTGAATCATGCTAGCGGACTACACCTGTAGACAGGAGGCCACTCAAGAAAGCCCAGTTGACCTCCAGGGGAAGGGACAGGAGGGAGGAGCTAGTGACCTGAGCCCATGGGCCTTCACACTGGGCAGCTGCCTCTGCGACCTGGACCAATCTGCTCACTCCTCTCACACCACCTGCTTTTAATTTGCCCCCAGTTGTATCAGCTACTGTGAACTCCTGCCTTGGACAGAACACAAAACGAACACACTCCCACCAGTAGCGAACAAGCTTGTTGCTAGGTTTGGTGGATGTGTCTCTGAGCATGGCCTGGAATGGCCTGGGAGAAGCCTCAGCCAACTAAAGGAGAAAGGGCATGCCAGGCAAGGAGGACATAGGAACAAGGGAATAGAGGCAAATGCTGAGTCTTCATGGAACCCAAAACCAGAGCAGACATACTAAACCTGCATAGTTTAGTGTGATGGTCAAAGCAGCAGTAGGCCTCAGGCAGGATGCCAGGGTAGCAGAGGTTGGGTCAGACTGGTTGTAATGAGCACCACAAGAAAGATAGCAGGTGAGATGAGAATGGTGGTAGCAGAGGAGAAAAGGGTAGGTCCAGAGTCCCAGATGAATGCAATCCAGTGGTGTGCTGATGCATGCTTAACGACCAAGTCTTTGGGAAAATGCCCTGATTTGTAGTGTTTGCCAACATCCATGGTACAAATACTCCCATTGTGGCTGACTTCAAGCTACCAATGCAGTGTCTCTGAACTCAGAGTTGGGAACAGATGTACAGAATCTCTTGCAAGCCAGGACAAGTTGACTCCACTGGTGTAGTCCAATCCCAAATATGGGCCTGCTGGGAAAACTCACTCTAGCAGCACCACAAAGAGCTAAGCCTGGAAATGGGAGGACACCTTGCATGTCTCAGTGTCCTCCAACTCCAGACAGGACAGGCAAGCAAGATGGGACACATGCCATAGGAACCTCTGGGGCTTCTCCACTTCCAAAGGCCCAGGACAGGTGAGTGTCCCTCAGCACCTTTCACCTTACATCTGAGGATAGAACTGCATCTTCTGGGCTGTCAGTAGGCTGGCAAGGGGCATAACTGGGACACCCAAGCACGTGGTCCGTGGTCCCAGTCCAGCTGATGTTTGCTGTAATCAGAGTTTTCTACCACCTAGCCTCATCACGCCTCAGGGCTAGGGCAGAAGGCATGGCAAAAAGATGCTGATGCTCTAGGCTCCAATTCCCCATGGAACCCTAGGCAGCCCTTTTGCCCTGTTTAAACCTCAACCTTCCCCCTATAAATGGAGGAACTTGCAAAGAGTGGTCCTAGAGACCTCTTCCCAAGGTGCCACCTGTCTTGGTGATCTGGACGTGGGCGAGTAGTGAGGTCAGCCTGCCTCCCAGGCAGCAATGATTAAGGACCATGATAAATAAACTGGCAGAGTGAGGGTGCAGGCCCAGTGCTTGCCAGCAAACAAAGCACTGGACTGGACACAGAGTTATTTCAGATCATACTGTAACTGAGCATGGAGCAATGTTGCTCCACACAGCCATGAGGCTTTCTGGCTTATCAAATGTGTACATGGACAGTACCTCACTTAATCCTGAATACAATCCTGCCAATTAGATATGGCTGTTCTCACTGTAGAGACGAGAAGGTAGAGAGGCAAAGGTTTGGAAGCAAAGCAACCTCTACACTGGGTGGACATGGAACACAAAATCACAGTGGACATATTGGACCTACATAGCTTAGTGCAATGATAGAGGTGGCAACAAGTCAAACAGTGCCTGGCACACTGGGACACCTCTACCTTCTGCCCTAACATCTTCCAATCTTCTCAATGTCCCTGATCAGGGCTTTCTGGGAGGCCCTCTGGACCCTGGAGATGGATCCAACAACAGCCTTGGCCTCCCTGCTATATGGGGGCACAGCTCTGGAGGGAGCTCCTAACTCCCTGGGCCTGCATCTGCTCTAGACCCCAACGTGGCTCAAGGCACTCACCCCCAGCCTTCCCTAGCTGCACCATCACGGCTCTGTCTTCTGCTCAGACAGCCCAGCCCGTCTAGCCATGGCCACTTCCCAACTCTGGCAGCTTCGCCCTGGGCCATGGCTGAACCTCGTGTTTCCTTTGCCCATGACCACAGGGAGTCAACTGCCAGTGCTCACTGGCAATCATCCATCTGTTCCAAGGTTGAGAGACCAAAATAGACCTCCTCTTGGTCCTGCCCACAAATAGAGCCTGCTGTGAAGTTCCTTAAATGGAAGCTTATGGGGCAGCTGCCTGGTCTGACTCTGAGACACAGGGTGACACAGGGTGGGGGTAAGGAATCAATTACTCGGGAGGGATGAGAAGCGGGTCCCAGCTCTAGGGAAACATACATTTTCATGTGCTAAAGGCATCTTTGAGGACATGTTCAGAAACAGACAGCAAGAGAAAAAGGCAGTTCCCACAGCCACAGAGGCCAAGTGAGTGGTCATGCCAGCACTGAGCCCCGGCATCCAAAGGGTGAAGCTTTTAGGCGAGCAGCGGCCAGTGATCTCAGCTTCCCCCAGTCCTAATGCTCCTGAAAGGCTCTCTCCTGCTCCCTGTAATTGGGCATCAGTAGTTAATGCAGTATTGACTGCATTACACGCTCCCGTGCCTCCCCTCGCTAATGCCAATTGCATCACCTTGTACAGTCACTGGCTTGCTTAGCCAATAGCCGTTAAAAGCAATCCAAATCATGAATCATATGGGAAACTTTTAGCAAGACACCGCCATCCAAGGAGACAATTTACAGTTGAGTTAATCTGGGTACATTAGCGAGACATGGATTCCGGACGACAGACCAATTTATGTTGTTTCCCTGTCCCCCCTTAGTGCTGCTCTGTGTGAGCAAATGAATGGAAGAGCAGGGAACAGAGAGAAGCACCTGCTTCTTCACCCAAGGCTCGGGTGTGTGTGTGGGGTTGGGGGGCGGGTTACCCATCTTTACAGACACTCTGCCTGGCTAAGTTTGGGCAGGAAGGGGAAGCGGCTGTATGTGCAGCTCAGGATGTGATGCCTCATTCCCAGCAGAAAGGAGGGCTGCCGCTGGGGCTGGTCATGGTAGATGCAGATGGTAACCCTCCCGCTCCCCTGCTTCTAGGCACTGGGCAAGTGCACAATTTGGTCCCCACCCTGCCAGACTCACAAGGCCTTTACCAGGCCTCAGCAGGCAGCAGTGTCCACTTGGCTCCGCCTTCCTGCTGATGGGCTGGGGTCTCTGGCATGGAACAGCATCAGGGCCTGCCTCCCTCTCCAGGGTTGGGACGGTCATGAGCACACTCTGCCAGGAGAGGCCCCTGGGATTCTCTGTGGTCTAGAACATGAGTGTCTATCCTAGGAAATCCTACTGGTGGCCCAGCAAGGGCTGGTTGGTACCCAAGCATAGCCATGCGCCGGCTCTGGTGGATTAACTGAGTCGGCTGTGGAATTTGTGCTCCTAGCAGTCATTAACAATTGAAGACTCCGCTGTCTGGTCCTCCTCAGTCCAGCTTCACTCTCTTGGGCATTTTTACTTATTAAAAATGCCCTAGGAATCATGTCTGGTGTTTAGTTCCACAACCCGCCTGCTGCTTCCTGTGGTCACCCCCACCTTCCTGCTGGGCCTTTGCAAAGGCCGTTTATACCCAGCCCTGCCCTTCTCCTGTGTGCACCTGAGAGCATCCCAGCATCCCCAGCTGGATGCCCCAGCCTCCTCTCCTGCCCAGTCCCCCACAGACCAAAGCTCTCACTGTTCTTGGGCCCTCTCAGACTCTCTGCTGTCTGCTCCTACTCAAAGGCCTCTTCTCGAACAGCCCAGGGGCTCATTTGACTTGGGTAGCATTCAGAGCTGTAGCTCTCCTTGCTCCCTTGGGATTTTAACCCTCCCAAAAAGCTCACCACCTGGTGCCAGCCCAAGCCGCAGGTGCCAGGGGAAGAAGGGCTGTTTCTCCGGGAAAGTTGGAGCTCAGTTCCATTTCGCTGACAGGCAGACCCAGCAGCATGTAGAAAGCCCGGACCCTGAGTTCCAGTAAAGTGGAGATGGCTAGGCCAAGAGCAAGCATCCAAATGAAAGCAATTAATCTTAAAACCCGAAGTTTAACCGTTTGCAAAACAGATCTTTCCGTCTCTGTGGTGACCCTTCACTGCTCGACCTAATGGATTACTTTATTAATAATGCACTGTGCTTAAAAGCAAAAAAAAATTTTTTTTTTCTGACGATTCAATACTTCAGAAAGTCTCTTAAACCCGTTGCTACGGCAAAACGATTGATATTTTATTATCTTTCAGAAGTGCAACATGAAAGCCCTGCAGCCCAGCAGAGCGGGAGCTTTGGTCCTCGGCAGCTGGCAGACCCGACTTCAACCAGAGGAGCCCCAGCCTCTCCAGACAAGATGCTGTCAGGTGGAGAAAAGGCGTTGGGGGTGGTTAATAGCAGCCCTGAGTCCCTGCTGCAGCCAGACAAAAGGTGCCGTATGCAGGGAACGCACCCTTTGGGGGAGCCGGGGGGTGGGGGAATGCTGCCACCCAGTTCAGATAGCCACCTGCTGAGAGGGCAGAAGCGTTCAAGAAGAAGATAGGTGGTTGGTTTGGAGGAGCAGATGAGTGCATCCAGAACCTTTCTCCCTCCCCCAATTGAAGATGCCATCTTCAAGGTTTCCTGGAACTATGGGAGGCCAGACTCCTCTTAATAGGGAGTGGAGTGCAGATGCATGAGCAGAAACGTCGCTTTTGAAAGACAGCTATGGGCTGGGTAGGACAAGAATAGGTGGCTGCTTAGGACACCAGTGGATGTGCTTGTGCTGTAATGGACCCCAGAGCCCAGCAGCTCCATGGTAGTGGGCACCATATTGTTTAGGCTGGACAGGCTGGGGATGGAGGGGCATCTGGAGCTCTCTTCCACAGATCTAGCAGAAACCAGAAGAAACATCTGCCCAGGGTGCTTGAGGTACACTGCAATTTGGAGGCAGGGAGCTGGCTAAAATGACCTCCAGAAATCCATTCTCACTCAAGGCTCATCTGAAACCCTTTGTATTATCTCAGAGCCAGAGGCATCATGTGGTGCCTGGGCAGAGCAAGATCCTGGGTGCAGGTAGGGGGTGTCATCTTGTTGGCATGAGACCAATCTCCCTGGCCTGAGGCCTCTCACGTACAGAGCCCGAGTCTTCTGGATTCCTGGCTTGGGCCTGGGGAGCCAAGTATGCCAAATAACCTCTGCTAAAGATGAACCTTGCATGCTCCCCATAGTGACAGTATCTCCAGGTACCAAGGAAGTACCCTCTCCCCTGGCTTCTCCAAGCCCTTCATTTTTACCAAGAGGGAAGGTGAACATGGGGAGTTCGTGATGAAAGGCACCAAATCAAGGTCTCTTCCCTCCCTGTCTGGCCCAACCCCAGACCCCTTCTTCTCCTTTTCATTCTATATGAAGTTCTCCGATGGCCTACATGGGGCTCCAGGGAAGGGGTCCGTGAATAGAGAAGACATATTGAAGATGATGTCCCACCCCAGCTAGCCCAGAAGCACTGAGGTTCCCCCCATCCTCTCTCTTCCTACACACATACTGAGAGCCACAGGTCCTCCTAGATGCCACCCCCAGGCCAGATACTTCAAATTCCCCCTCCCTGCTGGATGTCTCAGAAGGCGGTAGCAGCCTGGGGGCATCGGCACCTGGCAGCGGCAATGCGAACATCCTGTGTGACCCTGAGCAAGTCACTTAGCTTTGCATTTTCACCAACTGGCCACATCAATAACAACGCTGCCCCAGGGACAGAGGGCTCAGGCCCAGCAGAGACTCCTGAACGGAAGGGCAGAGGATGGCCACTACAGTCACTTTAAGAGGATTCCCGCTGACTCAAAGCAAACCTACCCTTTCGGTACCTCACCAATGGCAGAACGCCGGCGGCAGCGTGGGCACCAACAGTCACATACAAATGCCCCTGCAACACCAACACACAGGCCTCACCTACAGGGCAGGAGGTCCTGGGACAGCCAAGGTACTGCCTCTCTCCTTACCCTGGGGACTCATCTTAGGGCACCCACTTGGCTTTCCCCCCAAGGGGGCTGGGATCCCCAGCCTTCTAGGACACTTAACTGCAGGGCACTCCCTGCCAGTAAGGCTTTGGGGTCTATGGGACCACCTGCTAGTGGCTTCCAGCAGCCATGGGCTCCTCTGTTCCGACCTTTCCCGTGCCCTGCAGTTTTCTAGGGCGCACTGAGGCTCGACCACGGAAGGTCCGTGCCACTCTCGCAGGCCGCTCCCGCACAAGTGCTACCGGCCGGCGGCGGGACACTTTCTTCCTCTGGGCCAAACTCCCGCCTCCGCGCTCAGAGAGACAGGGAGCTAGCGGGCCGGCACAAGAGGCGGCTCTCTTTCTCACCGAGTCACGCTCATGCAGATGTCCCCCGGAGGGTCCAACCCGCCTTCCCCTCGCCTGCCGGGCACCCTGGCGCTCGCGCCGTCCTCCCGCGCTCCCGCTTGCCCCGAGCTCTGGAGCCCGATTCTCCCCGAAGCCGCTGATTTGCTCGGCGCTCAGCGCCTCTCGGGTTACGCGGCGGCTGGCGCGAGGGTGATGGCTGCGGTGAGAGCAGCAGCCTCAGACACGAAATGCTCAGAGCGAACCTCCGCGGCGCGGAGATCGCAAGGGAGCCCCAGCCTCCGCGCGGCCCCGCGGCGCAGCACACGGCCAGTGCACAGCTCCTCGGCTCGCGGCCGGGACCCGGGGGGCGTGCGGCCCCGGGCGCGTGCAGCCCGGGGCTCGACCTCCTCCCCCCGCAAGTTCCGCCCGGCTGTCCCCCGGTACTTCCCCCCGCCCCAGCCCCGGCCCCCAGCGCGCCGCCCGCCCCGCAATCCCCGCACAGCCCAGCAGGTGTGCGCCCGTGTCCCCGCGTGTGTGTGCCTGCGCGCCGCGGCAGGGGGCGAGGGGGTGAGGGGCGTCGAGACCCCGGCCCGCCACCTACCGTCCTCCTTGTCCAGCACCATCATCTCGGGCGCTCCGTGTCCAGCCGCAGCTAGGCTCGGCCGGGAGAAGGGCGCCGACTCGGGGCGCGCTTTGGAGGGGCGGCCGGTCTTCGGGCAGCTAGCGGGCTCTAATTACCCGCTTGTCCGGCTCTTAACCTAGATTGCACTCAGCTAGAATTACATTCAGGAGTGAAGCACTTCGCAGATACAAAAGCAGTCTCACCTACTTTTGTGCCTCAGAATTGGAAGGAACTACGAACTGCAATTTAGAGAGAGAGGGAGAGGGAGAGAGAAGGGGGAAAAGAGGATCAGAGCCGTTTCTTTGATTCTCACCTTCTAAATGGCTCAATTTGCCCAGTATAATCTGTCTTAATGTAATTGCATTTGATAGCTCATAACCCTGTCTCTGGCAACGACACAGCTTTCAGCCTCATAAAGTGTTTTCCCCTCGGATTTAATCTGAATCTCAATCTAAAATTATATTCAAAGAGATGGGGGAATCTCGTGGCCGTCTCCCGCTGCCTTTCTCCCTCAATGTATGAGGTTTGCACTCCTGCTACTGCATAAATGCACACATTTCCTGAGGCCTCCACCCTCCCGGGTTAATGGGGAGTGGAGACGCACGGCTGTCCGGCTCCGCAGCGCCACCTGGAGGCTTCTAGGTCCTAGCTCGGTGAGCGTCTTTGCTCCGATCCCAGGGTCGTGGTCTTCAATGATTGTCTGGAGGACGCATCCCATCTGTCACTCCCAGACCCTCAGCCTTGATTTTTGTCTCTTCTTCAGAGCAATATTTCTCTGATCACATCCTTTTCCTTCCTACCAGTTCTGCCCGGGGTTTCGTGTTGCTTCCCGGATTGTTTGGCAAAGTTAACCCTCTTCAGGGCACAAACGATCCTACCGAGTCTTACAGCACTACTCCTGACCCCAGCAGCACCCCCAAAAGCATCCTGACTCCATGGAGCGGGAGAGCTTATCTCAACTTCTCTCGAAGCAAGCACAGGCATGGCCTTGAAAGCTTTTCTCATTCTACAAATATTTACTGAGCATGTATTATGTGCCAAGCACAGTTCTAAGGCACTAGGGATACAGCACTGAACAAAACAAAGATTCCTGCTGCTATTATGGAGTTGACGATTCTTGCTCTGTAACTCATAAGGCAGGAAAAGAGACAGTGCCCATCTCTTCTCCTGGACCCTGCTTCTCCCCAGAATCCTGGGGCTGATGTTCTGGCTGCCTACCCTAGGAAGGCCACCTACCCACCTACTTTTTTTCTTTTCATTCCTTTTTCTTTCTTTCTGTTTTTTCTTTTTTAAGATGGAGTCTTGCTCTGTTGCCCAGGCTGGAGTGCAGTGGTGTGATCTCGGCTCACTGCAAGCTCCGGCTCCCAGGTTCCAGCGAATCTTCTGCCTCAGCCTTCCGAGTAGCTGGGATTACAGGCACACACCACCACGCCCAGCTAATTTTTGTATTTTTTAGTAGAGACGGGGTTTTACCATATTGGCCAGGCTGGTCTCGAACTCCTGACCTCGTGATCCACCCACCTCAGCCTCCCACAGTGATGGGATTACAGGCGTGAGCTGCTGCGCCTGGCCGGAAGGCCACCTACTTTTAAATCCCAAGTCTTTTTTCTTTGCCTAGACAGTACAGAGTTCCAAGGTGGGATAGAAATAATGATTTTTCTTCAGCCCAAGGAGGGCTCCAGACAGATGTGTTGGAGGCTTGGTCCTGGCAATCACTTCTGAGGACTAGACCCAGGGAAAGAGAAACGGGCTGAAGGGCCACCAGTTGGGATTCTATCTCATCTCTGCCAATTACCAACAGTGGACCTTAGCAAGTCTCTTTCTCTATCTGGGCCTCAGTTTCCTTGGCTGTGAGGTGGGAGACCTACTCTTCCTGTATCTATGGTTGCTGTGGGGGTCAGATGAGCTAATGCATGTTAATGTGCTTTGTAAACTGTGGCACTCCAGACAATGCAGGGGGATGGGGGGAGATTATCTGGTTTGAAGGAGACCTGGAGGCTAGGTCTTACCCTTTAAGCCCTGGGAGGCCCCAGTGCTTGACAGGGATGGGGAGCAGCGGGCTGCAGCCATATTCCTCTCTGCTAGGCAGGGAAGTCAGGCTTTGAGAAAACAGAAAAGCGCTGCTTCTAATGAGATGCCTCATCTGCAGCTCAGAGGGTTTCACTTTCCCCTTCATCTTGAATACTTAATCCTAATAGTCCTTGAGTATATTTGATGTTAAATATATCATTTTGCTCAGACTCACCAGCCTCAGGACTGCGAGCTTGATCTCTCCCCTGCCACTGCCGCCAGACCCATGCCCTCAGGGTCTGAGGGAGGCTTTGGCACCGCTGCCACCGGCATATTTGGTGCCAGCCCCTCACACCCACCAGAGCTGGGGGCTAGACAGTGTAGCAAGCACAGGGCCTGACAGGCTGGCAAGGGGCAACTTCTTGCCGTAGAAACCTCTGTGCTACTGGAGGCGTTCACTCCATCGGGGCTGCATGCAGCCTTACTACTGACCTCCAGGGGCAGATTCTCCTCACTTTCAGGGGCTGGCCCTGACCCACAAACCAGGACTGGGCTAGCTGTGGCCACTCTTCCACTCTCTTGTCCACGAGTTTGTCTGAATACCAGCTCACCTCAGCCTCCAAGGTACCTAATTGGCAGCCACATGACTGGCATCCCTTTGGGGAGTCAGGGCCCTGTGCCCCAAACCCAGGGACTGGAGCAGGCCTGGGGTGCTGAGCAATGGGCTGCAGAAGCAGGTAGGGCATGCCAGCAGGGGACTGGTGCTGTGTGTGCCCACAGGTGGCTCTTTCTGCACCCCCAGCTGTGAGCATGGTGCTCCCAAACTGATCTGGAGAGGAACCTTCACAGCAAGTCTTGGAGGGTTTGGGTGGCTTGAGCTTCCAGCCAGGAAGGGGCTTGCTGGGTTGACAGAGGCAGATAGAAACATCACTCACCCCATCTGATGGCCTCTCTCCACTCACTGGGCAAGCAAGTAACTCCCACCCCCATACTCGCCCCACCCCCATGCTCACCCCACCCAAGCTGCTTCTAGGTCCAGGGACACGCCCACAGCACCAGAGTGGAATCCTCAGATCCCCTGGGGCTGGGGGAGGTAGTTTTCCCCCAACACATTCCACAGGTGATGAGCATGTACTCTCACTTCGACAAGCCAAGAGTGCTCCAAAATGCCCTCGAAATGCCTCTGGGAATGGCAGGGAGAGGACAACTATCAATCCCCAAGGTTAGTTTAAGGAGAAAGTGGGTGCTACTGGCTGTCTTACAAATATCTGGGCAGGTCCCAGCAATTTGCCCCTCCACCTGGCAGGAAAGTCCCGAGGAAGAGTTCCTGCATTAGGAGTGGGGGTGGGAGATAGTGGGACCCAGGGCCTGAGGGCCCAGGCCGACTAGATATTACAGAAGTCTTTGGTGGAGACTGTCAGATGTGCCTCAGCCAGAGGGCCTGCTCCCAACACAATGCAGCTGCCTCCAAGACGGAGTTACAAGCTAGCCACACAGGTGATGCTCAGAGAGGTATTGGGGTGACGAGGACCCCTTCTCTGTGGCCACCACAGTTGACAGGACAGAGTAAACCTACAGACTTCGCAGTGCAATCAGGATGCCTGCTGGCCATGTTCAGATGCCCTTCCCTTCCCCCTGCTTACACAAAAGCAGCCAATGCACAGGAATTTGCAACCCGCTGGAGTGAAGAAGTGCACAGTCGGCAAACTTTTCCTCTTTTGGTTTCTGGAGAGCCTGGACAGGCCTTCTTGCAAGCAGCAGTTATAGATTGTTAGGCCTTGTGGAGGCCTAAGCCAAATCTGCACCATAGCAAAGAAATCTCCCCTACCCCTGCACCACAGCCCTGAGAAGGTTTTGGGTGTGCACTGACCAACTGTCCAAGTTTGCCTTGTGACTCAAGGGTTTCCTAGGATACAGGATGTTCAGTACTAAAATTGAGATCGTCCTGAGCAAACAAGGACAATTGATCACTATAGTGAGTGGTGGTAGGATGGGTCAAGGGACTAGCTGGGCCAGAGAGGAAGGCCAGGCAGCCAGACCCTTTCCCTGCAGCCCAGAAGTTGCCTCTCAACCCCAAACCTTCCAGCCTCCTGCCCCAGCACTTCGTCCTTCAGGCACTAAGGGATTGTCCCAGCCTCGGCGGATGGTCTCTGGGTCAGCCAGAGCTGTGAGTTCTTCCAAGAGACTGGCAGTGGAAAGGGTAGGAGTTGGACCCAGGGATGGATGGAAATTTTGTGAGGTCCAAAGCTTACTGTAGTTTGGGCGTGGGGCTCTTTAAGAAAAGGACTACAAGACTACTAATACCAAATTACCACCAAGGACCTGGCAGCTGAAGGAACCTGAAGGACCCTAAACTTCATTAGCTTCAAGGTAAAACCGCCTCTAGTTGAACCTGATATTTTGGACTAGATGGCCCACCCACCTACCCCAGCCAGCGTGGCACCTCCCAACATGCCAGGCTGGGTGAACTGATGGCAGTTCCCTCCCTAGCCCTGCCAGGGGCGGAGACAATTGTCAGCCATCCCGCAGCTACGGAGTGCCAGACCGCAGAGACAGTGCTGGTTTGACGGCACCCTCACCCCTGCACCTGCAGGATCTGTGGGCACCCCCACCACCCCGCTGGGATCCGTTCCGCAGTAGGGTGCGGAAGGGGAACGTGCAGACACCCAGAGAGGCTGGGAGACTGGCTGGCAGTGGGCACTGCCGGGAAGCCCGCGGTGCGGGTCGCAGAGGCGCTCCGGATGCCCGCAAGGCGGCAAGAGTCCGTGAGAAAGTTCCCAGCCGGAGCGCGCAGGGCTGGCGGCCTCGTTGGGACCGGGAGACTTCCTAATCCCGCCGCCGCCGAAGCCCGGGCGCTGAGCCTGGCACCGCCGACCCCGGCACCGGCGCACACATCAGCCGCCGCGCTTCCGGGAAGCCACCCATCAGCCGGAGGAGGCCCGCGGGTGCTGAGGGCTCTGCCGCCGCTAGCGGGGTGGACTCCGCAGGGCCAGCGCCGCAGTCTCCGCCCCACGTCCCGCGTGCCCCCGGGCACCGGCACCGGGCGCCGGGCACCTACCGTCCTCCTGGTCCAACACCATGGTCCCGACGGCTCCAGCCGGACTAGCGCCGAGGATACGGAGGGGCGCGTGGCTCCGACTCCCGCCGCCGGCCGCCTGCGCTGCTCCCGCCGGCCCCGCGCGGGCGCCGAGTCCGGAGAGCCGCGACCGCCGACGGGGGCAGACGGACCGGAGTCCGGAGCGCAGCCCCGCGGGCAGGGAGCGCAGGAGGAGGGACTGGGGGGAAGGCGCGGGGGCGAGACGGCCAGGCCGGGATCGCGGGAGCCTCGCGAGCAGCAGCTGCCCGGGCCGGGCCGCAGCCGGAGCCTGAGCCGCGCGCGCGTCCTTCCTCCGCGCCGGCCGTACTCGCCTCAGCAGAGTGAAGGCTGCATTTCCCAGGGCCCCTCAGATTCCCCTGTTAATTAAATCAATTCATTATGCTCAGATCTGATTAGCGGCCCTTCCCCCCCCTTTGAATCAATTATTCAATACACAAACATAATTGCTTGGGCCAGAGGTGCCCGCCATTAGCTTATTTAACTCCAAGGACACTAATTACCCGCAGGGCACGGGAACTTTTCTCATTAATTCTGACAAAACACAAAAGCACAGCCAGAGTGTGTGCGTGTGAGGGGCTGTGTGTGTGTGTGTGTGTGTGTGTGTGTGTCCGCATGCCAGAGTGAGGGCTGTGTGGGGTGGTGAGCCACTGTGTGAGCTCAAGACAAGGGTGGGGGTGGGACGCGTGCGATTGCGGGTGGGTGTGTGCGGGTAGGAGTGTGGGCTCCGTGCCTGTGATTCTGAATGAGTGCGCCAGGCTGGGCGTGACTCTGGGTCTGGGGACAGTGGGCCTGGACTGGGACCCGGCACAGGAATGTGTATGAGATCGCGAGAGTGCTTCTGTGTGTGACTTTGTGAATGTGACTCCGTGGCTACCGTGGCAGGCGCCCCATCCCCTTTCTTTTTTCATTATTGCCCAGCCATTCCCCGCGGCATGCTCAGCCCCACGGGGGAAAGTGCAGATCACAGAGGAGAAATCCGAGAGGATCAGGAGGCGGTGGTGACTCTGGACCCAGGCTGGGCCACAGTGCTCTCCATCCGGTCACCTGTTCAGGCATCAACTGGGCTTTGCTCTCCCCCAGTTATAAACCCCAGGTTCCCACCACCACCACCCACTTTGCCCTCTCACTGCCCCTCTCAATACCGCCCCTACTCTCAACTTTTATCCCAAAACCCTCCCCACCCCACCCTTGTGCCCGGGAACCCCCAACTCCACCCACCCTAGACCTAGTTCTTCACCTCCTGTCTCAAGGCTGTACCGAGGGTGTGCCTGTGGTTGATCAACTTCTCCACATTTTACCTCCCAGGAAATCTATTGAGAGAACCAGTGAGAGAGCCCACAGAGGCAGGACACAGAGGGTAATTGATTCCCCCAAATTAGGTTTCTGCTTTCTAAAGACCGGCATTGTCCCTATTCTCAATGTGCACAGAGGTATTGAAGATTTCCTTTTTGTTTCCTCGGGCAATGAATGAGCTTAATCCATTTGGCTTTATAAATCAGGAAACTAATATTCGCTCCCTCCATAGCAGCTTTTTAAAAAATTTAATTGGTAAGGGAGGTGCAGTTAGTCACCTTTATACTGTCCCCAAGCCCCCACTTATCAAAACACATTCTGATTGAGGGGTAGAGAGAAGGGAGGGAGCTCATCCTGATTCCTCCCACTCTCTTCTATCCTCCCAAACAGACCCACATAGTATCTGGGAAAGTTTGTGAAATGACTGCATGAATTATATTCAATTTGGTGAAGAAAGGAGGACTGTGCAGAGAGATTCTTCAGAATGATCTCCCAAATCAGCTGCTCTCAATTCCCCAGGAGTGACTGCCTAGATGGGTGTTGGCTATTCCATGTGCTAAGGCGTCTTGTCAAAGAGCAAGTAGGGCCTGAAATTCTGCATCCTTCCACCCTCCAAGCCATGTAGCTGGCACGGACTGCACCCACCCAGAGAGGGCACCTTTTGCTACTTCGCACAAAAGCACCATACAGACTAGCGGGGCCCTGCAATTGGGCATCTCTGCTTGGCCAGAGTTCACACTCAGAGAAGCCAGCCTGAGGCATAAGCACCCAGACTCCCTGTTCCCACCATCACTTGCAGCAAGGGCCTGTGTGAGCACTTAAAAGACCAGCCTCCTGGTTTTCATAGAGAGAAAGAGAAATTTCAGAGAGTGTAAACATCATGGAGTGATCAGGGATAATGAAGCAGATGCCCCGCCCTATCTCTGCATTTATATGGGTCCCCAACTCCTGGTGAAAGACACTGAACTCAGTCCACAGCTGGGTGAATTTCCCTATCAGAAAACAGATTGTCTGAGTAAGTTAAAAATAAAATACAGCCAAATGCTGTTTACAAGAAATACTCCCAAAACAAGGTGACAAAGAGACTGAAAATAGAGCAATGGGCAAAGGTATACCAAGAAAATGCAAGCAGAGAGGGAGTAGAAACAGCAATATTAATGTCAAACAAAGCCAACTTCAAAGCTAAAGTTGAAGGGACAGATCTATCATGAGGACTGAGATCTTCAGCAGGGGCCTGCTGGCAGAGAGACAATGAGGTTCCTGAGAGGAGATCCTCATGGGTGGACTAGACTGAGAAGCAAGACCAGGAGTTTAGAGGAAGAACAGTTCCAAGTATGGTGCAAGGTGGGGCCTAACTCACCCCTGACCATCACTCTGAGAAGAAGAGGGCAGTGGTGCAAATGAGAAACTGGGTCACTAGAAGCCCTGCAGCCTGGCTATGGGAGCCCCCTCTGAAACAGCTGGTCATTAGAAGCTGAGGTGTCACCTTGCTGGGCCAAGAGGAAAAGAGCAGCTGGGATTAGCAACTTGGTGGCATTAACAGCAGCTCGGGCAAGATGGCAAGAGCATCAGGCAGCAGCTCTAATTATACAGACGGCGTCTCTTCTCATAATCCATCAACCCCCATCTCCCAACCCTGGGACTGCTAGAGAGAAAATGTCTATCCAGAACTCAAAATCTAGTGGTGTCCAGAGGGCACTTGGGTCACATGAGTAAGCATTCCTAGGTCTCACAACTATTTGGAGAGGAAGATCCTGGAGAGGAGAATTGGAACATCAGAATTTGGGGCTAATTACTGTAAAATTGTGGGATCTGGTATTTGGCATTTTTATGCCTTTATGTTCCAACCTGTCTTAGCTGCATGACTGGCATGAAGGGAAAGGCTGTGTGAGAAAGAATGGACCAGAACAATAATAGGGGAGCTGTCCCTGGTGCAACCGCCAGCTTTTCCCAATGGCGGTGGAGGTCAGTATATCAGTATGTTACACTAAACATGAAGAGAGTGAATTTCCCTATCAAAAAACAGATTGTCTGAGTAAGTTAAAAATAAAATACAGCCAAATGCTGTTTACAAGAAATACTCCCAAAACAAGGTGACAAAGAGACTGAAAATAAAGCAATGGGCAAAGATACACCAAGAAAATGCAAGCAGAGAGGGAGTAGAAACAGCAATATTAATGTCAAACAAAGCCAACTTCAAAGCTAAAAGCATAAACTGCTTGAAAATTAAGAAACATCCCATTAAATTAGTACTGGATCAAAATAAGATCAAAACAGAAATTACCAATCTAGTAATGAAAATAGAAAACACAGCATATCATACAGAACTTACGGAACACAGCTGTACTCAGAGGAAGAAATATAGCCTCATATGCTTGAAATATTTTTTAAAAAGACTGGAAGAAAATGAACTAGATATTCAATCTAAGAAATTAGAAAAGAATAAACTGAACCAAAAAAGTGGAAGAAAATTAATGAAGTCAGAAAACAATGAAATAGAAAATAAACAAGTAATAGAAAAGGTAATTAAAAGGGAAAATTAGAACCAACACTTGGTTATTTGAAAAGACTAACAAAATGGAAAAAAAACTTCCACGAAAACCTAGTTAAGAAAATAAAGCACAAATATATGATATTAGATATAAGAAAAGAGATATATCACAGGTACAGAGAAGGTTAAAAAATTATAACAATAATATGAGTAAGCCTATGAAAATAAATGTGAAAACCTGGAAGAAATGGATGACTTCGAGCAAAGTAGAAAATTATCAAAACTGAGCATAGAAGATGTTGAAATCCCAAATAGGCCAATAAACAGAATACATTTAAAAAGATATTAAAACTATGCCATTAAAATATCACAAGGCACCATATGCTCCAACAATTCTACTTCTGGAAATAAACCAAAAGTATTGAAAGCAGGTTCTTTAAGAGATATTTTTACATCCATGTCCATAGCAGCATTATTCACAATAATCAAAAGGTGGAAGCAACCCAAGTGTTCCCCAATGGGTGAATAGATAAACAAAATGTGGTAGATACATACAGAGGAATATTATTCAGCCTTTCAAAGGAAGGAATTTCTGACACATGCTACAACATGGATGAACCTTGAGGATGCTATACCAAGTGAAATAAGCCAGTCACAAAAAGACAAATATTGCTTGACTTCATTTATATGATGTACCTAGAGTAGTCAAATTCATAGGGACAAAAAGTAGAATGGTGGTTGGCAGGGGTTCAGGGGAGGGGAGAATGGGGAATTTAATGGGTATAGCATTTTCAGATTTGCAAGATAAAGAGTTCTGGAGATTGGTTACCCAACAACGTGAATGTGCTTAACACTGCTAAACTGTGCACTTAACAATGGTAAGGATGGTGAATTTTATGTTATGTGTATTTTATCACAATTAAAATAAAACCCCACAAGGCACAGATTACATTAAAATGAGTTTTGTATAACCTGAAAAACAGATGATTTTAATGTTATTTAAACTATTCCAGACAAAAGAAAAATTTGGAAAGCTTCCTAGTTTGTTTTATGAGCCAGCATTTTCTTAATCCCAAACCTTATAAAGATTGAATTTTAAAAGAAAAAAAATTCACAGAACAGCTTGAATAAGAGTGCAAAAGCTGAAATAAGATATTAGCTATCTTGACATGAAAAAAAAGTATCAAAAGAATAAAACACCATGACAAAGGAGGGTTTATTTTAACACCACAAACATGATTCAGCATAAGGAACTCTATCAGTATGAGTCACTACATCAACAAATAAAGGAACAAAATATGAGTATAGTAATATATGTCCAAAATCATTTGATAAAATTTAGCATATATTACTAACAAAATATTAAGCAAAATAGAAATAGAAGAAAACTACTTCAATTTGTTAAGACTGTTTACCAAAACCCAAAAGAAAATAAATAAATGTGACATTCTGAAACTATTTCCATAAATTGGAACTAAGACAGAATATCCATTATCATTATTATTCAACATTTTTTGAGACTTTAACTCAATAAGACAAGAAAATGAACTGCTTAAAATAAACAGCTGTTTTTTGAAAGGACAAAAATATGTTTATTTACAAATTATGCGATTATATAACCAAAAATCCAACAAAATTTAGTGTGAAAGTTACTAGAATTATTAGATAATTGAGAAGGTAGTTAAATACAAGATAAATAGATAGAAAGCTGTAGTTTTTTTCTAAATGCAATGATGTGTTAGAAATGGCAATGAAATAGAACATTTGCAATAGTGACAAAGCAAATATTTAGGAATAATTTAAAAACAACAATCATCACAAAGATAAGGGTCTTCTTTAAAGGAACTCATGAAAGCATATTGAAGGACATATAACAAGATCTGGATATATAGAAAGACAACCATATTTCTAAAAAAGAAGATATTATCATAAAAGTAAATCCTTTCAAAATTAATATATCAATTTAGTGCAATTTCTATTAGAATCCCAAATTAAAAATTTTTAGAACTGAAAAAAATTTAACTTGAAGTGCAATTAAAAAGTAAATATATGTGGCTAGTTAACAAAACATGTGAAAAGAAAGACTAATTGGATACAACTTGCATTACTAGATAATAAAGCATACTACAAAACTACCATAATCAAATAGTGTGGTGTAAGTCAGGAAGGGAGAAATAGATCACAGGAACAAAGAGACAATAAACAGTTTCAAGTACAGAAAGGAATTTAATATATGATAAATGTTGCATTTTAATTCATCAGAGAAAAATTAATAAGTGGTAGTGCCATCTGAATAGACATTTCTGCACAGGAGATATACAAATAAACCAATAGAATCTGAAAAGATGCTCAGCATCATTGGTCATTGGGAAAATGCACATCAAAACCACAGTGAGATACCAATTCACACCCACTAGGAAGCTGGAATGAAAAACTTTAGATAACGAATGTTGGCAAGAACGTGAAGAAATTGGAACCCTCAAACACTGATGGCGGAAATGTAAAATGGTGCAACCACTTTGGAAAACAGCCTGGCAGCTCCTCAAAAAGTTAAACAGAGTCACCCATAACCAGAAATTCTGCTCCTAGGTGTACACCCAAGAGAGCTGAAAACATAGGTCCACACAATAATTTGTATACTGATATTTATATCAGCATTATTCATTACAGCCAAATGGTGGGAAAAAAACCAAATGTTCGTGAACTGACAAATGGATATTATTCAGCCATAAAAAGGAATAAAGTACTGATACATGCCATAGGATGGATGAACCTTGAAAACATAATGCTAAGTGAAAGAAGCCATTCACAAAAGACTGTATTGTATGAATTCATTTATATTGAATGTCAGAATGGGCAAGTCTGTAGAGACAGAAAGTAGATGAGTCGGTGCTAGGGGCTGGGGATAGTAGGGCTGTGATAGCTAAGGTGTGCAGAGTTTCTTTTTGAGGTTATAAAAATGTTCTAAAATTGTGGAGATTTGCAAATCTGTGAATATATTAAAATGCATTGAATTGTACACTTTAAATGGTGAATTGTATGGTATGTGAATTACATCTCAGTAAAGGTGTTTCAATAAACGGTGCTGCCATAACTGGTTATTCATCTGGAAGAAACAAATAGGATCCTTACCTCCCCTAAACATAAAAATTGTGTTCCAAGTGGCTTAATATTTTAAAATAAGAATAAAACATTGAAAATATTGGAAGACATTTTATTAGAAAAATTTAATAGATTTGGATAACAACATGAATAAATTTGTTGCGGCTAACAAAGGAAAAGATAAATATACTAAATCTGATTTTCAGAACTTCTATGGCAAAAGATAGCATAAACAAAAGAAAAATACAAATGATTTCTTAGGAAAATATTTGCAAAATATGCTGTATATACAAAGAATTTCTATAAATTGTAAATAAAAGACAAAAGCCTAAAAGAAACATGGAAAAAGAGAATGAACAGGCCATTCAGAGAGGAAATATCTAAATGGTCAATAAAATGATTACCCTCATTATTCATTGGGAAAATGCAAACTAAAGCAAAATAAGTTTTCATTATTTAAATTCATTAGATTGGCAAGCAATTTTTAAAAAGTGAAATGTCCAGATCTGCTAAAATTTTGAGAAAATATGTACTCTCCTTTGCTACTGAGCAAGTAATCTGGCACGATCTATTACTTTTGGGGCAGGTAATCTGGCACTATTTATTAAACAAGTACATGCCTTTTGACTTATAAATCCTCTTTCTGGGACTCCATCCTATAAGGGGAAATCACCTATATATAAGGATCCTAATTTCGGCATTGTTTGTGGTGGCAGAAAACTGGAAACCATACGAATATCAGTGCCAATCAATGATTGAATTAATTGTCCTACAACTCTGCTGTAGAATATTATGCAACTGTTAAAAATGAGTTAGAGCAACTGACTTGCAAAGGACATCTGTGATGTTCTGTTTAGTGGGAAAAGTAGATTGCAGAGTATCAAGTAATATTATCCCATTCAAAAGAAAGCCTCTTTCTGTTAAGATGCACATGAAGGAAAGATGTGAAAGCCTGCACTTGTTCAGGCTGTCAACACTGGTGACCTTAGCGAGTAGGAATGGAAGGTAAGAGTGAAGGAAAAAGTATACACTGAGCCAGGCATGGTGGCTCACACTTGTAATCCCGGTGACTCGAGAGGCTTAGGAGGGAGGATCGCTTAAGCCCAGGAATTAGAGGCTGTAGTAAGCCAAGATCCCATGATCATACCACTGCACCCCAGCCTGGGCAACAGAGTGAGACCTTGACTCAAACAAAAAAGTATACACCTATCTTTTCATTATTTATAATGTATGAGTAATTTATACTTTTTTCAATTTAGAAATTAAATGGGAGTTGTTTTTGACACACCCTCCAATCAGTCACTGCTATTGCCCTAGTCCAAGTCGCCATGATCTCTTGCATACTGCCGCAAGAGCTCCTTACTGGCCCCCACCCAAAGTCCACCCTGGGCCTCAATGATACAGCCTCTATTACTCCATGCGCAGCCAGGAGATATTTTTAAAATGCAAATCAGATCTCGTCAACCAACCCTCAAAGCTTCCTGTTGCTCTCCACAGCAAGCCCCCATCCTCTCTCTGCATGTCCACTTGGCTCTGTATGAGCAGGCTCTCCTGAAGTGTCTCCCATCACTGACACCCACCCTTGCTCCTATGATGTAGCATTTTACCCTTGTCATTGTCTGAACCACCACTTGTCTCCAGGCCTGCAGGAGCACCATTTTTTTCTGCCTGAAATGTTCTTGCCCCCTTTTATTTGGACCACCTCGTGTTCATCCCTTGGATCCAGGATTAAATGTCAGGGTGGCCTCTCCCCTCAAGACTAGGTTAGGCCTCCCTGTTATAGTCTGACATGGGGCCCTCTGTGCTTTTCCTCCATAGCTCTTATCACAATGATCTAGTTAATTACATAGTTATTTGTATAATTATTTGTGTGACAGCGATAAAAGAAAAACTATTAAGCTATAAGTGTTTGCATCTTCTTCTCCAGCCTCCTACCTTGGGAGAAAAACGGGTCAGAGAAGAAGGTCTCAGGGGTCCAATCCAACTCAGATATTCTGAACTTACTCTTACTCCATACACCTGCCACCCTAGCCCCTGTTGGGAGAATTTGCCTGGCTCAAATATTTCCCTCCGTTCTTTCATTTATGTAGCCAACTAGCTTGCTCTGAGACTTGATTATGGCAAAAACGTCTGAGGTGCTGATGAGCTTTCAGGCTTCCCCAGCCAGCTGTTGTAGGGACCTCTCCCCACCTCCAAATGGCTTCATTTCTGCACCTCCCACCTTTCAGAGACCCTTACCAAGGGGGCTCCTGGGTGCCCACAGTCCCCTCTGAGGCTACGAATACCCCAGCAACCAAACCCCACACAGCTTGACTTGCAATGTCAGACTCTCAATCTGAACCCTGATTTTATGTGACTAGGGGTCGTCTCCTCCCTCTCCCACCCTCCTAATCACCTGTCCACTGATGACTGGAGACCTGGAGTGATCCTGGGCTGGGTCTAAGGGGCCAGCTGTGCCACGTGCTCTGGAGGCTGGTGCTGGTCCGTGAGCTTCATGGACGCCAACCGACTGGGCCATGGGGCTGAGCACTGTGACTCACTCCCAGAAAACAGACTGTTTCCCAACCGGCTCACCAGAGTGAACACACCCACATGCAGGTGGTCCCCTTGGAGCTACAACCGCATGTCCCAACAGCACATGCATCTCAGAAACAGTCCTTCTCCATGCTGCAGGCAGGGGCCCAGGTATGTGGGACTGATGGGAGGGCACTCCTAGTCCCCTTCCTGGTCTCTCTCCCTCAATCTCTGGTGGGGTCTTCCTGCCCCACCCCTGCCCCATGATGGAAAAAGCCAAAGGGGTTCCTTCTCACCCAGCATCCAACCTGTCTGAGAGGCCCTGCCAACTCCAAAATGATACAAGTTTGGAGGAGAAAACAAAAACAAAAACAGAACAAAAAAACCCTGGAAGCACATATTCCTCCATAGCTGCTGCTACCTAGGACTTGCCTGGGCTTCTCCAAGCCCCTGTGCTCAAACACCCCTTGCGGTGAGTCAGAAATATTTGAGTCCTATCAGGACTGGAGGTCACAGCTACCACCTGGGGCTTGTACTAGATTGAGCCTTCTAAAGCCTGGGGGACCACACCTGGGGACAGGATGCTAATTCAAACCCTCAGAGCCTGCAGGTAGAAGTGGAGCTGCAGACTTGCTGGTGACACTAGGCCTAGATCGTGATTCTGACTCCACTTCTTGCAGATCTCACACTGTGTAACTTCCCCTTCCTGAGTGTGGCAGACTACTGGTGGCATATCCAACATGTCTTCCCTTCCTCCTGGGCACATGGCACTGGAGACTGTATTTCCAGCTTCCATTGCAATGGCTATAGATAAGTTACTAGTTCTCATTTGTAGGCAGAAGAGAGATATAAGCTATTTTCACCTCTTGCTTACAAGGGGAGAGACCCAAGTTAGACCAATGGGTTTCCCCAGTAGGAGTTTTGACATCGGAACCCAGAGAGCTGGGTTGGTTTCTTCTCTTTGGTGGCTGAAGCTATAAGATGTAAAAGTCAAGACTCATGTTGTCTGCCATGTAGATAAATTTGTTCTGGGGAAAGACAAAGACTATACCGGCATGAAGAAACAAGTTGCTTATCCACAGCTTCCTATCTTCCCCACTTTCCATAGATGGAATATAGATATTAGAGCACCCGGATTTGATTAATCAATACCCTAAGGTATGCAGAGAAATAAGACAGAAGGAAGCTGGGTCTCTAAGTGGCCTTGTGGAGTAGCCCTACCAACCTAGACTTTTTATCTCCTGTTATGACAGATAAATGATAAAGTTCCATCTTCTTTAGGCCATTGTAACTTAGGACCTCTTTGTTATAGTAGCTTAACCCTTTTCCTAATGAATACATTGATCCTCTGATTCCCCACCAATAAATAGTCTGAATGTGTTCTCCAAGTTCCAAGTTTCCAATTCTAGACTCTGCTTTGCCAGGCTCCTTGTTTCCAAAGAGCTTCCCAGGATGGAAACCTGGAGCCAAGGTTGAGCCTTGATGTGCTCCCTGCTTTCTCCTTGTTTCAAGAAGTTCCCTGATGCTCACGAAAGGCCTGATCCTGGGAGAGATGGAAGGAAGGACATGAAGAAGCATCCGAAGTTCTTTCTTTTTGGCTGGACCAGGGAGCTAAGGGCAGGTGGATTAGGATAGGCTACTGCCTATGTCTAAGGCTGCTTCATGTTCAGGGCCTCCAGTTGAGCCCAGATGGGTATTTATCCTGACCTTACGTTTCAGCTCAGCTGCTCCAACTGTAGGGAATCTGGCAAGGCTCACCCTTCACTCTCTCTTTCTGCTATTGTAGACCAGACTCTCTGAAACTAAAGATGTGGTCCAGGCCTATGGACACAAAAAAAGGTCTGGGGGCTGCTTTTTCCAAGCTCTACCTCATAGGACCACAGATGGGTCCCTGGCTCAACAGGTTAGGACCTCCTACTTTATGCCTTCCTTGCCTGAGGGTCCTAGCAACTTGGCTCTGCAACTCTTAGAATAATGTGATAACACCCAAACCTGTGCCCCATGGGACGGCCTCCGAGTCCAGTCTAGCCCAGCCTGACCATAAGCATTTCCCTAGAGGTGATCTTAACAGGAGCTTGGGAGCTGGAAGCTACTGGCCTAGAACCAATTGGTCTAGGATAAGCCTAGACCTGCTAAGGCCAGCAGAACCATCACAAGGAGTGCAGGTGGGGATGAAACTTCTGCTTGCTAGTCTGGACTGAAAGCCTCCCATTCTCCTTCATGTTCCTCTTGTTAACAACCAACACTGTCTCATGTATCCTAAGGCCAGGTCTCATGCTGGGTGCCAAGGTTCATGGTCACTGTCTTAGTTCATTTTGTGCTGCTATAACAGAATACCTGAAACTGGGTAATTAATAAAGAACAGGGGTTTATTTCCTACACTTCTGGGGGCTGGGAAGTCCAAGGTTGAGGGCCTGCATTTGGAGAGGGCCTTCTTGCTATGTCATCCCATGGCAGAAGGTAGAAGGGCAAGAGAACACAGTGAAGGAGAGAGAGAAAAAAAAAGAGGCTGAACTCATCTTTTATAAGAACACCGCTCCCTCCATAACAAACTTACTCCCAAGATAACAGCATTAATCCATTCATAAAGGCAGAGCCCTCGTGACTAATCCCCTCTTAAAGGTCTCATCTCTCAGTACGGTTTCATTGGGGATTACATTTCTAACACGTGAACTTTTGGGGACACATTCAAACCATAGCAGTCACTCTAATAGACAAATATGGAATTGTCTGTTGAGAATCCCTCCTCCCCCACCTTCTAAGTACTTCCCCCTACCCAATTACTCTATTCCGATGTTCCTGTGAAAGATATCCAGCTCTTACACAATCTTACCCCCATGGCCTTTTGGACCCTGAAGTGGGCAACTGATCTAAGTTGGCCCAGTGGGTTTTCCCACTAGGAGTTTTGAACTTGGGACCAAGGGAGTTGGGTTTGTTTCTCTCTGGTGGCTAAAGTTATAAGATGTAAAAGTCAGGCCGGGCGCGGTGGCTCACGCCTGTAATCCCAGCACTTTGGGAGGCCAAGGCGGGCGGATCACGAGGTCAGGAGATTGAGACCATCCTGGCTAACACAGTGAAACCCCATCTCTATCAAACATACAAAAAATTAGCCGGGCGTGGTGGCAAGCGCCTGTAGTCCCAGCTACTCGGGAGACTGAGGCAGGAGAATGGCGTGAACCCGGGAGGCAGAGGTTGCAGTGAGCCGAGATCGCGCCACTGCACTCCAGCCTGAGTGACAGAGCCAAACTCCATCTCAAAAAAAGAAAAAAAAAAAAAAGATGTGAAAGTCAAGACTCGAGACTCGTATTCTCTGCCATGTAGATAAATTTCTTCTAAGCCAGCATGAAGAGACAAGTAGAGATGGGTGACAGACATAGTCCAATAGTGTTTTGTTGCCTAATTCTATTTTTTTCTGAAGACCAGCCCCTTTCTTGCCCTTCTCTTGGCTCGGATGTTCTGAGTAAGTTGGGTTTCTATCACTTGCAACCAAAAGAAACCCAACTAACATATAATTGGTTGTGGAAGGCATAAAGGGCTCCAGCCTTAGGCAGACACATGGGAACTGCAGGCATTCCACCAAGGGAAAGCATTTGGCTAGGGACCACTGAGGGCCTTTATAGGAGCGGGCACTGGAAGTCCTGGAGACTATGCACCTGGCCCTGCTCAGCCTTCTGTATTCTGGTACAGCATGCTAACAAAGCCCAACATTTCAAGGCCTTCCAAACATGGCTCCCTTCCTTTCTCTATATTGCCCCTTCCAGAATTGCACAGCTTTAGCCATGTCAGTCTCTGACTTCCCCCTGCCATCCTGTCCTCCATGGCTTGGCTTCATCTGTCTTCCTCTAGGTAAACTTCTATAGTGATTCGAGTCCTCAGTGGTCTCCGCCATTTCCACACTTCCTTCTTGGAGGAAGGACCCATTTTAGGAGCCAGCCCTTATGATCTCAGTACTTTTCAAATTAAATATATATATATATGTGTATATATGCATATATATATATACACACACACATATATATACATATATATCAAATAAAAAGTGTTTCCCAAGGAATAAGTTAACTCAAGTCTGGCACACAGAGAGTGTGGGTAAATAGATGGATGAATGGATGGATGGGCTGAAGGATAGTGGAAAGTTAAACATTTGGGAAATTGATAGGTAGAAGTGGAAATCCACTGGAAAGTGGATTGGTATTAGCAGACACAGATGGGCTATTCAATAGGTAAATAGGAAGAATGGATAGGTGGGTGGCTGGATAGATAGACAAACGAACAGATAGATGGATAGATACATGGTGGGTGGGTAGATGGGTTGGTGGATGGGAAATTTTAAAGAAGGATAGATGGGCAGATGGGTAGGTGGGTAGATAAATATTTGAGAAGAAGGTGGCTGGCTGGATGAACAGATGGTTGCAGAGGTATTAGATTGAGAAATAAATGGATGAATGGACGGATGGATGGGTGATTAGAACCATACAATTGTACCCTGAATTATGAAATGCCTTCACATTTTGTGCCCTGCCTGTCTCTCCGTCTTATTCTCACTCAGCTCTCACATGTTTCTCCACTCCCTGGGCCATCAGCATCTGCCCTCTCCTGCTGCTAGATCTGGCATCCCACCTGGCCCCATGCTCCCTCCCCTTCAGCCAAAAGTGAGTGCAGCAGGCCCTCAGAACTCCATGCTAGGAAGTATTATGTGTGTTAGAGCATGCATGGGTGGAGGAAAAGAAAGTGTGGCCGGACAACCAGTAATGTCCCTTCTATTATGGCTATTCTGGGTGCTGTGACTAAGCCATATGCCATGGTGGAAGGGACAGTGCCCCCAGGTGCCTGTCCCCACACTCAAGGACACTGCCAAGTCTAAGCTTCATGGTCTAGGCCCAGAAATGGCTCTTATTTCAGCACCCTACACTCCCTGACCTTCCTTGTCACCTAATAAAACTGGCAATGGCCACTGAGTGCACAAGAGCACCTCCCCTCTCTCCTCCCCTCTTCTGCCTGCGGAATCCTTCAGTCACGAATCACTCCCTGCCCCGTCACACCGCCACCACCAGCTCTGCTCCCCTGTCCCTCCGCTCGGTGGCCTGCGGAGTCGGCACAGGGCTCCCTCCCTCCTTTCTCCTTCCGCTGCCACAGAAAAGTTTAAAGCGCTCAGACAATTAATATGAGAGTTGCCAGAAATAGACCCACTGCATAACAATTATACAGAAAAAAAACCTCTCCCCTTCCCCACATTTAATCCAACTTTAATCCTAGTCATTAGGAATTAGGCATGCCGAGCCGTCCGGCTGTGCTTCTAAATTACAATCAAACAGTTACCAATTACACAAATTATTGACGGTAGATTCTCTTTTCAACTGCAAATTAAGGCTATTAAGAAAGGCTCCTTTTTAATGCAAAAGTGACTAATTAACCAACGGCTGGGAAATCTGCAGCCCAGATATCAAAAAAGTGCTCCGTGCACATTGCGGAAACACAAGGGAACCAATTAGTTTAATTATCAAAACAGCTAATTAAAATTGCACAGTTCCTAATTAGTTCTTTGCTTTTGCCTCTAATTGACAGCATGGAGATAAATGGGCTGGCAGCGGGGAGAGGAGAAGGGGAGCACAGGAAGGCAGGAAACTTCGGCGGAATATTTATGCTGACTTTATCTCCGTCTGGGTGCCAGCCCTTGAAAGTGGAAAATTAATGACCTTAATTCCCAAACTGGTTTGCCTGGAGCTGTGCACACGGCCCGTCCCCTCCCCCCAGTGGCCGGGCAGTCCCAGCCCCGGCCCCAGCCCCAGCCCACGCCGGTCGCCCTCGATCTGGAGTGGAGAGGGGCTAGGGGGTGGGAAGAGGCGGGAGGGAGGGCGGGGGAGGAGGCGAGGGGCGGAGGCGGCCCTCCGGACGTGACAGCTCCCACTTAGCCTGAAGAGACATGAAAGAGGCAACAGATGCCACTTCAGGAGCAGAGCATCCTGGGAGCCCAGCCGGCGTGCTTGTGTTCCAGCGTTCAAACCCAAGGGGGGAAGAAAACGGTCTGGCTCCGTCTCTAGCACCCTCCCCCACAGCCCCCGGGGCCCGGCCCCTTCCGAGTCCTGCTGCCCGGCATGTCCAGACCTCTGGCATCACCAGGCCCCAGGCCTGCGTTCAGCTTCCCAAGCCCAGGGCCCGCACAGGTCTGCAGGGCAGCATTAGGAAGACCCCAGCGGGAGGAGGCTGGTCTTCCATCCTGGGAACAGGGCAGCTGCTTCTGAGGGGCAGATGTGGGCGCTGGGCATTTGGGATCTGACCACAGGCCTAATTAAGGCAGTGTTTCCTGAAGCCACAGCCACCCACAGCCAAGTCGATTGTACTGCTTTCCCCTTAGGGTGGCTCCTGCAAGGTTCAGTTCTCAAAGCTCTTGAATGGAGGCTGGGGCCAGTGAGCGTCTCTGGTTTCTCAGGGCCTAGAAGAGATCCCAAGCACTGCTGTCGCTGGAACCCAGTAGCTGGAGAGCAGACCTCTTTCCCTCCCTCCCCTTCGGAAGGAGCCCAGTGCATAATTCAGGGAATGCATAATGCATGGATTCCAGTGTGGAACAACTTTTAGGTGATTTGTAATTAGATTTCTGCTATAGAGTCTGCTTCATAATTAGAAAAAGATTACGTAGAGCTTCCTAGATTCTAGAGAAGGAAGGAGGCAGGGTGTGTATGTATGTATGTGTGTGTGTGTGTGTGTGTGTGTGTGTGTGTGTGTGTGTAGTATACAATACATAGTACCCTTCCTGGTTATCCCTCAGCATCCCTCCCATGGTCCCACAGGCTCCCACATACCCGCTCTGTGCTGGTCTTTCCAGCTACTGGCTGTTCTTGGAGCCTAGGAAGTTAGTTCTTCTGCCCCTTGCAAGCCTTTGCACAGGCTGTTCCCACTGCCCAGAGTGCCCTCCTTCTCCTCCTGCCTGCCCCAGCCTGGCTAAGTCTTACTTGCCCTTCAAGGCTGCACTGTGTTATACCTTTCCACGTTCTCTGTCTTCTTTCTGTCCTCAGCCTGACCACTTGGTCTTGCAATTATCTGTCTACCTCTACATGTCTCCCTCTCCCATCTTCTCCCCCAAGATTGTGGGCAACTTGGAAATAGGAACTGCGTCTTCATTTCTGGGTCCCCAGTGCCTGGCTTAATGCCAGGCACATGGCAGACACTTAGTGAGTTTTCATTCACTTAATCATTTCTCAAGCACCCAGCACCAGCAACTTCAGAGAGACAATATAGAGGAGTAGTTAAGAGTGTGGCCACCTGGGTTCAAATCCCAGCTCTCCCACTTATTAGTGGTGTGACCTGTGTGCCCTTGGACATATTACTTAACCTTTCTGGGCTTCATCTTCCCCATTTGTAGAATGGGGATCATTGTGGTATCTGTCTCTTGGGGTTGTCTTGAGAATTAAATGAACTAACATGCATATGCAAAGTGTTTAGAGAGGCACCTGATGTCAACATCTCCATAGATATTCCCCTTGGCCACGCCCTGTGCTGGGCACTGGGAATCTCAAGACGAAGACCCAGTGACTATACCTGGGGAACTCCCAGTGTGTGGGTGAGGGACTATAGGGCCAGAGCCCTGTCAGCTCAGGGGAATGGGTGGGGGTCTGCCCTCAACCCTTGAGAGTCCCATCAGCAGCCATCATGGATTGGGCCTTGAAGCCAGATAGCCTGGGTTCAAAGCCCTGCTCATCTCTGCGGCCTTGGGCATGTCATTCACTCCTCTAAGTCCTAGTCTCCTCCTCTGTGAAACAGGAACAATTAGAGTGTAAGAGGTATATGAGTTCCTGGTCTCTGGAAACATTCTCCATTGAAATGCCAGCATTTATTACAATAGGTCTCCAACTTGAGGTTGCCAAAGGGTATGAACTGGGCTAGGGGGTGAGCTGCTTGCTTCCTGGTGTGTTAGGTGAGGTGAAATCCAGGAAGAATCTACTAAAGGGCCATGTGAGGGCTTGTGGGCATCCTGCTCAGACCCCAAGTTGATGGGTGCAGGAATGTCTGAGGTGCAGGGAATGCATGTCTGTCCCCATCTATCCCTCCCGCCTGGTAGGAATGTCCCTGCTTGGGAGAACGAGGCTAGACATTCATCCTTCTGAGCTGTTGGAGGCCACTAGCCCCACCCAGAAGCAGCACCCTCAGGCCTAAGGGCAGAGCAGGAGCAGGAGAGGACCGCAGAGGGAACAAGGGCAGAGGTTCATGGAAGGAGAACTGGTCAAGGCCTTGGGAAAATCCAACTTAGTAGAGAGCATGGACTCAATCAGATTTGGGTTTGCATCCTGAAGGGGCCTCTTATTCTGTGTGCCTTAGGAGAGCCGACACCATGGCCCTGCCATTCTTGGGTTGGTTGGAGGCTGGAAGGGACAATGTCCAAGGAAGTGCTTTGCCAGCCTCACCTGCATCAGGCTGGAAGGAGGCTCCTCTCTCCAAAGGGGAACGTCACCTCAGGACCTTCAGAGTTTCTCTTGTATCTCTTGAGCCTGTCTGACACAAAAGCAAACCGTATCAGTCCTGCCTTCAAAATATATGCAGAATCCAGTTGCTTCTCACTGTGGATGCCCTAAGCTAAGATTCCATCATCCTTTGCTTGGATTGTTGCATTAGTTTCCTGCCTACCTTCTCGCATCTTCTAGACCATTTCACCTAGCAGCCAGAGTAATCTTTTTTTAATTTTTTGTTTATTATTTATTTATTTATTTTTGAGACAGTCTTGTTCTATCACCCAGGCTGGAGTGCAGTGGCGCGATCTCGGCTCACTGCAACCTCTGCCTCCCAGGTTCAAGCGATTCGCATGCCTCAGCCTTCCAAGTAGCTGGGGTTACCGGCGCCCACCACCGCACCTGGCTAATTTTTGTATTTTTAGTAGAGATGGGGTCTCACCATGTTGGACAGGCTGGTCTCGAACTCCTAACCTCAAGTGATCCACCTGCCTCGGCCTTCCAAAGTGCTGGGATTACAGGCATGAGCCACCACACCCTGCCCAGAGTAATCTTTTAAAAACAGGTCTCATCAGGTCATTCCTTAATGGCTTCCTGAGTCTCACAGAGTGGAACCAGAAGTCCTCTCCAGGGCTTTATATGATCTTCCCCATTCCTCCTCCCTCCTCCACCTGCCCCCTGGCCTTGTCTCCCTCCTAATCTCCTACTAGCTAACTTTGTTCTCACAGACAAGGCCTCCTGGCTCTCCCCCAAATATGCCAAGTATCCTCGTAGCTCAGGGCCACCAGGCTTTCTGTTCCCACTGCCTGCTCTCCACACTCTGTTCCTGGACCCATCACTTCATCCAGGTCTGTGTCCACATGTCCCTTATCCACCAGCCCTCCCCGTGGTGACTGTCCTCTCCTTTGCTATGTAATTACAGTACTTATCTTTACTCAAATATTTCAGAGTAGTTACAGTCATAGTATTAGAGTGTGTCTCTGTTCACTACATGGAAGCTCTATGGGAAGAACTATGTCTGTTTTCTCCCTCTTGCATTTCCAGCCCCTAGGACAGTGCTTGGCATGTAGTAGATACTCAGTGAACCCCTGTTGGCTACACTGAGTTTGGACACCAGGGTTCAGTGAGGCGAGCTCCCTAGGCCGTCCGAGCAGGATAAGGGAGGAAGGACTCAAGCCGGCCTTGTTTGTGCTGGGTCTTGCACACAGAACTGAAACTCTGTTCATACGAAATCTGGGGAGTGGCAACAGGCCACTTTCCAGATGTCTCATGGCCAGGCCCAGGAGGCTCCTGGCCTGGAGGTGCATTCATTCAGATACAGTCTCCACCTGTTGTGAGAGAAGGAGCATGTTCAGGGCTCTTGGCTCTTTCTCTGGGATGTGGGGGCAGGTGCCAACTGGAACCCTAGAGAAACTAGATCTGTTCAGGAGGCTGGTGACAGGGGGAAGAAGGGAGTCTGTTACCTCAATGAAACACAGGGACTCTGGTTTTGGCTTTGGTCCTGGCTTGGCCACTAACTCACCCTGTGACTTAGGCAAGGGTTTGTCCTACTCCTGGGCCTCAGTTTGCCCATCTCTGAAATGGGCAGTTGGATACAAGAAGCTCAAAGAGTAGCTTTGATTGTGATCTGCCTTACAAAAGAGGAAACTGAGCTCCAGAGAAGTTTGGCAACTAGCCTAAAGTTATGCAACATCTGTAATAAATGTCCTGGGTATGGATTTATCCCTGGCTTATTTGCTACTTCCCACTAGAATGGAAGCTCCTGAGGGGAGGGGCTTTGGCTCCAGGCCCTTGACTCCCACCTTTTCGTCCCCTGGCACACCCATGTTCAAGTCCCAACTTAGCTGATCTTTTCTCAAATCTAGACTTGTTTCTCCAATTAGGCATTGAGCCCCTCTGGGCAGGAACTACAGAAGTTTTCTCCTTCTCCCAGTTCTTCAGAATGAGACAGCTAGCAGGTGCTGGATGAAGGCTTGGTGAATAAGAGAGGGAGTCAGGTTGCCCAAGGCCACAAAAGGAGATGGCAGCAAAGTCAGGATCCCCATCAGGTCTTACTTGTTTCCCTGGAGCTTCCAGATGCCAGGATTGGGCTCTTTCATTCATTCATTGACTCATCCAAAAAATATTCACCAAGTGCCTACTATATGCTAGTTGCTGCTGGAGTGCTAGGAATACTGCAGCGTCCAACCACGCAAGGGCCCTGCCCTCAGGAGCTTCCATTCCAGTGGGAAGCAGCAAATATGCCAGGGACAGATCCATACACAAGACAATTGGAGATTACTGTGACAAGACCTGTGAAGGAAACAAAACAACCAGGCAGACAGTGATGCTGATTTAGATCAGGTTGGTCAGGGAAGTCCTCTCTGAACAGCCGAGATCTACAGGACAAGAAAGAAAACCATACCAGGCAGAGGGAAGAGCAAGGAAAAAGACCCTGAGGCAGGGAGGATCTTGGGGTGTGTGTGGAAAGGAAAGAAGGCTGGAAGGTGGTGGGCTATGTGGGGAGCTGGGGACGTAGGCAGGGGCTAGATCATGGCCCAGCGAAGAGTGTGCATTTTATTGGACGTGAGATGGGAAGTCATTGGGCAATTTGAGCAGAGGATTAAAATATGTGATTGACATTTCTACCGACCACTCTGACCCTGGAACTTCTTGCTGTTGCCAGCTGAGTAGTCACGGGGGTCTGTGGTCCCGGCTCTGGGGGAAGGAAGCCTCTGCTCCCAGGAAGACAGAGGTTGTGGGTGGCTGGCAGAGTCTGGGGCATCTCACCAGAGCACTGTGCCTCAGATTCTGGTCCAAAGGTGCCCAGCCTGCGTGCCAACCCCATGCCCAGCATCCTACTAACCCCCGCACATCCCAGGGGTATTCCAGAAAACCGCGCCTGCAAGATGTCTAGGCCCCCACTCCTTGATTATATTAATGCCAAAATGTATTAAAGAAGCGTGGTAAAAATGCCATTCTAATTGTTTCGTATACACGCCACTGGGAGGGAACTGATTGGACACAGCTCACAGGCAGTATGTTAATACGCTATTTTCATATGATGATAGCTTTGCATAATCTTCCCTTCTCCCAGCTTTGCAGGGACCTGTTGTTAACCAAGCCCCAGGAGAGAGGGGGAAAGGCAATTTGACTTCAAGTCCACTCCCCACCACATTAATTAGTCATGTGGCTGGGGAAAGGTGTGCTCACTCAGTACAAAGTAGACTTTATAATTTATACACCAGCTGTTTCCGTCCATTCTCCTCTCTGCCTGCCTCTAATGAAATCGTGTTACCAGAGAACTGACTGGCGTGAATTGAGCCTTTAATCCCATTGACCCTGGCCTGGCTGGAAGGGCCCAGGGGAGGGGGGCTGGGGCTTTTCAGCAAGGGGCTGCCTCCCCTCCACCCCAGGCTGCAAGCCCTCACAATGGAGCAGCTTGGCAAAGGCAGGGGGTGCTGGGAGCTGGGGGCCTGCCTGGCTGAGCAGCCCTCTTGGGGATCCCTGGAGACTGGGATGGCTCACATTTATTGCCTCATCTTCTGAGATCCAGCAAAGCACAACATTCTCATCTAGGTTGTTCCTTTACTTAGAGAACAGGGCAGGCCAGACTGTACAACCAATGAGCTAATGCTTGCTTTTCTGGCCATGGGGGCTGCTGGGAAAACAGAGGCATGATTCCATGGAGGGAAATGCTGCCCTAGCACCCAGCAGCACACCTACATTCTTCTGATCCACAGCAGAGCCCAGGGCCCCTTCCTGGAGAGGAAGGACAGGGCAGAGATGGGGACAGGCCCCAGTCCTGCTTGCGGTCTATGGCTCCAGAAAGACAGTGCTGAGAATCAAGGTCAGAGAATGCTTCTCTTTCCCTAACCTCCCACCCCACTCAAAAGAAAAACAAGCAGGACCAGGAGGCATCCAGAGCCACTCAGCCACTCAAGCAAATGCTGCAAAGCAGGGTGCATTTGGTGAGCAGGAATAAACACAGCAATTAGCACCATGGCAGCCTCTTAAACAACCTCTTAAACAAACACATGGGACCAAGTCAGGGGTGGGGGAGGTTCATGCATCTGTTGGAAGGGCCAGAGGCTACAGAGAAGATTTGATCTGAGGGAAGCTGAAAATAAGGATGGTGAGGCTAAGTTGCTGGGACTGGGCCCGATCTGAGGGTGGTGACAGAGATAGGATCAGGTGCTTGAGCTAGGGCTGGAATGCTGCTAGAGTAGTAGGTAGCGCAAGGGTGGTACAGGGACGTTGATGGGATGGGGTAAGGTAGGGACAGGCTGGCTTCCTGGCTGCCATCTTTAATTTACTGGGAATCCCAATATCCTCATGTGAATGTGAGGTCTCCGCCTAGGAAGGCACAGAGAGGTGAGATGCGGCATCCCCAGCCACGCTTCCAGTGGGCGTCCTCTACCCAGGCCCAGATACACTCCAGAACCTCCTGCCCATTGCTGGGCCTCTGCTCTCACCTCTCCCCCATCTGGAATGGCAGCTCTCTCTTCTGCTAAATCCCAGGTCCTTTAAGACTCAGACCTTGTGTCACCTCCCCTAGCCAGGCTTTCTTGATTCCCCAAGTTCATCTGTGCTGAGCTCATCATAGCCCACTCCTCGATAGCAAGGATCATCTCTGCGTCCCTTGCACCAAGCACAGGGCAGGACAACTGACCTTAAGTGGGTCTCCTCCCTTGGCCAGTCTTCAGTTTACTGATCTGTAAAATGGGTTTGCTGATCTATCAGAGTCACTCTGGTTGCCTGAGATCCCCAGCTGGATTCTGTCAGGCCTAAAACCACACTCTCTCCCCTCAGACAAGGAAGGGAACATTTCAAAGACACTTGACTGTGTTGTGGGCATCCAAGCTAATTTATTAGCTCTGAAATAGCCAAAGTACTTCTTTTGCTTAATGGCATTAAAAAGTAACCCACACACCTGTGACCAGTCCTCTTTTTAATGAAAGTGTGGGGAACATCAGGGGAACCTATCCAGGGAGGGAAAATGAAGTTGTCATTTTTCAATGTAATTAAACTTGGTTTTCAAAAATCTCCTGATCTGAAATGTGAATTACGCTAATTACTTCTGGTGGCTGCAACATTGATTTCAGTGTTAAAGTTAATGGACTTAATGGACTCTGCTTTTCCCTTAGATGTGGCTTGGGCCTCTTGCCGAAGGTCCTGTTTGCCCACTGCGAGGGGCCTCCTCTGGACCCTCTAAATTCCCTATCACCAGCTTCTGTTGCCCAAGGCACTCATGGGTTGGTTGCCCCAAGTCAGGCCTTGTCTCTGGGCATGAGGCCTCAGGAGAACAATTGCTCTTTCTTCCTTTCAGTGAATGTGGGTCAGACACCAGCCTCACAGAGTTTGGTCCCAGGAGGGGACATAGAGAAGGAAAAGGCAGGTGGCCCCTGTTTCCGGAGGGCAGGTGGCCTGGAGGAGGCCTGATAGGAACCTGTGGAAGACCTCAGGCAGGCAGGGCTGAGGTTTGGAGCCTGAGGCTTTCTCTGCAGTGAAAGCATCCAGTAATGGCTGGTGGGGGTGTGGGAGGGTAGGAGCAAAGAGATGGTGGAGGAGGCCAGGGAGACCTGCTCCCAGAGGAGGGCTGCAGGAGCTGGCCAGGAAGGCAGAAACAGGTGTGGGCAAGGCAGGGAGGTGAGCCCACAGGGTCAAGAGGAGGGCTGGGCATGGCCAGGCTGCAGAGTTCTCTCTGGGCAGCAGTGGGGATGGTAGGGGCCTTGGAGGGCAGGGCAAGCAATATGGATGTGGTCTTGAGTCTTGGCCAGAATGAGATGAAGCCCCGGTGTGACTGTACAACCTGGAAGCTGGAGGCCCTCCCTCTCTCAGGGAAGACTGCTTCCGAGGGCCCTGGGGCAGGCCGGGGTCGTGGGTGCCGCCTCTGCTGGCTGACCTGGCCCCTTTTCTGAGTGCCTAGAGTTCCTCCACCAACATGTCTTCTTAACTGGGAATCGGTGTCCTTTCCTGAAGGCGTCATAGAGGAAGACTTTGGTGTCTTCTGACCAAAGGGTCACAAAGTATGGGACCCTAGCAGTCCTGAGCGCACACCTGCCTCCTTTACAGATGGGACCTGGGTGGTGCCAGATGTTAGCCCCTAGGGGAAGAGGGCAGGCTCCCTCCAGGATGCAGCCACCAAGGACACGGTGACCAGGCAGAGCCGATCACACGTGGGGAAGAACCGGCCAGAGAGCCCTTTGGCAGGAACCTCAGGAACTGAGGCAGGAATGCCAACGAATCCCTGCCCCAATGGGGGTTTTGGCCGCCGAGACACATCCCCACATTGCTGCCAAGAGACCTGGGTCCTGGGGGGCTGACCCTGGAGATTGGGGGTGGGGTGAGGGTTGGGCAGCCTGGAATGGAGGGAAGGGCCCAAGAGAAGGAGGCAGGGCCTCCAGGGGTGGAACACAGATGTCTTGAAGAGCGCTGTGGGAGGCGAGGTGCGGTGGCTCATGCCTGTAATCCCAGCACTTTGGGAGACCAAGACGGGTGGATCATTTGAGATCAGGATTTCAAGACCAGCCTGGCCAACATGTTAAACACCCCATCTCTACTAAAAATACAAAAGGTAGCCAGGCGTGGTGGAGGGTGCCTGTAATCCCAGCTACTCGAGAGGCTGAGGTGGGAGAATCACTTGAACCCGGGAGGCAGAGGTAGCAGTGAGCCAAGATCGCGCCACTGCACTTCAGCCTGAGCGACAGAGTGAGACCTTGTCTCAAAAAAAGAGAGAGAGAGAGAGAGAACAGCAAGAGATGAAGCTGGCCAGGGTCAGAGTGAGAGAGGCCTTGACTCCCGAACAGAGGAGTGTGGACTTGAACCTGTAGAGGGTCCTCCGGGCAGGGGAAGGAAGGACCTGCCTGAGAAGAACACCCTGAGGGCAGAAGGGAGAGTGATGATGAGAAGGCAGCTGCTGGAACCCGTGTTCCTCGCAAGGAGGGCCTGATCTCATTTCTCCACCTCTCCCTCAACCTCCCCCATCTGACTGTTAACCATATTCACCTCACACATTTCTCTCAAATCCTCCCAGTTCTCCCCACCCCTGCCTCTTACCCCGACCCCTCAGTCCAGTCACCTTCATCTCTCTCCTGGGTTACTGCAAAAGCCACTCTCCCGGCCTCAGGGCCGCCCTCTGTATCCCCTCCTCCCAACGCCAGCCTCAATGAGCTTTGGACCAGGAGGTCTGACCTGTCTCTCCTTTTTTAAAAACAGTAGTGACTAACACTCATGTAGTGCTTGCCACAAGCCAGGCACTTGCGGCAAGTGTATGACTCTTGTAGGTGAATGCACTATTTTGAACCTAGCCACAATCCTATGAAGTTGACACTCTTATCAATCCCTGGGTTACATTTGAAAAACAGATCCTGAGAACTTAAGTAATAGTCCAAGGTTACACAGCCAGTAGGTGGCCAAGCGGGGGTTTGAATCCAGACCCCTTCCACTTCCATCCTTGACCTCTTTCCCCCTGCTCTCAACAGTGATGTCAGAAAGAGCCTGATCATGTTTGAGTCCTCACAATCACCTGCAAGGCCCTGTGTAACCTGGTTCCTTTCACTTCTCTACCCTCCTCTCCCACTACTTCCCGCTCCTCTCTCCATAGCAGCTTCATGGCTGTCCCTTGAACATGCCAAACCTCAGGGCCTTTGTACTTCCAATTCCTTCTGCCTGGGATTCTCTTCTGTATGTCCGCTTGCCTTGCTCCTCTGCCTCTTTCAAATCTTGGCTCAAATATTGACTTCCCAAGAAGGTCTCTATTTAAAATGTAAAATTGAAACTCCTGCCCTGAACTCCCTATTTCCCTTCCCTGCTTAATTTTTCACATGGCACTTATCACCTTCTGACATATCATACAATTTGTTTATTGTGGTACTTGTTATCTTTCTCTTCCCGTGGAAGAGAATGGAAACTTTAGGAGGACAAGGATTTTTGTCTGTTTTGTTCATTCAAAGATTCCTTCTGCTCAGAACAGTGCCTGAGACATGGTAGTCACAATAAATATCTTTTGAATGAATGAAAGTATCTTCACACTTCTCTACCTTTGCCCAGGTTGTTCTGCCTCCTTGGAATGCCTTTCCCCACTGGCACATGTGACACTCCAACACACTCTCTCCGTGACCTGTCCAATGGCACTCTGCCGAGAAGCTTTCCCCTAGGATGGTCCCAGCTCAGTGACCTGGTCCTATGCTACCAGCCACACACACGCTCTCTCCCCATGCACTGTGATCCCTGCATTTGACTCATCACCAGTCGAGATGGGGATGTTCTGACTGGGGGCAGGTAGGTGCTCCATTCAATGCTTTCTCTCAGAAGGCACACTCCCTTGTTGCTCTGGAGACAGGAATGAACCAAATCTCATGTAGCAGAGGTACCCAGGGAAGAGAGGACATCAGCTCCCTTTCCCTGCACCTGTGGTTCCAGACTCACCTTCACAGTTCTCTGGGACTTCGCTCCCTTGGCTTCTGCTTCCACTCCCAGGACTGTCAACTCTTCACTTCAAGTCCTGATCTTCAAACCGTGATGCACCCGTCTCAAACCTGTTCCCACCTCCATCAGTCTAGCTCCAATTTAGCTCTGGGCCCAGAGTCCAAGTTCACCGTGTTTAGTTGTGGAGGTTGTATGCTGCACAATTCAAAGAGGTGGCATTGATGTTGTGCTCTGTGTAAATGGCATTCCCTGGTGCCTGTATGATGCAAAATCAGCACAACACTCAGACCTGCTGGGCCCCATCCACAGTGTTTCCTTGGGCAATGTCTCCGTTGAGACAGCAGCAAGGTTTAGACACCAGCCCTGTTCCACTGGTGTCAGAATTTACCTGCCCTGCTGCATACAACCTCACTGAATTGTCTTGAAAAAAAAAAAAAGGAAGATTCTAGGAAGAAGGATCATCTGTTTCTGAGTCCTTCTGCCCCCTTCTGTGGGAGACGCTAAGCCCGCAGGAGAGCATGGGGAAGCAGCCGGGAGCAGCCTCCCCTCTGGACTAGGACTTGAACCATAGCTAACGAGTTTCTGGGCCCTATACACTTGATGGAGAGGCAAGAAGACCCAGTGTGCAGGGTACTTTGGGGATCATCCCTCGACCAGCAAGATATTTTTGATGTAGTATGATCACTCCTCATCATGTGGGTAGGAACATAGTGCCCCCTGGCCACCCCTCACCACCCCACTTCCCAAAACCAGCACTAATTGTACTGGCTCAGCCCCATCTAGTTATCTCGCCGCCATCACTCGAGATAGCCCATCAATTTCCCCATCTTCCTCTTTGGACACAACACAGACTCAGGGCATAATAACCATTATAATCACTTTCATTTTTCCATTTATGAGTATCAACCACATACAAGCAACTTACTAATTCATGTATGAGATGAAGACTGTCACTATCTCCATTTTAAAAATGTACAAATTGAGACTCGTGAGGTGATGTGACTTAGCCCAATTCACAGCAGCAAGTGGCAGAGTTAGAATTTGAACTCAGCTCGTCTGGCACCACATCCTACAGTCTTGGCCACTCTATTTCTGTCTCCAAAGCCTCTGGATGCTGAACAGCTGGTTGAATACACAACTAAACTACCCAACATGCAAGTGCTGCAAGGTGGGGATGTTGCCCTGTGCCCCAAGTTACAGCCCAGGCAAAGCGTGACCTGCAGTAGGGTGGATTGGGTGAGGGTTATTCCTATGCATATTTGAGGGTCTAAGGAAGAGAACATGGAAGCCTGGGCCTCTCTTCTCCCCAGAAGCAAATGCCTGAGTGAATTTCTCATTGAGCTGAAGTCAGGCCAAATCTGCTTCCACACAGGTGTTAGGTTATTCTCCCTGTTGGCTGGAAATTCGATTGCGGTTGATTTAAAATCCCGACACCTGTGTCCATCACCCGAGCCTCTACCATGATTACTGTCCCTATAAAGTTCCTAATCCCTGTACTTACACAGCGTCCTTACCCTCTGACAGGCCAGATCTATGTGAGCAGGGAGATTTGGTTATTATGTAGAAGAGTTATAAGAAATATGACTGCAAAAGCCAAGTCAGTTGAAATTGGACTATAATTAAATGCTTAGAAAATTCTATGCTTGGCTCATTTTAAAATCAAGTGCTTCTTTGTAGCAATTTCCTTTCTTTAATTACAATTTCCTGTCTAGTTTGACATTTACAATGCAATCTTGGGGGACATGTTTGTGATTTATTATTCCTGCTCCTATCAGGATATCACTGTGCAGAAATGAGTTTATAAAATAAGAGCTCAAATTATTATGGCCTTTGACCAATAAAGCAGGCTCATAATTTCAGGCCTGAGAGAAGATTACCATTTTTGACAACCCAAGGCAGAAATACTGGAGAGGGGGAGGGCACAGTTTGGGAAATTCACTCCATGTTCAAAAACACCGCATTGTCTCCTGAGGGAAGGCCAGCTTTGGAAGCAGAACATATTAATAACCCCTCAAATTTATACGAGGCTTTGCAGCTTTGAAGAACTTTCACTGTCATCGATTACCTCATCTTTGGAGGTAGACAGGTAGGTGCCTTCATCCCCCTCTTACAGATGATGAAACTGAAGCCCAGAGAAGTTAAGTGACTCGCTGAAGGTCACAAAGCCTGAAAACAGCGGTCTTTGAAACAACACTCAGGTCCAATCCAGTGAGTCCTTTCCCCACAATTTAATAGCTGTCCCTCAAGGCTTGAGAAGTGTCCTGAGACATGAAAGATGCCTTCAGTGCATCTCTGGGCAGGGAGCCCCTCTGCTTCCCACAGCAGGAGCTCTGACCAACCCCCAGAGCAGCACGTGTCCCGTGACTCACATATGTGCAGCCAACAGAGGCCACGGGGGCTGCTGGCCCCAGCTCATGAAAGAGGTGCCATAATTTCCTTTTATCTGTTTCCTTTCCTCTTGAGGCTTTATCTAGAAATTTGGGAGTATTGTGTACTCTTGGCCCGCAACATGCTCTTTTACCCCTGGGCTGCAAAGTGAGACTCCAAGCCCAGCACAGGAGGGTCTACCTCTGTGTGCACATGTGGATGTACAATCGCTCAGCTGCGTGTGTGCCTGGATATCCACAAATGTTTGGAGGTGCTGTGTTGGCACCTGTGCACATATTCAGGGCATACGTGTGGTAAGTATAGGTAGATATGTGGGTGCTGGTATAGAAGTGTGCATTATCACCCCCATCCATTCTTCCTAATCTAAAGAAGAGAAGGCCAAAGTGGACAACACACCAAGTAACTTTGGTAGGCCAGGCACGGTGGCTCATGCCTGTAATCCCAGCACTTTGGGAGGCCGAGGGGGGCAAATCACTTGAGGCCAGGAGTTCGAGACCAGCCTGGCCAACATGGTGAAACCCTGTCTCTACAAAAAATACAAAAATTAGCTGGGTGTGGTGGCAGGCATCTGTAATCCCAGCTACTCAGAAGGCTGAGGCAGGAGAATCACTTGAACCCAGGAGGCAGAGGTTGCAGTCAGCCAAGATCGCACCGCTATACAAAAGCCTGGGCAACAGAGTGAGACTCCATCTCAAAAAAAGAGAAAAAAAGTAACTTTGGTGCACTAAATGCGCCAGAATCATGAAAGACTGTTTCAGTAGCCTGGGAAGACCTTGAAGGGAATAAGGGGAGAAGGAAATTGGGTCTCCTGGGGGTTGTCTGTGGACCCTTCATCCTTTTATTTCCTAGAATGTGCTGTGGTAAAGGTGCCAATCCACCTGGTCCCCAGCTGAGGGTGGACGGTGACTTCTGTTGAGGTGGAGCTCACCCACTGGCCCTTCGCTGAGGCCACAAAGTCTCTGGGGGTGTGAGCCTCCCCAGTCCCACCTTCCAGATGCCAGTTGGCTATGCCCTCTGGTCAGGAAGGGGGTGATGCCCTTGTGATGATCACAAGGGGATCACAGGAGCTAGGGCAGGTCTGGGGAGTCCAGGTGTGGGTACAGTGAATTGGCGGCACCTCTGGGACATCCAAGGGGAGGTGTCCAGGGAGAGGTTGTGTGTGTAGATCTGGGAGCTGGGAGAAGGTCTATGCTGGGCTGTGGTTTCTGGCCCTCTGCCCTGCCCCCTTAACACCTGTTCTGTGATTTTCAGCTTTAATGTCCCTCCCCAGGTATGATGGTGGCTGTGCAGCCAGGATCAGAACAGATCAGGGCACTGGAGCCAAGGCCACCACGGAAGCAGTGGGTGTTACAGCGCCGGGACCAAGGTGGCCCCAGCAGCTGGTTGAAGGCGCGCTTGTGGAGCTGCTGGCTGAGTTTCCTTCATGAACAAGGCTTCTGGGCCCAGAACAGGGGTTTCTGGGGTGCCCTCTCCTGCTCCTCCTCTTGGGGAGGAGTGGAAATTGGGCTTCCTCTTTGTCTCACTTGAAAGGAGCCATTATGGGAGGTAAATCTCCATTGCTGGCTTTTGGCCTCAGATTAAGTCTGTCCAGAGACTCGTTTGTTGCCTGTGAAAATCTCTTTATTACTTCAAAACAATTTTAAGGCAGAGTGCATTAAGATTTCTGAAGAATGAGAAAGAAGCATATCCCCACACCGGGATGCTGGTTATGAAGTTCAAATGGATGGGGCAAGGCAATCCTCTTACAGATGGGGGAGAGGCTCAGGCCCACCCATCAGAGTCTAGAGGAAGTGCCTAACTGAAAAGCAAAGCAGCTCTCCTAAAGGCCACCGCCTGGGCTGGCCTTGCCAGGGCAGCTAGGCACTCACTTCCTTCCCCTGCACATATGCACCCACATTCATGAATGCATGCACACGCACAAATGCACTGCCCCTTCCTGTCGACAGCTACTTCCTTGAATCATCATATTGGCCAGGGAGGCAGCCTGGGTGGCTATTTGATCCCAATTGTTCAAAGGAGAAAATCAAAGCTCAGACAGGGAAAGCAACTCTTCCAAGGTCGACCAGGACCAGAACTGACATCTTCGCCTTCCAAGATCAGGACTTTCTCTCTAGAACTCCCCGGACCAATAAGCAGTCCTGAGGCTCCTCCTTGGTTCCTGACTCCATGAACAAGGCCAACCTGGGCCCAGGTGGGCCTGAGACTGTGAGGCCTCCGACCCCACCCCGCTCAAAGAGACAAAGGAGTAGAGCCCATGTGAATGCTGCCACCCTAACTCCATCCCATCCTTCTCCTGCAAGGGCCCTCTCAAGTCCCAGGACCAAGCAGGGAGAAAGGCAGGAGGAGATGAACCCATAGAGATCCATCCATCCATGCATCCATCCTTCCATCCACCCAGCAGGGTCAGCTATGTGGGTTGCGGCAGAGAGTAAGGAAACCACAGTTCTGCCCTCAAGTTGCTCGTGGACCTGAGAAGATATAGTCATTGCAAACCAGTGTGTTAAGTGTTGTGACAGGAAAAGCACAGGAAACCAAGGGAGCACAGAGTCACTTATCCAGCTAGGGGTGAAGGCCTCCTGAGCCTTAGCAAGTGTGAAGGAGCCAGCCACATGAGAAGACGGGAGGGCGCTTGAATGGAGAAAGGAGATTGGACGATGTGTGGCCAGGTGCTTTCAATATGTTTGGTTGAGGAGGTCAAGGGGGAGGGAGGCTGGGGCCCAAGGACTGCCTCTGTTGGGTGCCCTCAGAGTTTAGGAAACCTTGGTGTGGCCTCATCCAAAGCCCACTAACCTTGATTCCACTGCATATCCAATGTAATTCCACCATTGCACATTCATCAATGTACTTAAAATATAACTATCTCTGGGAGGAATACTCCAAAGACATGTGTTGCACTTTACACTAAATGCTTTGGGGATATCATCTCCCTTAGAGGTAATGAAGTAGGTACAAATTGCTCTGTATTACTTTGGATTCAGGCAATGACATGTTTTCTTATTTGTCTAACACAGATTAAATCTGGCACTGGCCAAGCTCACCAAGATGGCAGGAGATTCAATACCAGTCATTTGTAGGGGGCTCTCTCTCTCTCCTCCTTTTAATTTTACAGAAACTTAGGGGTTACACATCCCACAAAACTAAAGAGGACTTCATTCCTAGATATAGCTGCGTTTGCTCCTGATCTAGGCCATTTAAAGGCAGGTGGCTCTCCTGGGACCTGCTCCCATGGGATTGGAGCCTGGTTCTCAGCCTTCCACTGCTCCTCCACTGGAGCTAGAAGCACTATCTCTAGGCTGTCCTGGGGCTTGAAGACAGATCCTGTGGAATAGACCACTTGAGGGACCTCCCGTCTGAAGCTCATAATTTGGTCTAGAGGCCTGGGGATCCCCTTTGGCCATCCAAGGTCTTGGGTTGTGGACAAGCCTGGCACCATGCACCCTCCTTGTTGGCCCACCAAGGAGGGCCTGGTAGCCTGCCGTCTCATTGCTCTCCTGCCAAAGGCCTGACCAGCCTCTTGATCCCCCGCAAGCTGACCTAGCTCTGTGACAATTCAGAAATTGTGCATTCAGTGGGAAGATTAGGCCTGATTAAGAAATTTGCACTAATGAACTGTGCTTAATTGGATTTGGGGAAGGACACAAAATGGGCTGCTTGACATTCCAGGGTCCTCAGCAAAGTCCTGGGGCCTCCCTGTATCCTCCCCACAAAGCTAGCCATACCCCCAGCCCCTCTGCCCCCAGTGCCCCAGCCTTCGGCCTCTCAGCCTAGTAACAGAGAAGTTATCTGCCTAATCAGACTAATTAGCACTGGGGACACAAAGTCATAATCTACAAAGAATGCAAATGCCAGTTTTACAAAATGAAAACGCCATATGTGCAGTAATTAGCAAACCACGGGCACATTTTATAAATCATATTTATTAGTTTGTAAACAAATCAAGCTCTAAATGAAGTGAAAGATGCCATTAACTGAGATAGCAGCAGTGGTAGTGCTGAGCAGGCCTGGAAATGGGAGACTGGGGGTACAGGGTAGAAGGTGGCCCCAGAGCCCTGCCTGGGAGCCCACCAATCTCCTGTAACCTCCCCCCGACCAAGAACCCTGGTGTGGGTGGCAGGGGTCTGTGTCTTGGCTCTCCAGGATCTATGGCCCACTTGCTCTGCCACCAGAGCTCCTGCCCACCTGCTCAGCATCCCATGACTCTGGGCTGGTTATTCAAACCAGGGCTTAAACAAGTGCTTGTTCCTATGTGAAGACAAGATGGCACCTGAGCTCTGAGCTCAGCTCCAGGCCCCTCTTGCCTTTGTTTTGGAACCCCTGGCCTCTTTGTCTACTTACATATCTCTGAGGCTTGAGGAAAAGAAAATATCTCAATTGAAGGACCTTTATTTACTGACCATGCCTACTGCTCTGCTTCTCAGCCTCTGTTGTCCTTGGAGAAAAGCTAGGGGAAGGGGGCATTTCCAGGTTGATTCTCTCCTGTGGTGCACTCATGTATTCGCCTATCAATCTGGCTGAGCTCCGGCTGTGCACTCAGCCCTCCTCAGGCACTCAAAGTGTTGACATGCAAATATAAAGGTAAGTCTTAGCTTTCCAGGAGCTCCAGACTAGGAGAAGGGCTCTGGGCATTGACTGTGGCCTCCATGAGTGTGTTCTGCTCAGCACATGATCCTATCTCCTATCTTTGGTGAACTATTCCTCCTTTCCTTTGGAAACACCTTTCTGCCCCATGTGGCCATGATGAGGTTATCAGCCCAGGTGCCCTGGCACCTCCTCCACAACAAGGTAAGCACTCAGCCCAAGATGAATTAGTCTTTCCACTGCACACCCTGGACCCGGTGACACAAATTAGGCCCATCACTTTCCTGATCCACATTTTCTGAATAGAGATAAGGGAATTGTCAACTTTAGGATGGTATAGTTGGTTCACACTTTGATCATCTGGTCTGATCTATACAAGAAACAATGACAGTAAATTATATAAAGAGAACACCAAAGTTCATAGCCATGTTCAAAAATAAGATTAATATCTCCATGAACCAGAAATGGAATAGAAATTTAAAATGATAAATGGAACCAAGGCCATAATTTTGCTGGGCTCTGGGTCTAGCATCAAACAATGAGGTCGACAGTCCAATCCCAATAGGTTAGAGGGGACAGGGGTGCTCCTAAAGGGTGGGAGGAGTAAAGATGCAACTTTGTGGTCAGGAACGAAGGCTAGCTGCCTGCTGACTCTGTGACTGTGACTATAAGCATGACACCCCACACTACATCCAAGGGAAAGGAATGGTAAGCTACTATATAAGACCTGGTTCGGGATGGGAACAGGTGAAAACAGAGAGGGGAGAGAGAAGAAGAAAGGAGAAGGAAAAGACAAAGGAGGAAGAAGGAAAAAGAAAGGGAGAAAATCCTCACTTAAAATGAGCCTACAAAATCAATATTCCAAGTATATATAAAGGGATTTATTGCAAAGAAAAAAATCAACAATCCAAACAGAAATTCACTCTAGATAAAATTAATATGACTGAAGAGTCTGACAGTGACATTGGGCATGTTTAATTGGTCAAAGAGATAAAGGTAAAAGACTCATTAAAAGAAAACAAGAAAGTTACAAAATAAAAACAGGCATAAATATCAAGTGTTATGAAAAAGAATCAATTGAAAATCTGGGAGAGGAAAGTTACAATTATTGAAATTAAACGTTCAATAGAGGAAATAAATTCCAGACTGGGCACACTTAAAGAGAGAAACAGAATTGAATTGAAAACTACTATTGGAGAAATTCACCAAAATTGCATCACAAAGAGACAGAGTTATACACACATACATACACACACACACACACACACACACACACACACGCATGCAACTGAAAAACATGGAAGCTAGATTGAAGAGCGCCAACAAGCATCTAATAAAAGTTTCATAAGAAGCAAATGAAAGAAATAGTAGAGAAGCAATATATAAAGAGATAATTGTCAAGAATTATTGAAAATTGAATCAAGATGTAAGTTTTCATATTCAAAATTATACTCTGTAGTGGGTGAGACAACTTCAAATAGATCCACATCTAGAAACATTATAGTGCAACTTCAGAACTTCAAGAATTTAAAAAGGCCATTTAAAAAGCTACCAGAAGGAAGAGACAGGTCACAGAAAAAAAAAAAAAAAAAGACCAATAACAGGGTTGTCTTCACCAACAGTAGATGCCAGAAGAAAACGAAATAATATCTTCAAGGTGCTGAGGAAAAATAACAATCAATCTAGAATTTTATACCCTGCTAATCTGTTATCCAAAAGTGCAAGCAAAATAAAAGCCCTTATAGACATGAAAAGACTAAGTGAATACACCCCCATTGACCTTCATTAACATAAAGATGTCCCTGTAGTAAAAAGTAGACACAAAGGAAAAGCAAATGGATTGCAAGAAACCATGGAGGACCACAGGAAATGATAAAAAAACAAGTTGGTAAATTCAATTAAATCTTGACTATAAAAATAATACCTATATTTTATATGCTTAAAAGAAGATAACTTTTTTTTTTTTTAAAAGAAACTAACTTCTTTAGTGTAAACTAAACCTCTAAACAAAGATAATGAAATGGATGGGGATGTCCAATATAGCACCACATGAAAACAAGAAAAGGAAATCTCCAGGATCAGAAAAACAGTGTATTTATTACTCAGATGGCAATCAAGAAGGATGCTGTAGGATCCCATGCTGCTGGTGGTGGTGGTAAGAGAATTCAAACACAGATATATGGCATAGCGGCTGCTGGCTTGGTATTTAACACCCAAGCAGGGACTGGAGATTTAGCCTCTTGCCCATGAAAGACACAGAGCTGGAACTAAGTCTTTTGTATGTGGCTGGAAGCACTGAAGGCTGTCATCTATTTTCTTTAAAAAAAAAAAAAAAAATGGAAATAGAAAAACTAAACCCACAAGCTCAGGAGGCAACAGGAAAGTGTATTGTATGTCTGCAGCAATGAATGGGGAAAAAGTCCATGAGAGGCCAGGTGTGGTGGCTCACACCTGTAATCCCAGCACTTTGGGAGGCTGAGGTGGGTGGATCACCTGAGGTCGAGAGTTCAAGACCAGCCTGACCAATATGGAGAAACCCTATCTCCACCAAAAAAAACCCCAAAATAGCCAGGTGTGGTGGTGCTTGCCTGTAATCCCAACTACTCAAGAGGCTGAGGCAGGAGAATCACTTGAACCTGGGAGGCGGAGGTTTCAGTGAACTGAGATTGCGCCATTGCACTCCAGCCTGGGCAACAAGAGCGAAACTCCATCTCAAAAATAAATAAATAGATAGTCCATGAGAAATGGAAACCTTGGGAATGGGACAGAAGCAGGTATAAAATTCGAATGTATACTACCTGTGTGAAAGGGTCCACAAGCTGAGAGAATAAGAATTGGTCGGCTGAGGCAGGAGAATGGCGTGAACCCGGGAAGCGGAGCTTGCAGTGAGCCGAGATTGCGCCACTGCAGTCCGCAGTCCGGCCTGGGCGACAGAGCGAGACTCCGTCTCAAAAAAAAAAAAAAAAAAAGAATTGGTCTAGGGAACCCAGCAACAGCAATCATGAAACTGCTCAGAAGGAATATTTTGACAACTATAGCACGTGGGACTCTAATAAAAGCACAACCCCTGCTAAAAACAAGCTCAATAAAAATTTACAAATGACACAAGGAAATAAGACACCACAAGGAAGAATCAGCAGAAATAAGATGGTTCAAATATTTCTGACACTAGTTTCAAAAGAAGAGAAAAGAAAGAATGGGAGAAGGCATATTAGAAGAGAAAATGCCTAAGAATTTTCCGTAACTGAAGAAAGAGTTGAGTCTTCAAATTGATTAAATCCCTTAAATCATGAGAGGGATAAAGAAAACAAATTCATACTACACACATTATGAGAAAACTTCAAAACATCAAATAAAAGACAAAAGCAACTAGGGGCAGCAGAATGCCAAAAAAGCAAAACAGTTGGGCTGGCAGCAGACTTCTCAGCAACAAAATTGATTCCAGAAGACAGTGGAATAACATCCATGAAGTACCAAAAGAAAATAACAGGTAATTTATAATTTATTTGAAGAAAAGGCAAGATAAACATGAGAAAAATCCAGAGAGTTTACTATTCAAAGTTCTCTGTAAATTAAAAGATAAGGGGTGTACCTTACTAAGAAGGAAATTGAAACCAAAAGGAATGATGAACAAATAAATTAGAAAACACATTTCATTAATCTAAATAAGCATTGACTACAAAAAAGACATTTTTTGAAAGAGTTAAAAGCAGTGTAAAGCAGAAATATTTAATTTATTAATTTATTAATTTATTTTGAATTTATTATTATTTTTTTGAGATGGAGTCTCACTCTGTTGCCCAGGCTGGAGTGCAATGGTGCAGTCTCAGTTCACTGCAACCTCTGGCTCCCATATTCAAGCAATTCTGTTGTCTCAGCCTTCCAAGTAACTGGGATTAGAGGTGCATGCCACCATGCCCAGCTAATTTTTGTATTTTTAGTAGAGACGGGTTTCACCATATTGGTCAGGCTGGTCTTGAACTCCTGACCTCACGTGATCCACCCACCTTGGCCTCCCAAAGTGCTGGAATTACAGGAGTGAGCCACCTCACCCAGCCTAGAATATTTTATAATGATAGCAAGAAGATGGGAAGGAGGATTGGAGTTAAAACATTTAAAGATCTTTGTATTATAGGAGGCGAATAAAGATATTGATTAAATTTAGACTTTTAAAAAGGTTGTAACACCCAAAGCTGTAGAGAGAAGAAAAAAGGTAATAAAAAAACCCAATAAATCCAATTGAATGTAGGAAAGGGGAAGAAACAGAAAAATACATGGTAAAAATTTTAAAAGGTGGTATTAAAAACTCCAATTTTATCAGTAATCACAATAAATTTAAATGACTTAGACCCATTTGTTCGGAGATATTCCCAGATAAGATTTTTAAAATCCAGTTATAAGTTGTTTATAACTGACCTAATAGTTAAAACATAATTATACAAAAAGCTTAAAAGTAGAAGGATAGGGAAAGATCATAAATACTAATAATCAAAGGAAATGAGATATAGTGACATTAATAGCAACCAGAAGAGATGTCATGGTTTTAAAAAACTTGAGATTTAAAGAGGGTGACTGTTCACTGACAAGAAGAACAATTGAATAGAAATCTATAGTGAAGCTGAACCTGATTGCTCATAATACTATAACCTCCTTAAAGATGACAGGATTATCAGGGAAAATTGACAGAGGATATTAAGCAAAATACATAGCAAAATTGACAGACTTGTGGGAGAAACTGACAAACCTACATTTGTAATGAGAAATTTTAACACTCCTTTTCCAGAAATTGATGAAACAGATAAAATTATTAACATTTGTTTGATGTCCATATATAAAATCTTGTTTCCAATAATTAAAGAGTACACTTCGTTTTCAAGTGGAACATTTAAAAACTTGCCAGGCGCGGTGGCTCATGCCTGTAATCCCAGCACTTTGGGAGGCTGAGGTGGGCGGATCACCTGAGGTCGGGAGTTTGAGACCAGCCTGGGCAACATGGAGAAGCCTGGTCTCTATTAAAAATACAAAATTAGTTGAGAATGGTGGTGCATGCCTCTAATCCCAGCTACTCCGGAGGCTGAGGCAGGAGAATCGCTTGAACCCAGGAGGTGGAGGTTGCAGTGAGCCGAGATGGCGCCACTGCACTCCAGCCTGGGCAACAAGAGCAAGACTCTGTCTAAAAAAAAAAAAAAAAATTAGATGGCCATGGTGGCAGGGGCCTGTAATCCTAGTTACTTGGGAGGCTGAGGCAGGAGAATCTCTCGAACACGGGAGACAGAGGTTGCAATGAGCCAAGATCGTGCCACTGTACTCCAGTCTGGGCGACAGAGTGAGACTCCATCTCAAAATAAATAGATAAATAAATAAATAAAAACTGACTATATAATAGGACACAAAGGAAGCGTTAACAGATAATAAAAATTTGATATATTAGTGACAGATTCTATGACTTCAGTGCAATAAAGTTATAAAACAATTTAAAAAATTGGGTCCAAAGCACCTCACTTATTTTCTTTATTGTAGTGAACTATATAATATGTATAAAAGAATATGTTAATACACAGAATTTAAAGAAATATACCGTAAACATCTATGTAACTGTCACCCAGATTAAAAAACAGTACATTTTGGCCGGGCGCAGTGGCTCACGCCTGTAATCCCAGCACTTTGGGAGGCTGAGATGGGTGGGTCACGAGGTCAGGAGATCGAGACTATCCTGGCTAACACAGTGAAACCCCGTCTATACTAAAAATACAAAAAAAAAAAAAAATTAGCCAGGTGTGGTGGCGGGTGCCTGTAGTCCCAGCTACTCGGGAGGCTGAGGCAGGAGAATGGCGTGAACCCAGGAGGTGGAGCTTGCAGTGAGCCGAGATCATGCCACCGCACCTCCAGCCTGGGTGACAGAGCGAGGCACTGTCTCAACAACAACAACAACAAAACTCAGTACATTTCCAGGATCTCAGAAACCTTATGTATACCCCTTTCCAGCTGTATTCTCTTCCTGTTCCCTAGGAAGAGGTATCCACCACTCTGACTCTTAGGGCAGAGGTCCCCAACCCCTAGGCCATGGTCCAGTACCAGTCTGTGGTCTGTTAGGAACCAGGCCGCACGGCAGGAGGTGAGCGGTGGGCCAGTGAGCATTACTGCCAGTGAGCTCTGCCTCCTGTCAGATCAGCGCGGCATTAGAGTCTCACGGGATCTCGAACCCTATTGTGGACTGTGCATGTGAGGGATCTAGGTTGCAAACTTCTATGAGAATCTAATCATCCCTCGCCCTATCTTTAGGGTACTCATTTTTGTGCTTTGTTCTTACTGTTTTACCACTTGTGTATGTGTTCCTAAACAGTGTTGATGAGTTTTGACTGTTTTTCATCTTTATGTTAATGGAATCGTATTTTCTATCCTCTGCCTGGTGTCTGGTCATGTGCTGGGTACAGAGAATATAGAGTTGAATTAGACAGGAGTCCTCCCATCAAAATGATCATATTTGGTTGCAGAAATGGTAATTGCCACAGTAGGAATTAAGCTGTGGAGTAGGGGTATCACATCACAATCATGTTGTTGAAAAAGAGACTTCTTAAAGGAGTTGAGAGTTGAAATGAATTTTAAAATGATTTGACTTATTTTCCAATAAGACAAGGGAGATGAGAATTGCCATCAGTGTGAACATCAACTGTAGATCAATTCAGCCTTGTCTTAGTCAAGATTTCAAACTAGCTTAGACCAAAAAAAAAAAAAGTTAAAAAAGATTTACATAAGTGAACAGTCCATGTGATATGACTTCAGGCAAGACTGGATCCAGAAGCTTAATTAATTGCCAGCTTTAATCTCTTTTTTTTTTAATTTTAGAAAATAGAGATGGGGGTCTCAGCATGTTGCCCAGGCTGGTCTTGAACTCCTGGGCTCAAGCGATCCTCCTGCCTTGGCCACCCAAAGTGCTGGGATTACAGGTGTGAGCCACTGTGCCTGGCCTCTATCTCTTTCTATATCTATCAGATAGACTTTCTCTACACAGTGAATCAGATGGTCCTCAAAAACCTCAGACTCACTTCCTGTTGGCTTACCATTACAAGTAAGTGGTGCTCTCTTTTGTAAGTTCAAGCCAAAATTCCCAGAGAAGATTCTAACAGGTCCTGTTTGGGCCATGTCCACATTCCTACATTAATCATTGTCCCTAGAAGAATAAGGTGTTCTTGTTGTTCTAGATCACAGACTAGATCACCTGCCCATCTTATCCAAACCACATAGAACTGGCTCCTCACATGAGAGAAGGATTCTGTTCCCAGAAGTGAGAAAAAATCCTAAGAAGGCAAAGGCAACTGGAGTCCACCTGCAGTATGAGAGGTCACTTAGCATTTGAGAAACCACAGGCTCTTTGGTGTGACTGGGGAGTGGGCTGAAGGGGGACATGATCAGAAAAGAAGTAGGCTGGGGAGGTGACAGAGATGCAGAATGCGTGGACAACCAAGTTTTATTTTATGCTGAACATAACAGAGGCTTTACAGTGATTGGAGAGATTGAAGCAGAGGGTGACAAATTCAAATGCTCATTTTAGGAGGCTCCCTCTGGGGCCTGCAGGAGAGAGGGCTGGAGTGCTAAGACTGTTACAATAATCCTGGTGAGGAGGCTGAAATGAGATAGCAGGAAGGGAAGCCTTGTGGGGCAGGGATCAGGGCATGATCAGGTAGGAAACTAAGAAAGAAGTCGACACCATAGATGGGGGTAATGAAGGACGGGATGATGAAGGGAGAAGAGTCAAGCGACAGTCACGTTTCACATCTGAGTTTCAGGTGAGGATGTGCATCACCAAGACGAGGAGCCTGAGTCTGATGGGCCTATTCTGTGGTGGCTGTGGCTTTGCTCTCTCCCCAGCTTCTAGCCTCGTGTTAGAAACGCTTGAGGTTCTTGGTAAACCCTTATGGGTAGACTAACCGGGAATTGAATTGAAATGCAGATTCTAAGTGTGGCTTATGCTTCAAGCTGCAGGTCTCCTTGAGGACCCATTGCCAAGGCCTCGACAGCCCCATTGAAGAGGGCTGGGACTGAGCCTGTGTGTGTGTGTCTGTCTATGTGTCTGTTCCTATCTCTTTGTTTGAATGGGATGATTTTTCGCATACACCCCCTGACCTCCCTATCCTTGACAGCCAGGTTCCCAAGCCCAGGCATCCTACTGGCCAGGACCAGATAGGCTGTTCCTCCCAATACCTACTCTGGCATGGGGGTGTATCCCAAGACATTCTCCTCCTCTAGTTCCTCCCTTCCCACCCCCGCCAAACCTTCCAGAGGAAATCCTGGAAAGACTAGAGTGACAGAATGCATATCCCTACTCTCGCTAGAGACTAGGCTTCAGAGGGACCTGGCCATAGACAGGTGCTGCACCCTGCTGTGTGTCAGGTGCTCTGCAATGCCTTCTCTCCACTCACACTCACAACACTCTACGAGGCTAATAGTAGCACTACCCCCAATTGACAGGTGAGGACCTGAAGCCCAGAGAGGCAAACTGCATTGCCTGAAGCCCCTAATTGGTAATTATGGGATCTAAGTGCAAGTCTAATCAGAAGGTTGTGGGCTTCAGCCTCCCTGGGACTGTTGTCAGGAGGCAGGCAGCTGGAAGTGGTAGGGTCCCAGGCTCTTTAGAGAAGAAGCTGGGCTCCAGAAGGGGTAGACCAGAAGCCCAGCTTTCCTGGACCCACACCAGCCCCTCCCTGTTGGGTCTGGGTTTCTGGGGGCCCACGCAGCTGATGGTGATAGGCCAGAGAGGGTTGGTGGAGATGGGGGGAAGGGCTGGAGGTGTGGGTGGCTGGGGGTGGGTTAATGCTGCTGCCTTATGAAGGACATTTTTCAACTGAGCCGGTAACTGGAGGCCCTGTGAGTGTGTTCTGTCTCAGCAACTCCACAATCAGAGGATATGAACTGGCTGTGAGAAAGACATCAGGGGCTGGCTATTCCCAAACTCTTAGAAGGCACAGAGCTAGATTTAATAAAAGGAGAAAATGGAACATTCTCATTAGCACCAGATTTTCCATTTAATTTGGACTTTTACAAAATAAGTAGCCTAATTACTGCCATGATTTGAGCTTCTCAATAGGTTTTTCCTCTAAGAAGCTGCAGACGCCACACAAGCCCCATTCTCCAGGGCTCGCCCTTGTGCCACAGACCCTCACCGCCCCTGCTTCTCTGGAAGCAGAAAGGCTTCTGAGGCCTGAGCGGGGAGGCAGGGCAAGGCACGGGAGGAGCGCAGGTGTGCTGGCTCAGCTGACCTCTCAGGGCCCTCCCTGCCCCTCCTGGGCCCCCAGCTCTCAGCAGCCAGTGGGGAAGATGCTATTCCGGAGCCTGCACGCCTCAGCACTGGCCTAGCCTGTGTCTGAGCCCTGGCCCGAGTCTTGCCTGAGTCTCAGCACAGGGCCTAGGAGGTTGCTGAACTAAGGTGAGGTGCCAGTACCTTCACCCCAGGGCTCTGTTCTTGGCCTATAGAAATGACTGTAGCCCTGCAGTGTCAGCACACAAACCATTTACACCGACCTCCCAGCACTAGAGAGGCTGAAGAGCAGGACTGACGCAGCCCCAGCCTGGGGCTCCAGCTCCCTTCTGGACCCTCAAGGGCACTTGCTGTCCCCATTAGGATGAAACCTGGGTGCCTCAGGCTGGAGTGACCTCCTTCATCTCTTTTCATACCTCCCCCATATCCCCCACATCCCCCTCCCTATTCTCCACCTCGGCCTTTGGCTTTTTCCTCTTCCTTCTGCGCTTGAAGAGAATCCGGGATTAAAGAAACGGAGCAAGAAATTGCCAAGAACTAGCCTCGCAGACAATCAGATAGAGGGATGGAGGGCAGGGGCCCTTCCCCCAAGAGGAGCCTGGGCCGTCCAGCCTGATGGGGCCTGGGAGACACGGGGTGTGCTGGCGGGCAGGGGCCATGTCCCGGGTGTGCACAGTGCTGGAAACATCCTCCTCAGCCATGACCTAAACCCAAGTCCTCTTTTGTCCCAGAGAATCAGTCCCAGCAAAGGTCTCACTGCTGGGCCCTTGTCCTAGGTACACTCTTCTACCCCATCCGTCCCCTGCCAAGGAAAGCAAACCCCTCTCTGGCCCCTCTCCAAACCAAGCCCTGCTGGCCCAACACCCCCAAGGGCTCCAGGCCCTGCCGCAGCCTCAGTCCCCTAGTTTTTCCCCCACTTCTCCAAGGAAGAAAGAGGTAACCCCAAGCCCCTTATGGAAGAGTAGTTGGAGGGATGTGAGGAGGCACCAAGAGAGATGTTATTACTAGGATTTTGGTAAAATAAGGTGAGATGTTTTCCTGGGGAGCTGTGAGGTCCCTCTGACCTGGAGGAGGCTCTTATTATATCGGCAATTTCTTGAGCCAGCCCCTTCGCAGGGGTCAAGGAGGACACAGAGGAGAGTCAGGTGCAGTCTCTGTTCTCATGGAGGGCTCAGGTTAGTGGGAAAGAAGTAGGTGATGTTCTCCCCATTTGTAGATGAAGACCAGAGCCTCAGAGATGTTGGGTGACATGCCCAAAGTCATCCAGCTGGGAAGTAGGAGAGCTGGGATTCATTCGTACTTCAGGGCAGGGCCTATGTCTATTTGCTTTTCATCACCGTAATGTCCAATATACATACAGCAGAGCGTGCGAGTCGATGGCTTGTTATGTATGTGCTCACCCATGGAATCACCACCCAGATCAAGGTCTCGGTCACTTCAAGCATTCCAGAAGGCTCCTTTATGCCCCCTCCAAGTCAGTACACCCCCACAGAGTTCCTCTCTATTCTGCAAATCCTGGCACGTTTTTTGTGGGGTGAGGGGTGACATTTCTTGGCCCAGGTGACTCCCTGCTGATGCTGTAACTCAGCTGTCCTGCAAAGATGGCATGGCCCAGCACCCAGCTGGCACACAACAAGAAACCCTGGCACTCTGGAGGGTGAAGAGAGGTGCTGTGGATAATGCCGGGACCACAAGGGTTAACAGGGGCTGTCCCAGCCTCACCTTCTCAACCCGGCCCTGGTGAGCCAAAGTTTTTGGTGGGAGGTGGCAGGGGCAGTGTGCTCATCTGTGGTAGCACAGACCTGGTCCTCCAGCCTCTTCTAGTGACCTCCCAGTCTCAGGACTCACCCAGGAGAGTGGTGGTAAGGGAGCTAATGCTCTCTGGGGTCTAGAACAGGCTTCCTTTGCCCCTGGTTTCAGGCTGTGCTTTCCTTAAGAGAGGACTTCAGAGGCAGCTAGAGGAGCCTCCATGTCTGCCATCCATAGACAATGGAGACTTAGGAAGCAGCACCCCATACCCCTGTCCAGCCAACTGCCCCAAGAGGCCTTCCCAAGCCTATGGGCCCCAGACCCCTAGCACCACAGCCAAGACCCTCACCTGCTCCACCCCACCCCGCCCCATCTGCATCCACGGGCCAGTGGGGGACCATTCAGTGAGATCCTCCCTGTCCTACGGCCTTGGCCGTGACCCCAGCTTGGCCTCTTTGTCTCTCAGCCAGGCCAGCCAGTTCAGCGTTAAAGCTGCTGGAGCATCCAAGGAGACATAAAGAAAGTTTAGAGACTTTTAATTTGCCAGCACGGCTCTCCGCTGGCCAGCAGGTTGAGCGTTTGTGGAGAAGGGCAGCCGCAATAAAGGCTTATTGTTCCTCTCTGAACCACTGCTCGTGACTCCTTTCTTAAGTGAGACAAAGGGAACCCAAGGCCCACAGGTGTCCCCAGGCCCAGAAAGCGGGGCCCACAATTAGCTAAAGTCCCCCAGGGTCAGGCTCTGGGGGTGGGGGCCCAACTCAGCCCCTGTCTAGGCTGTACTCACAGGAGAGCACAAGCCTGGGACATTGTCGGCAGGGAAATACTCTCCAGTGGGGACCCCAGGGCACCAGGAGACAGGACTCCCACAGGGAGGGGGCCAGAGCCCCCTGCAGAAGCACCACACGGAAGAGCAGCTGCAGGGGAGCCGCGGGGATGGGCCTCGTGGTCAGGGTCCTCCCTGGGTGCAGTGGGGGTGTCCCGGGAAAGGCTTCCAACAGCCAGAGAGGCATCTCTGGAGGGAGAGAGTTCCCCACCACAGGGAGCATGTGAGCTGGGAGGGCACCCAGAGGGAAGGTGGGGCTCCAGCTGAGCAGGTCACTTCCAGTGCCCAAAAGGCCAGACTTAGGAAGCCCAATCAGACCCTCTTGGCTGGGCAGAGAAAAGGCAGAGCACAGGAATGTGGTGACCCCCACAGAGACACCCTGCCACTGAGGCAGCCACTGGGAGCCAGGTAGCCACACCCCTGGGGAGAGGTGGCACCATGTCCCATAGCATGCCTTGCTGGGACCACCCAGAATCACATCCCATAGGCAGCACTGCTCAGAGTCTCGGAAAGGAGGCTGCACAGTTTGTCTGTCCCATCCTTCACTCACCCACCATGAGGCTCAAGACCTGAGAAATACATCGTGGCAGATGGTGATGATGGGAACATCCTTTCTCATTCCCCACTGTGCCCTCCAGAGACCCTCTACTTTGCTGCCCAGGACACTAATGGCTTTGGAAACATTATGTGGTTTGTGAGTTCCTGAAATAGTCGCATTTCAGGCCATGAGGCTGCTGGCAGGGAGTAGGGCCATCATGTACAGCTGTGTAGGTTGTGCACTACACAAGGGGGCAAATGAAGAATGGAATCCAGACTTTGTTCTCACCAGTCCCTGGGCACACATGGTCTAACATACACAGAGGCATTGTATGTATATTACTGTGTAATATAGATGTAAATATATTACATACAATGCTGCTGTATTTGATACACTGTAATACACAGAGGAACTGTGTGTGTGTGTGTGTGTGTGTTTGTGTGTGTGTGTGTGTGTATGTGTGTGTGTGTGTGTGTGTGTGTGTGTACTGTAATACAGAGGCACCGAAAGGACTAGTGGAGGCCCGGAAGAGAGGGGGACATTTTTAGCTAAGAGGCAGCCACCTCTCCCATGAAGACTGGCCTTGCCACAGTTTGGCTCTAGCTTCTCTAGGGCACTCTGACCAAGGGTCACATTTCTGAAGCTTTTGTGACAGACCCAGTTCTGGTTGGCTTCCTGCCCCTCCATCCCTCGCATGTGGGGCCTTCCCTGGGGTTGGCAGCAAGAGCAGGTGTCTGAGATTGTGATGTCTGCACACAAGGCTACAGCCCCAGTTGCACCTGGAGCTGCTACTTCAGCCCTCCAACCTCCTGGAGCCTCTCTGCCTTAGGTAATTGGATTGGGGAAAGGGAGTATTATTTACTAGTCGTATGGATCTATTCCTCTCAGCGCCCCCCCACCACCACCTTCCCTTTTCTCTGCCTTGCCAAAGAACAAAGATTGGGGATGAAATAAATTTGATAATAACCAATAAGGACCCCCAGAGAAAATAAAACAGCTTTTATTAAACTTCTTCCAAGACCTTTTGTGCTGAGCCTCTGCAGGCTGTCTCGGAGACTTGCAAGGCTTGGCTCCTTTCCCAGCCATCTAGAGGAGCCCCAGGTGTGGCCCTCACGGCCATCCCTGCAAACACCAGCAATAACTCGGGGCCTCGTCCTTCCCATCACTGTTCTGAGTCAACTCCTATTTGAAAGGCAGTTAGGGCCACAGAATCGCCTTTCAGCTGTGTGTTGCCCGGCTCTGAGGTTTTGCTAGAGTGGCCTTCCTCAGCCAGGCCACGGCTCCGGGTGGCCAGTGCTGACGGGTCCACAGCTCCAGAAGCCACCGAGTAGAGGCTCGGGGCCTGCTGCCATCCATCCCTGGAGTCATCTCTCCAGGTTGAGTACGGCACGATTTAATGCTCCCATCCCTCCATTCCTGCTCTGCATGACAAATTGTTTTAATAAACATAAACCGGGTAATAATAAAGTCATAATAAGCCCGCGACTCACCTTATATCACTGCAGTTAAATCCTCCCATAAGCCGGCACTGGTTACAATGACAATTACGGCCGGGCCAATCCGCAGGCAGGCCTGCGTGCGGACAGATTTAATATCGTTTGTAAATATGATTAGTGGGCTGTCATGTTATTGCAGGCTGCTATTTACATTTCTCTCCGGGGTTATACACTCCGCCAAATCAACATTAAGTAGTGGGTCTCTCTTTCCTCCTTAAATCATACATTCCTTCTGCCTGCGCCAATCCCGCTTAATGAAGAAAGGGAACCTGACGGCAGGCGCTGGGCAGAACGGAGCCTGGCCTCGGCATTTTTCTGAAGACAGATGGGCACGGGGAGCCCCAAGAAAGCTCTGCCCAGAAACTCCAGTGGGTACACGGGCCCTGTCTGCTGCAGCCCCCTCCCTCCCACCCGCTGCCCCGTCCCTCTCCCTGCCTGCTCGCTTATGAAAAATGTTCAAATAATGAATGGTTGTTGTTTACAGAAGCAATTTCATGCTACATTTCCATTATTGCCCGGATTTGTTTAGCTTCCCACCCTACCCCATTGCCTACGATGAACTTTTAAGGAAATATTGCTGGCGCTTCCCGCTCTGCCGTTCTGCTTCTAAGAGAAGCCGCTTGCATTTGAGACATATTGTGACACTTCATAACTGTGTGCAAATAAGCATCCCTAAACTGCTGGTGTCAATTAATCATTGTTGCAAAGGCTGATCTGCTTTAGGTGCACCAGAATCCACTCCCTGGGGAGCCAGGGTGGGTGAGAAACAGCAGAAAATCTGGTGTGGAGGGTGCAGGGGACAGGGGAGAGCAGAACCACGATTCTGCTTTCCAGATCAGCTAAACCACTGGAGACAACACGGCTGTGTTCCTCTCGTCTTCAAAATAGGTTCGTGTGGGCCCATAGGCCAGAGTGTACAGAATGGCTGGGGTGAGGAGCCACTTGAAAGAACTGAATAAAAAATGAATACCATATGCCTCCCATGCTTCCTAAAGAGAGCACTCTAGACAGGATTTAATCTTCTTGTGATAGCCAAGGTCGCCGCTGTGTTTGGAGATATAATATATTGATGCACTTTGAGGCTATCATGGCTGCAGAATGCCCCAGCACCGCGTTTCCTGAGCTCTGTGGTTGGATGCGTGCTGTGTCTCTGTCCCTTCTCTTAATGTCAGGCTATAGTTGGGGTGTCTGTCCACAGCACCCTCACTTCCTCATGCTATTCCTAATCTTTAGGGAGCTGGAGACCAGGAAATCAACTTTGGAGCACGAAGACTAGAAAACCAAACCTTACAAATGTTTTGAGAAAGAAGATGAAATAGACTCTGAGAGCATGGGAACTGTCCGCAAAGTAAGATCAGAGCCTTTTGCTTCCTGCCTGATTCTCAGTTGAGTTGGAGCTAGGAGAGGGACCAGATAGAGGCTATGAGAAGCTATATCCTTAGGCAGAACTGTGTTTGTTCATTCACTCAACAAACACTTTGTACGTTAGGCACCTACTATATACTAGGCACTGTTGTAACCACCCAAGGGGTTCACCTTGCCTACTACCTAGCCAGAGCCGATTCATCAAGACAGGGAAATTGCAATAGAGAAAGAGTAATTCACGCAGAGCCGGCTGAGTGGGAGACCAGACTTTTATTATTACTCAAATCAGTCTCCCCAAGCATTATGGGATCAGAGTTTTTAAGGACAACTTGGTGGGTGGGGGGAAGCCAAAGAGCCGGGAGTGCTGATTGGTTATGCAGGAGATGAAATCACGGGAAGTTGAAGTTGTCCTCTTGCACTGACTCAGTTCCTGGATGGGGGCCACAAGTTTATCCATCTGGATGGTGCCAGCTGATCCATCAAGTGCAGGTCTGCAAAATATCTCAAGCACTGATCTTAGAAGCCATTTAGGGAGGGTCAGAATCTTGTAGCTTCCAGTTTCATGACTCCTAAACCATAATTTCTAATCTTGTGGCTAATTTGTTAGTCCTACAAAGGCAGTCTAGTCCCAGGCAAGAAGGAGGTTTATTTTGGGAAAGAGCTGTTATCATCTTTGTTTTAAACAATAAACTGTAAACTAAGTTCCTTCCAAAGTTAGATTGGCTTACGCCCAGGAAGGAACAAGGACAGCTAAAAGGTTAGAACCAAGATGGAGTCGGTTAGGTCACATCTCTTTTGCTGCCTCAGTCATAATTTTGCAAAGGCGTTTTCACTGTGGATCAAGTTCCCTGTTCTCATGGAGTTTACACTTTAATGAAAGACGGCGCAAGGCTGCTGTGTATGGTCACACAGTTGCACACTGCACAACTCTGAGACAGCAGTGCACCCTGCATGAAGAATGTAATGCGAACAGCATTCCTTGAAGCTGTGCAATGTCACAGCTCTGCAAGATAGTTAACTAAGAAGTCAGAGAATTTTGGAGCGGGATAACTGCTATGAAGAAAATAGTAAGGGGTACAAAACAGAAATTGATTGGAGACATGGGGTCTCCTTCCTTCTCTGAGGAGGTGGTGTTTGAGCTGTAATAAACATATATCCCCCTCTTAGTGGACGCACGCAAATCCTTACAGACCCTATGTGCATGCACACCTGTGTACCCTTTCTTCTTCATTAATGACTCCTGAATGAAATGGTTTCTCCTCATAATGGCCTACAGTTGCCAAATTTTGTATAATGCATATTTATTATTTTAATAAAAAGAAATAAAGGTATAGGTTTTTTTTTATGTAAAGGGAGATCTAGAAACTTCTGGGGATGATTTTCATCCAAAGGGTTAAGTGATAAACTGTTGGTGCTTCAATGGCCACACATTACACTATCTGGAAAATGTGGGTCACTTGAAAACCTCATTCCCAGAGGGTCAAGCATGTGTGTAAGGAGAGGTAGGGATGGGTGTGTCTACGGGTGACATGACAGGCATGTGGGCGACCCCAAGATCCAAGGTAGAGAAACAGACCACAGGTTCAAGGACCACGTGTTCACTGGGCATATCAGCCAGCGCAGAGATTAGGGTTGGGGCCGTGGCCAGAGAACTGTCTCAGTCCCAACAATGCAGAGGAAGCGTGAAATGTGATGAAAGAGTGTCGCTGGGCACTGAAAGTGGAAATTGGTATTGATTTTCCAGAGCCTGATGCTCAGGGGAGCGCATCAGGTGCAGCCTTACAGGCGTGGTCCATTCGCCCTGGAGGGCCCACAGGGTCTGTGGCGCCCCCTGCCTGCCTTGTGTGTCCACTCCACAGGGCCAGCTCTCCCAACCTAGCCTCCACAAGTTCTGCAAAGCACCTTGCCCTCTGTGCCACAGGCCCTGCTCAGAGAGTGGAAGGGAGGTGATGGTGGGAGAGGAGAGTCCTGGGTGGGCACAGCTCTTGGCTCTGAGACATGTAAACAGAAGTCAGATCACTGCCCCAACTCTGGATTCCTGCCCTTCATCACGAGTTGCCACCAGGCACCAAGCTGAGCCCCCAGCATTTAAGCCTGTCCCTGCACGAATCCAGAGCCATGTGGGAGAAGAGCAAGCTCCAGCTAGGAGCTGGGAGCAGTGAATGGAGGTGAAAACTCCAATGAGTAGCCCTGGATGCAAGACCAGTGCAGCCCCACGAAACCTCACACCCGCAGGCAGGGGCTACCATCCAGGGAGGTGATATAATGCAACTGGTAAGAGAGGGGGGTCTTCAGAGTCAGCCAGGCCTGGGCTGTCATCCTCACTCTTTCATTGCCCAGCTATGTGGACCTAGGCAGATTAGTTAACTTTCTAGAGCCTCAGCAGTCCCATCTATAAAATGGAGATATTCGTTGTATTGTGAGGATTCCATCAGATAAAGCAGGCAAAACACGTAGCCCTGGCTTGGCTCTAGTATGTACCCATGACTGTTAGCTAAAACAATAGCAACAGAAACCAAGGACATAGGGCAGAGCTGAGGCCCACCTCTGTTCCCACCCCCTCGACTTTCCCTTCGTGAACGGGACTGCCATCACCTCAATTGCCTGAGGCAGAAACGCTGGGATGGTCCTGGACTCCTCTCTCTCCCCCAACAATGAACTAGTCATCTGGTCTTGCCTGTTCCACTTTCTGAAGATCCTTCCATTCCCATTGCCTCCTCTCCTGCCAGGCACCATGATTTCTCTCCTAGGTCACTGCAGTAGCTCTAGACTGGCCTCCCCAAATCCACTCCTCCCTCTCCATTGCATTTGACACCCACGTCTAAAGCAGCTCTGGATTCCTCACATTCTGAGTTAATGTCTTCAGTAGCACCACCCCCCTCCCAACTTTATTCTGTCCTTGCCTGTCCTCCTGTCTGTCTCCCCCAGTGGAATGTGAGCTCCTTGGGCAGAGCCCTTGGATTTTCACCACTGCACCCCCAGTTCCTAGCACAGTGCTTGGAACAAAACAGGCTCATAAAATGATAAATCCTCAAAGGCATGAAGGAGTGGCCTGTTGGGAGTGTGGTGAGATGGGAAGTAGGGTGGCTGGGGCAGAGCTACAGAGGTGGTGGAAGGCACAGGAAGAAGAAATAGTGGGCAGGAGCCACTTTGTGAAGAGACTGGAATGGCATGGTAAAGATCCTTCACTTTCTTCTGCAGGCAGTGGGAATACATTGAAGGTTCCACGCGGTTCAAAGACATGATGTGCTTTCTGTCTTAGAAAGGTTGCTCTGGGTTGGGGAAATGTGGAGGAGAGATAGAACAGACAGGAAATGCTTCCAGCTAGTCTTCTGGATGAGCCAAGGGTGGCTGGGCCAGGGTGACGAAGGCAGTGGAAAAGGGGAACCAGATCCAACAGGCTCTTTAAGGAAGCGAAATGAACAGGACCTCATGACTGTTGAGCTTGAGTGAAGAGAAAAAGAGAGAGGTGGAGGGCCTAGCATGATGCCAAGCTTGTGGAGAATTTCCAGACAAACCTGTGCGATGGGATTGCCATTTGGCAGGATGCTGAATATGGGAGGAAGGGCAGTTTGGACCAAGGACAGTGAGTTGGGGTGGGAGGAAAGTGATGGGTTGCATTTTGAACATGGATCTCCCAAGTGAAAATGTCTGGAATCTGTTTGCTACGAGGGTGTGGAGCCCAGGGGATAGCTCAGGGCTGGGGACAGAGATGCGGGGGCTTCAGTGCACAGCTGAACCGTGTGAGGAGCCGTGGGATGGGCTAGATTGGGAGGGCCATGTCTGATGCAAGGAAGGGGTCTGCGTTAGAGCCCCGGGGAACATCAACATTTCAGATGCCAATGGCGGAAGAGGAGAGTGGGGAGCAGCCAGTGAGGCAGGGAGGAGAGGAGAAGTTGGTGGGGCAGCAGGGGGGGCGGGGCGGGAGTCAGGCAACACAAGCAGGAAAGAACTCACAGAAGCCAGGGCAGCCATGTAGCCCGCAGAGACCTGACAGGAACGGAAGGGGTTCCTATGTGTGGGAGGCAGTCGGGGAAACAAAGATGAAAAAAGTGGGTTTTGGTAATGATTGGGGAGACTTGAGTATATATAGTTACCTATTGATTTAATTTATATCCTACTTTCTTTCCAAAATTAGTGAAGGCAGCTGAAGAAAATGTGATCATGTTTAGAGCTGAGGAGAGAACAGAGACGCGGGGCCAGGCTCACTTCTTTCACGGTCGCCGGAAGGGCAGCCCACCTCAAAGGCCTGCGTGGAAAATGGCCCTGAGCACGTGCTGTGTACGAGGCGGGGCCATAATCAAAGTGGGGACAAAATCAGAGTTGGATGAGGTCAAGGTGGGAGTCAAGATGTGTGAAGTCAGGGTGGGGTCACTGGGAGTGGGGAGGCGAGGATGGGGTCAGACAAAGGCAGAGTGGGGTGAGATTAGAGGGTCCAGGTATCGAGGGAGTGAGATCAGGGTGCATGACGTCCCCAAGGGAACAGGGTGAGGTTAGATTCAAGTGCCAAACAGGTAAGTGTGGTTGGGGGAGCCAGGGTGGGTGGGACCCTAGCAGGAGTGGGTAGGAACAGTCACTCTGAGTGGTGACTGTGACGACAGCTGCCCTGTCCCTTCTCCAGCCCCTGTGTGTACATGTATACACAGCTGGGTGGTGTGTGTGTGTCATGTCCTTTTGAGACTGCATGCATGTGCTCCCTTGTGGATGTGACACAGGGTGCATATTTTGTATAGTGTGCATGTGCATGCACTTTTTCTCCAAAATCGGAGAATGAATCTAGTATTATAATCAGAAATTAGATAAACACTCCTCAAAGCCATGACCAAACATCCCATTATCTCTGGTTCCTAAGTGTTATTATGTTTTCTAATAATTTATCAAGGCCAAAGAACTTGGGAAGTGATATGGAGAGAGATGACCTTTGGTCCTTGGTGGCTTTGGAAGGACATATTCTCAGTCAGTGGGAATGCGACAGGGGGCAGGTGGTAAAGAACTGATCCTTCAGGTCTAGAATATTCTCTGCAGCTTCCCACCCTGCTGCTCTCATGCCCTGGCAGTGAACCTTACTGAGCCCAAACTACCCTTCCGCCTGTATCAGCATCTGCATGAATGAACTGTCTCCCCATCCCCTAATCCAAAGGTCCCCAACCCCCAGGCTGCGGACCGGTACTGGTCAACGGCTTGTTAGGAACCGGGTTGCACAGCAGGAGGTGAGTGACAGGCAAGCAAGCATGACCACCTGAGCTCCACCTCCGTCAGATCAGCAGCAGCTTAGAGTCTCATAGGAGCGTGAATCCTATTGTGAAATGGGCATGCGAGGGATCTCGTTTGAGCACTTCTTATGAGAATCTAATGCCTGATGATCTGAGGTGAAACAGTTTCATACCCAAACCATCCACCCTACACCACTCCCTACCCGATCTGTGGAAAAACGGTCTTCCATGAAACCAGTCCCTGGTGGCAAAATGTTGGGGACTGCTGCCTTAACCCATCCTACGACAGGAGCCAAAGGTCCTTCAGTGAAAACTTCAGTGGCCCCCATTGCCTCCAGAGTCAGGTGCAAAATCCTTACCTGGGCATTCCAGACCCTGCCTGCTCTGGCATCTGCCCATCTTTTCTTCTGTTGCCTCCCTGGCCTCTGCGGCCTTGTCCCAATCACCCTACTCCTCAATGCCCACCCCACCCCAATAAGGCCCCTATTTCATGCCTGCAAGGCTTTGCAACCAGACACTGGTTCAATGTGTTGGCTCTAAATACTAGTAGATATGGGACTTGGAGGTGGCCCTAGTAGATATTCATTCATTCATTCATTCTTTAATTCAACAGATATTTATTACTTGCCTCCAGGCTCTGAAGATATGAAGATGACTAGAACTCAGACAATGACCGCTGGGGCTGGTTATCCCTCAAGAGAGAGTCAGACTAATAGAGAGTGTCAGCCAGGCTGACACCGAATACAATAGAAGCTCCACAAATCTATATTGAATAAATAGGTGGACAAATGTAGTAGGTGTTATAATAGGTTCATGCATAAGGCGCAATGAGACAAAAGAAAAGGAACCATCTTCACCTCTTCCTGGAGGTCAGGAAAGACTCCACCAGGCTAGTGGCAAAGTAGACAAACTCTTGGGGTCGACTAGGAGCATTCCAGGTGCCAGTGGGGAAGGACATTCAGCAGATGACAGCACAGGCAAAGGAGGAGAGGCAGAAAGGAGCGGCATAGGGCAATGAGATCTCTTGGCATGGCTGGGCACAGGGGTGGGGTGGGAGGGGGCAGATGAGACTGGGGAGGAAACCAGCTCTCATCACAGAGGGCAGTGAGTGAGGACTTCATTCTGTAAGTGAGGGGGACTCGTCTAGCTGGTCAGGGGAACGACGATTCAGGGGGCCTGGAAAAGGGGAGGCATTTGAGTGCAGGTCTGTGGGACTTGGTTGTTGAACAGAGAGCTGTGCCCTGGATGTGGCGGCCCATTCCTAGAAGGGCCCCGTGCTTAGAGTTTCATGCCCTGCAGTTGCCAGCTTGAAATTCTTATCATCTTATCTTTGAATGTGTGTTTTGTGGCGAAGCCTGATGGGACATGGAGGCTGTGCCCGGGCTTGGAGCACAGTCCTACTTCCCACTACCTCCCTGGAAGGGAGGACTTCTCAGTGGCTTAATTCCTCCCACCTAGTGCCCCAGCCTCCTCAGCCTCCTTGTCCTAGGGCTGTGCCTGCCACCGCCCTCCACACCAGGCAGGGTCCGTCAGAGTGGCAAGGAAAGGCTCCCATTCCACGGTCACCTTCCACCCTGGCAGTGTTCCGTGCAAAGAAGCAGGGAAGACCAGGTGTGTGCCCACAGCTTCTAGGGTGGGGCAAGGTGGCAGCCATCCACCCTGGTCTGAGAAACTAAGGTGTGTTCCACAGTCAGCTCCATGGGGGCCTCTCCCTCATCCCAGAATCAGGTACTGAGCAAGCTCTGACATGGAGGTCGTAATCCCTGGGGGTCACATACCAGCTGTGGGTTGTGGTGACGGGCCTCTGAAAAGGGGAGGCTGACTTCCCAAATCTGGGCCTGGGGCCACATTTTCATTTTGCACCAGTCTCAGAAAATTATGTAATGGTTCCTGACTGGATCAGTGTTCTCTAATGCAGGGTGCATGTGCCCCGAAGACTTTAGCAATCACATGCACAATAAGCAAGACAGTTTGGAGATCACCCGTATGGATGCCCGTGACAAATACCACCACCCAATCAGCAACATCACACAGATGGAGGTGCCCCCATCTAGAATGGGGTCAAGGATTAACTTTTGACCAATGGCTAAAGGAAAAAACATCTTGAAATAAGATCAGAGACAGCTATGTATGTCCCAGTCTTAACCACATGGAGTCCCTGCCGGCAGAGACAGGTTCCCATCCCAAATATCCTCATGCCTGGGTACTAGGTGGCAAAGGGCCTTTTTATCTGTGCAGGATGACAGATGAGGCACGTGGGGTGCAAAACAAGGCAGGCCCTTTCGTGGCTGTCCCACCGTTTGTTCTGGCTTCTCCTTTGCCGTGGCCATGATGGAGTAAACAAGAGAAAGCTCTATCATTGCTATTTATTGCAGATTTCAGGGGTGGATGGATCTCTGTGGGCTCTGTTTTTATGGATTTGCCCATTGAAAAAGACTAATTGTGTCCTACCTGTGGCTTAGGTTGCTGTTAGGACCTTCAGTGAGGTGACTCCAGGAATTAAGAGTTGGAGGTTTGGCTATGCCACTTACCCCTGTGGGACATTGGGCAAGTTATTTAACCTCTGAACTTCTGACTCCTTGTCTACAAAAGGGGGACAGTAATAGCACCAACTTCATGGTACCATCGTGAGGATTAAATTAAATAAATCTCCAAATTTGTAGTGCAGAGCTATTGGATAATGATAATAATAAAAGCAACTAACACTTTTTATTGTGCTTACTTTGTGCTAGGTACTATTCTCAGTGCTTTCCTTCCATATCAGTGTGTTTAGTTCCCATCACTATAAGACAGGTCCTACTCTTATGTCCATTTTACAGATGGAGAAGTTGAGGCTCTGAGCCAAGAAGAACTTGCCCCAAATCATATAGCTGGTAAACGGAAGAAGCAGGCTACCCAGGTAGTCTGGCTTCAAGATCTTCGTTCATAATCATTGTACTATTCTGCCTTGTTTGTTAAAATAAGTGCTCAGTAAGATGACAGTTGTTTTTTTTTCTTTTTTTCTTTTCGTTTTTTTTTTTTTTTTTTTTTTTGAAACAGAGTCTCACCCGGGCTACAGTGCAGTGGCACAATCTTTGCTCACCACAGTCTCAAACTCCTGGGCTCAAGCAGTCTTCCTACCTCAGCCTCCTGAGTAGCTAGGATTACAGGTGCACACCATCATGCCCAGCTAATTTGTGTATTCTTTTTGTAGAGACAGAGGTCTCACTTTGTGCTTAAGCTGGTCTCAAACTCTTGGGTTCAAGCAATCCTCCTGCTTCGGCCTCCCAGAGTTCTGGGATTACAGGAGTGAGCCACCATGCCTGGCTTATTTTTCTATTTTTAAAAATTATTTTTCTTTCACACACATGCCCACACTCCTGTACTCATCATCACATACATATATCTATTTGTGAGCCTCTCAGCTGAGAACTTGCCTTCCGAGGCAATGGAAGTTCAGGGGCCCGGGATCATGTTAGAAAGGTCACTTCTTGGGAACATGGGCCTGGTAAGGACATAGAATAGCCAGAGCCAGGCTGCTGCAGCCAGAGGATGCCCACGCCCCTCCCACCAGGCCAACAAAGGGCATGCACAGAAGCCAGAAAACAGAGGGGGGGGCCTGGCTCTCAGCTAAGCCCATTGCAAGCAGCAAGTGGTCCCTGGTGTCACATGAGGGCAGGCCAGGCAGCCCGGCTTTACCAGTGGGAACTGGGTTTCCTAATTCCAGAAGGTTGGCCAAGAACAACCCACGCCCTTCCTTACTCTGTGGTATGATTCAGGGGCAAAAGACCTGCATGCAGGCTCCTGGGAGAGGGGAAGAGAAGGCAGTTGTGAACTATTCCCTGGGATCCCAGCTGAGTGGTCCTCTGGCCCCGCTTCCAACCTCCAGTGATAGGGAGCCTACATCCTCCTGGGGTGGCTGTGATAATGTCATTCATCAGCCCAGCAACACCATCCACCTGACTGTAGCTCCTCCCTTCAGAGTCTAAGCAGGCCCCTTGAAGCCTCCCAGGGCTTGTGGAATCCTTATGCAACCCGGCACTCAACGACCCTCCTCCCTGACAACCAGGTTTGGCCTGCTCCAGGCCAACACCCCGCCTTGCTTTCCCATCTGCTCAGACCACCTCAACCAGGTCCCTCCTACAGCAATCGGACCTGGGACGGGGTCCTGAAGACAGCAGTTTGTTGGAGTCAATAAGAGACAATTGGAAAATATTCAGGAATTTTTTGAGTCAGTTATTAAACTATTAGTTGTTTAAAATCTGCCACTGTGGGGGCATTTACATCAAGGAAATTGGCAAACACTGTAAACCAGGACCTTTTCCCCACCTGGAGAACTGATTTAGTAGCATGCCACTGCCCCATTCCCATAGCCCAAGTGTTTGGAAAGGTCTAGGGGATTTTGTGTGGGTGTGTGCGTGTGTGTGTGTGTGTGTGCATGTGTATGTGCCTGTGTGTGTTTGCTTTTGTGGGTGTCCCTGTATGGATCTGTTTACGTACATACATGAGCATGCACGAAGTGCATGTGCATTTGTGTGTCCCTGTTTGTGTTCTGACAGAGTGGATTCTCTATGGCAAGAATTTCCCATCATAGGGGAATTGTCCCCTAGAGGTCTAGCAAGGAGCTCAGCACAGAGAGCCTGCCCTGTGATGGCACAGGCTTTCTTCAGCCATCCATGGGGGTCTTGGTCCCCACCGTAATTGTATAGTAAAAGGCTGGGGCTTCTGCGGAAAGAAATCCAGTCGCGGCTCCAGAGTCACAGCACCTGGTCCAGTAGCCACTTGCTACCTCTGTTCACCAGCTGTGTTCTGATGCATTTGGTTGTTATCTGATGTTTAAATCCTCACGGGAAACAAAGTTTGGTCCTTTTGGAAAGTCTTAAATAGAAAGCAGTTTAAAACCAGCAACAACAACTACTGGAGGTTAGTGAAGGGATAACCTGTAGTTTTCCAAGTCAAATGGTGTTCATAGTGAATCCAGAACAGATCAGTGAGGAGGCAGAAATGGAGGGCCTGTTTCTATGTGGCTCTGTTCACTACGACAGGTGGGGACAGGCCAGGACTCAGCTGAGCCAGGCACTTGTGGAACGAAGTGGGAACTTTTTCTCTCAGTCAAAAAAGTTACCAGGTACACCTGGGGGCGTCTGCAAATGGGAGGGACAATGAGTAAGTCAGAGTGCCGTGTCCCCCATGCTGGCCACACACAGCAGGTGCTCAGTAAATGTTTTCAGTAATATTGTTTTATTTGGGAACTTTTTTCCTAGAGAAAGAAAAAATAAAACCTGAGGTGTCTGCATACCTTGGGTCCCCTGGACCCTGGTCGGATCCCAAGATGTAAAGACAAGGACCCAGGCCCCTCTTCCCCTTCCCATCTTCCCGAAGGCCTGAGAAGGACTTTGTTGCTTTGGTCCCAAAGGAAAGAAGCCAGGGAAGGCTTCTACTTGCAGAAAGGATGACTAGAAGGGTACGGATCTCAGGCTAAGGCCCATTCACTCTCTAATCCTAACTGGCCACTCTTTTTGGGAACTCTCAGAGAAGTTGGTTGTAAACTTTCTGAGAAAGAGAGTGGGGCCATAGCTGACCACCAGCTGGACCAGCCCTCCTGGCCTTAGCAGCTGTCCTCAGCGGCACTTGGATGGGCTTGGCTCTGCCTCCAATCCCTTGCCAACCCAGGACACGACAGCACATTCGGCTCACTGGAGCCACTGATAAAGGAGGCTACTTGGGAGGAACCAATCCAGGGACCACAAACTAGAGGCTTGGCTTCCTAGTGCTGGGCAGCTGCTCTCTGGCAGAATTCTAGGGGTTCCCCCAACCCCTGAGATGACTCAGAATGTGGGGAAAGGGAAGGGGAGTGGCAAATAAAGACACTTACCCCAAGCTGTTATCTGCTTTGCATAATGGGCTTATACAAAAGATTTGTTTTGAAAAAGGGTTTGGCCACTTTTTAAAACCTGCAAGTCATTAGTCTAGGAGTGGCAATCCTCACTGCATTGTGTAAGCTGGTTAATAACCCATAGGGGATTCCACATGTGTGTGAGGGGGTAGGGGTTGTATGCATTTTGTGAAAGAGTCTCAGGCGGTTCTCATATGCCCTGTTTGAGAACCAGTAGCCTAGTGGTTCAGAGAAGGCTGAGCTGGACAGGTACCAAGGACAGGACAAACATGCCCTTTCTGTCTGCCCACACTATCTTCCTGTGACTGATCTGTGGGCTCAGAGGCCTGCCTGCATGTCTTGGGTTTACATGAGGTGCTGTCCTGGTGGCCCGGGCGAGGCTTTCCTAGGATTACAGGTGCAGCATGTCCAGGCTGGGAAGGGGTGGTTGGAACCGTCCCCTGTCCCTCAGGCATGCCACTCAGAGGCTAAAGGAGAAGAAGAGAGCTCTCTGCAACCCCAAGAGGACAGGGAGTCCTCTCAGCATGGCTGGGGCCACAGAGATGCCTCTGAAAGACAGGGAAGTGGGGTCCCTGGAGAGGGTGACGCCACTCCTCGTATTTCTCATCTCCCCTTCCATCCACATTCTCAGTGCTTTGTGATTTGGAACTGACAAGAAGGGGATCCCTGAGACAAAGGGAGGATGAGGGGCTGCCCTGGAGGAGGCTGTGTCCAAGGTTGGTGCCAGGCCCTTCCTAGAGCCTATCGGCCTCACCTGCCCCTCACCACCCGCAGTCCCTTTTCCCCATATCTTCTTCCTAGGCTGGGCCTAGGTGTGCCCCCCACCCCCTCCCCATCCTCTCTGCTCACTCCTGGCCTGGCACAAGTCTTCCTTCCCTGTTCTGCCCCTGTTCCTGTGTGGCTCTGCCCACCTGCCCAGGGTGAGCCTGTGCCAGAAGCCCAGGTCCTCTAGGGGGCGGCAGAGAGAGCACAGGCTGAGCAGCCGATGATTCATTTGTGTCCCTGAATTGGGACAATCCAATGGCCTCTCCGGGCCTCCGTTTTTACACTTGCTTGTGGGGGAGGTGACTCACCGGCCTCTCCCTGTCAGAGGCACTGCTGCAGCTGAGCCGCTGCAGAGAACCTAAGCGGGAGGTGGGAAGGACTGTAGGAGGGTGAGCAGTGGCAAAGCCTGGCCAGGCAAGTGTGCTGGGGACAGCCACTGTTCAGCACCCCCACCCCAGGACGGCAGACCAGCGGCTACAGCCAGGCCAGGACGGCATGCTGGTGTCCGGTGGCCTGGGTCCTAGCCCTGGGCACTTGGTCACTGAGAACCAGGCAGCACTCTGTGCCAGGAGGAGCCCAGCACCCCGGGGGCCTCGAGTGCCCACTCGAGAACTGCCTCTCTTCCCTCCACCCCTGCCTGCATTTTCTCAGCTCTGTCTGACTTTAGGGCTAATAGATTTGGGATTTCTCTTTGTAAAGAAATACAACCCCAGCGCACAGGGGCCGGGAGGTCCCCAGCCCATCCAGGTTCCCAGAATCTTACATCCTCTTTGCCTCTCCCCTGGGGAGGGTTGGAGTTTGGGTCCAGGGGAGGTAGCTGGCCCTGCCCTGGAGCGCTAGGAAGTCAAGGAGGCTGGAGGGCCTGGCCTCTGCCATGCTACACCAGGAGGCCCAGAGGGGTTTATTTGGATTTTTTTTAATTATCATTTTTCACTTTTTTTCTCCTCATGAAAAAATTTTAATACACACAGTAAATTAAGCCTGGAAAAAGGGAGGGGGGCACATTTCATCTTTAATCTATTTACTTCTGAATATTTAACATACAATTCTGGCACCAATCACCAAATTTAACTGGAAAATTACTCACTAATCTGTTTGCTTATTTGGAATAATTGGGTCGGCTGCCAGCGCGAGGATTTCCCCCCCCCCCAGTTTAATATCTCAGTTAGTAGTCCAATTTCAGCTTGGCGGCATAATTACTCTGACAGAGCTGTAGCCACGGGGCCTGTGAGTGGGGCTGCTTTTAAACCGTAAATTATGAAGGATTAGCATTTATGAATTTTAAATCAGGGCTGGGGTAGGAGACACTAAAGCTGCTTAACGCTGGGGAACAGCAGCCTCCACTCAGTAGCAGAAGCCGTAACCCTTCCGCTCCCAGGACGGGCCATAGGACGTGGGAACCCGAGACGCAGGAAGTGGTGACCTGTGGGACACGGAGCCCTAGGAGTTCGGATCACGAGGGACATGGGGAGTGGGGGATGGGAGAGAGCACTGAAGCACTGATGAAGCCCCTGGGGGCTAGAAGCCTGGGGTGATGTGGACGTGGAGCAGGTGCTTTGGCTTCTCTCCTGGTCTGTGGGCTACAGTTTCCCTCTGGGAAGCAGCAGGGTCGTTGCCCGGAGCAAGCTTCGAGTGGCAACCCAGAAGTGAGGAGGTCAATCCCCGCAGCCCCCTGCCTCCTGCCTCCACCCTCCCACCTCCCACAGGTTGGGTCTCTACTTCTCTTAAGAATCCCCATCTGCAGCTGCTAAAGTTTGCATTCTTTCTTTCTTTTTTTTTTTTTCTTTCTTAAGAATCCCCATCTGGCCGTGAGCCAGACTGACCCAGTGCCCTCCAGCTCCGAGTGTGACTTCCTGGCGTGCCCTGCTCTGCCGAGCTGGAGAAGGGCCACCATCGGTGCTCTCTCGGGTATGTGATCTAAGTTCTCACCTTCCTTCCCACTCTTCCTCCGTCCCTCCTCCCCACCCGCCCCTCTCTGGCACCATGGCATCATGGACCCTGTAAAACCAGATAGAGCCGACTTGAAATCTGGCTGTGCTCCTTATTAGCGGGGTGACCTTGGGCAAGTTACTTAACCTTTCTCAGTCTCCATCATAGTTCAGTTCAATGAAGACAGTAATTCCTACCCTGCAGGGCTACTGGGAGACTTCCGTGAAATACCGTGGGCGAAGTGCCAGGCACAGTGCTTGGCACACGGCAGGTGTTTACTGGGTCAGCCCCATGCTCTTTGGAGTCTTCCCCAAACCTGAGTCAATGCCCTGTGTCCACTGCCCTCTCTCTGTCCTCCATTCCCCCATCTCTCACAGAGCATGGGACACTTCAGCGTATGGCCTCAAGACCCAACAGGTTCTCCAGGACTGGCCCCTATCAGGAGAATCCCTCTGTCTAGGAATCTGCACCTCAGCCTGACCTTATTGGGAGTGGGAGCTGGTACCAAGGTTGGATGCTGGGCACTAGTAGCCACTAGATATAGGTCTAGGACATCTGCTGGACCACCAGAACGCTCTGGAGCCAGGCTGGCTGGGTTTGAACTCTTACTCTGCCATTCACTATCTGGGTGACCTTAACCAAGTTATTCAGCCTCTCCATGCCTCAATTTTCTAATCTGCAAAATGGGAATAATAACAAGAGTATCTCATCATGGTTCTGGTAGGAGGATTCATGAGTTCATCAGTGTACAGCATTCAGAACCACATTTGACACACAGGAAGTACTAGCTGTGCTTGTTGTCATTACTTGCTATCCTTCTGAGGGGGTGACTGTCCTCTGTGGGACCTGCCTGTTCTGAGGTTGCAGATTGATTTCCCTGGGCTTGAGATATCTCCAGATTGCCTACAAAAACAGGAGAAAAGGAGGCAGGACCTGAGTGGGTGGGACAGGACCACCTAGAACATGCTGAGGACCATTCTGGACCACATCACTCTGTGTTTGGGATCAAGCAGTCCCTACTAAAGCCAGACCTCTCTCTGTCCCATCTGCTGGCCATGGGGCCTTCCCATGATGCAGCTCTGGCCAGGGGCCTTCTGAGGTACCTGGTGGGGCAGATCCCCAGGGTCCAGGCCAGCTTGGGGGGGGGGGCAGCAGAGGCTGGAGGGCACAGGGAGAGAGCACAGGGATGCCTCAGCCCAGAGAGACCTCTCTGTGGGCCAGCCCTCCTTACCAGACTGAGGGCTTTGCCACTGCTCACCCTCCTACAGTCCTTCCCACCACCCGCTTAGGTTCTCTGCAGGGGCTCAGCTGCAGTGGTGCCTCTGACAGGGAGAGGCCGGTGAGTCACCTCCCCCATAAGCAAGTGTACAAATGGAGGCCCGGAGAGGCCATTGGATTGTTCCAATTCAGGGACACAAATGAATCATTACCAGACTGACCAAAATCTCCATCCTCCAGATCTGAGCTAGAACAGGGCAGTGGTGGCTGGAAAAGGAAGGGTGGGGGCCAGTCTAGGGACCCCAGCATGGAGGCTGAGCAAGTTGGGCCAGTCCCGGACCCAGGTGCCTGGCATTTGGGCCTGTGGACTTGCCCTCTTGGCCTCACCCTTCCTACTCCCCCTTGCTAGCCACCCAGCCCCAGCCACACTGTCCTAGACTATCATGTACACACTGTGACAAGCTGCCACTTCCTTAATGCGAGTCCTCTGGCAATTCACTTCCCCATTCTGGACCCCACTGTGCACATCTGAAAGAAGCGCAGGAGGGGCCTGCCTGCCTATGGGTCTCCAACTCAAGTGAGCGGCCTGCTGTCTCAGCAGAGTGGACACAGCATGGCACCTGCTCTCTGCAGAGGGTATCCCACAGGCCCAGGCTGGGTGAAGTTTGACTTCATGGGACATACTGGATGGATGTGGCTGCCCAGTATCATCTCCATGACCTTAGGCTTCATGTCAGGCCAAGCCCCAGCTTCAGCAACCCTGCCATGGGAACCCTGCTGGCAACGAGAGTCCTGGGGAAATGTTGCAGCCTACTTGCCACATCTGGGACTCTGTGGGCCCTCACATGGTATTAATGCTCTTTTTAAAAATGGCCTGCATGATAATTTTGCTTCAGCAAAGAAATTCTTAAGTATCCCTCCTTTTACCTCTATCGTACCCCACCCACACCATCGGCCCAGGTCATCTGGCCCTTAGGGGCCATGATTTGGTGGGGTGCGGGCGGCGGGGAATGCAGGGAGGGCAAAGGGAGAAGGAAGCACCTGCAGTGGCTGCCGTATGTGTGCATGTCCAGGCCCAGAAAAGCGCGTTCCCAGGGGCCTCACAAGATTTCTGGCGCTGCTGGTCTCCGACCACGCTAGGATGCTTGATGGATGGGAAGTGCCTGGTTTGTCGAGTCCTTGCTGGGCTTTGTGATAACTCATTATATTTCTTTCTTTACAAATTGCCCCATTAGCACTCCTGAATTGAACTGAATCATAAAGCCAGGAGCATCTCAGCCTGGGCTGAGTCTGGGCGATGAATTACCTGTGGAGCAAAGGCCTGCGTTTTGGGGAGGAGGCTGGGGGCAGCTGGCTGGTGTGGGCCCTAAATTCTGCAAGGGAAATGGGTTTGTTTTCTTTAAGCTCAAGAGAATAAAAGAGTTCTAACCAAGTCCTGCTGGATTTAAATAGCAAGATCTGCCTCGCTGCTCATTGGCTTTCAAGCTGGGGGCTCTGATCCCTATTTGAGGGGTTAAACTCTAACCCCATTAAGCCATTTATGGAAAGCTGACCACCAGGGAGGGAGGCAGCCCCTCTTCCTGCAGCCTCCCTAAACCCCACAGATTCCGAAATTGGTTGTCACTCTCAGTCAGAGGATTCTAAACAAGTAGGCGCTAATCCCCTCTGTTAAGGAGATACTTATTTTGTCTGAAAAACTTCAAAGAGCCCATGACAGACACTCAGAATCAAAATTAGCATTCCAATGAGGATTTAAAAAATAATAATTCTTACAGTTCTGCAGAAGAGAGGAGGAGAGGTGAAGTGACTGGCCCGGAGGCTGGGGGAAGGAGGAGGGGGCGAGCTCCTTTCATCTGCCCACCCCAGGAGCTCTGGGGATCTGCCCTGCTGGCTGAGATGTGGAGCTCCCTCTCCATAAAGGGGCAAAGGCTGGCCTGCAGCCTGCCCCGCCAGGGTGGGCAGGAAGTGGCCACTGCCCCAAAAGGATTGTGCAGATGAGGAATTCAAGGCTTAGAGAGGGCCGTGGTACCCTGCCCATCAGTGACTAAGCTGCAGTTGAAACCAGGTCTCTGCACCTGGGGTGGGCCTGCATGGCAGGATGGGTTGCCGGTCAGTCTGCCTGAAGGCGGCAGTGGTGTTCTCTACTGGCAGTGCTTATAGGAGATGGAGACACTGGCATGTATCCCAGGACAGGTGAGTGGCAGAGTGTGGAGCCAGCTGCCTGACCAACACCCCTGCCATGTTACAGCAGCATGAGGGAACTGCCAGAGGGCTGGGCTTCTGACACTTCCCTCCTGATGAGTCACCACTCACCCCCATGCCTGACCTGTCCCTTTGCTGGATGATTTCACCCCAGCCCCACGCCACCCCTTAACTCATCCTTCCCACCCTAGGAGGCCTCTCTAGCCCTCCCTCACCGGTGTCATCTTGGCATTTTCCTCTCTTGAGGGACCCCACTGTTCCAGATGCCCCCGGCTTCCAAGGCTGGGAGGAGCCACTCATCTCCAGACACGCTCCTCCCTCCCAGTTGCTCTGGCACCTTCCTTTCTGAAGCTGCTTAGGTACCTGCAGGGCTCCCAGGGCCCCCTTGGCTCCTGGGCCAGCTCCCCAACTTGCTCTGTTGGCTCCCGCTTGGGCTGCCAGGAAGCCAGGCGGCAGTGCCCATCAGTAGGCACAAAGCTCCCTCCTGCATCCCATGGCCAGGCTGCCCCAAACCGTTTCTGGTGTCAGCACGGCAGGGAGGACCTCATACCTTAGAGACTGACTGCCAGGACAGGGGCCATGGAAGTTCCCTGTACCCTCTGTCTTCCCTGTAGCCCCTTACCCCCAATACACACTGCTTTTCTGCAACACCTCCAAGCTCTATCCATCCCTCTCATCTACCCAGACCCCACCAACCCCTCTCCCCACCTCCAAGGCTGATCCAGAACCAGGTTCCATCTATGCAGTCACACACTCCTTCAATGTGTAGGTGTGCTCTGTGCCTGGCCCTGGGTTGGGCACCCCAGCACATACCCTGCTCTTGGTCTGCTTCCAGCCAAGTGGGAGACACAAGCAGGAGTGCTGGGCCATCGCAGTACACAGGCTGTAGATCTCTGACAGAGGGAACAGAGAAATCCATGCTGTGGCAGATCCTGAGGAGGTGCCAGGAAGTGGGGTCTCAGAGCTTCAGGAGGAAGCCATCAGGTGCGCGGAGGAATGAAGGGCCTTTGGGGTGGAGACCGCAGCCTGCAAATCGCAGAGAGGCCAGAAGTGCCTCGGGCTGAGGGGGACCCAGACCCTCAGCTCAGGCAACTCTGGGCCCCTCCTGATCGCTAGCGGGGTCCCCAGGCCCTTTATGGAGTCCAGGCGGTCCTGGCTACCTGTTCTGTTAACAGGATCGGACAGCACATGAACTTCAGAGAGGGGAAGAAGGAAACTCCCGAGGGCTCCCACCTCTACTCACCACTGACGCTCCCAGCCACCAATGAGAGGGACCCCTTGAAGGCATTACCTCATGCAGGACAATGGCCATTGGCTCCTGGTACTAGTGAAGGCTGACGACCTCCAAAAGGTCCTGCTTTGGGCATTAACCCTTCTTGAGGCAAGTCTGGTCTCTCCTGACAGCCAGTGTCCTCCCTGTGAAGATGGATCTATTCAAAGCACCTTCATGTCCACTCTCTCATAACATAGACGCCTCAAACTTTCATGCTCTGAGACTGCGTAGGCCAGCATTGTCCTATAGAAATACAATGTGAGCCACACAGGTCACTTTAAAGTTTCCAGGAGTCACATTTAAAAAGGATTAATTTTAATAATACATTTTCTTTAACCCAATATTATTACTGGGTTTATAAAACCCAAAACATTATCATTTCAACATGTAATCAACATAAACATTATGAATGAGATATTTTACATTCTTCTATGGTGATGAGTCACAGAAATCTAGCGTGTATTTTACACTCACAGCACAGCTCAATTCCTACGAGCCAAGTTTCAGGTGCTGCTCCACGGCTACACGCGGCTATTGTACTCTACAGCACAGAGACCAGCATGCTGGGTCTACAGAGGAGAATGCTGGGAGGGAGGAGAGTGGACTTGCTCATGGCCAAATGCAAACCAGGCTCTGGGATGAAGTCCCCCGACTCTAGCTCCCGGCCTTCCTGCTGTCCTGCTGGAGCCTGAGGTGGCCCCAGGGCACTGAGATGGAAGAGCCCTGGGCTGGTGCTTGAGGCTGGCATCCCGAGCTGGTCCTGCTGCTCACCTGCCCTCGTATGACCTTGGGGCCCCACTGGACACAGGGGCCCCACCTGGCCCGGGCCTCTTGCCCTGCCAGCTGAGGAAGGAGGGCCAATGGAGACAACGACAGCACCTGTTCCGTGCCAGGCACCAGGCTGTGGGCTGGGGGTTAGAGTTCCCACCCCGGAGGAGCCTGCAGTGGGTGGGACAATGGCAGCACAACTAATAAAGCCTTGAGTGAGGAATCAGAGGACACCGTGGGGGCAGTGAGGACAGGGTATTTGCCATTCACGGGGAGATGGAAAAGCTGATACTTGAGCTGGGTCTCTGGAGAGGGACAGAAAATCTGCCCAGGGGCCTTTTTCTGACTCACCCAGCTTCCTAAAACTCCAGGAGCCTAGTTTTTCCTGTCAGGTGAACAGCCGAGGTAAGGAAAGTGCACGCAGGCAGCACAAAGTGGGTGGCCCAGCCCTGCCAAATGGTGCTATGACCCTCTCTGCAGAGCCTCAGGAGAACAAGACCTAGCCCTTCCCCTTTTTCTGCAGGCACTCCAGACTTCTTTGGCAGAAATTCCAGGTGTAAGCGGATAAATTGGATCTGTGCTTGGGCAGGATGGCAGCCTGAGTTCTGCCTGCCACAACCTGAGGTGGGAGCCAGTCTGCCTCCTGGGCTAAGGCTGGGCGGTGGCTGTGGGGCCCGCGGGCTGCAAGGCCAGTGCTCTGCAGGCAGGGCCAGGCTGCCTCTTGCCCACACCTGGCCACTAAGCCCCGAGGCCGGTAATGAGGATCTCCTGCACCACCGTGGCTCAGAGGAGGCCTCCTGGCAGCCTGGCCTTGTTCTCATTGTCCTGCTCCAGCCCAAATGCACCAGGCCCAGGCCTCAATCGTGATCAATGGGCCGAGGATGTGCTGACGAGGCACTTTCATCTTTTCTCAAGGCTGGTGTTTGAACTTCTCTGAGCAAGCGGCCTTCCCAAACGGGCTTGTCTTCTAAGAAGGCGGCCAATCTCCTTTCCCTTGCTTCCTAAGCAGGCTGATCCTGAGAGTTATTGAGGCACAAGAAAGGAGATGTTCAAAGGCAAATCTAAATTACCGTCCTCTTCAGACTGGGGAAAAGTCTTATTAAGTCGCCTGCGTGTGATTCCCGGCCTATTTCTGTCTGCAGACCTTTCTTCCTTTGTGCCACATAAATGGACACATCTTATTGATTTTCTTTCAACCTGGATCACCTCCATGGCTGTGAATGTGGGCAGACAAATCCCACTCCTTCCTTCCCTGTGGGGCTGAGGAAGGATGCTGGTGGCAGCCAACAGGGCCGGCCTAGGGGGCTTCTGCGCCCTCCTCACCACCCACTTCCCACTGAACTCAGCAACCCTGCCTGAGAGCCAGCACTTTCTGTGGAGGAGCCAGGAGGCCACTGCAGGCCTACAGGGAGGCTTTGGGACCGCGGAGCCACGGAGCCACGAGGCAGCCTGCAGCGTGGGCCAGGCAGAGGGAGCTTGACGACGGCGGGGGGCGGGGGGGGGGCCCTGCCCTCAGCCTGCTCTCTCACTTCCTGTGCCTCCCACCGTTTCTCGTCTACCGCTCCCCCGCCCCCAGTCCTCACTTTGTTCACCCCACTCCAGCCCTGACCCTTGGCTGAGTATGCCACATACATTTCCATTTCAGGGACTTCGCATTTGTCTTCCCACACATAGAAAGCTCTTCCCCCAGACATCCCCAAGGCTCATGCCCTCACCTTCCAGTCTCCACCCAAATGCAGCTTCTCAGGGAAACTTTCTTGAGCCACCCCATTTAAAATTGCAACCCATCCCCCGTATTCCGTGCTGCCCCCACCGCCACACACTTTATCTTTCTGCACCTCACTCATCGTAATTGACATACTGTTTCTTTTCCTTGCTTGTGTTGGTTGTCTGTCTCCCTTCACTAAAATCTCCATGTCAGCAGGGGCTTCTGCCCCTTTTGTTCACTATAGTGGCACCAGTACTTAGAATAGTGCTCAGTATACAGGGGTGATTAACAAATAAATTGTCCAGTGTGTGACCACAGGCCATACACAGGGCCTGGCCAAGGCCAGCATACCGGCTTCTGTGATCCAGGCACCAGCCTCCAGAGGGCGCCACACAGGATGCCCAGCCCCGATCCTCCAGGGAGGATCATCTCTGCTCCAGATCACTGCAGGCTCCCAGAAAAAGGATCCAGACATTCCCCGGGCCGGAGGTTTGGCCTGGGCACTGACTGCCCTAGCTTTGGCCTCAGAACAGATGGCTTCTATGTCCAGGACGATGTCTCTGATCCTATCAGTTATCAGGAACAGGCCCCTTGTGAGGGTGTTTCACCCCACCAGACCCAGCCGGCCAGGACGGTGCCACATCAATGCTCTGGGCCTTCAGCTGCCTCCCACAAGCCACTCCCAGAGGGTGGAACCACCTCTGGGGACCCCAGGGCTGCCACGCACCTCCCTTACTATACCCTAGGCCAGGTGGTGGGTATAATAATTATTGTAGAAACCACCCTGGTTGGCCAAAGGATACCTGACTCCCCAGTTACTCCCTGGGTGGCTTTTTCCATCTCCTCACCTCAGTTTCCCCATCTGCAACGTGGAAAAGGTGACCCAGAGAACCAGAAGACCCCTTCTTCTGTCAGTCTGACAGTCAATGGCCTTCTCATGTGTCCCTCTCTCTCTCAATGGGCCAAATCATCTTTGAGGGCCAGGACAATCTCTGATTTTTGTCCTCATACAGCCCAGGGCCTGGCTCCAAGTAAGTTCTTAGTGGGTGTTTGTTGAATGACTGACCGACTGACTGACTGACTGAATGAATGAACCTGCAAGTGTGCAGGCCCATAAAGAAATGGACCTTAGGCCCCGGCATCACTTTGCTGGTCACAGCTGAAAATCCCCATGCATCGGCTTGCTAGAGAGAAGCAGACAGACAGATGGAAGCAAGCAAGGCCCAGGAATTCTTTGGGGGAAAGTGGCTCATTTCCAAAGGGAAGGCTATAGGCTGTGGGAAGACAAAAAAAATTCCTCAAAATTAAACCAAAGGAGGGGTTTGGGGAGCGATGGGGCTCCGAGGGATTTATTAATGCACGCCTCCGAGTGATTCTTCCTCCTGCAATCCAGGCACGGGGTTAGCACCGACTTCCAAATTATATTTAATTGGACAATTATTCAAACTGAAAAACCTGCACAGGAAACGAAGGCGGTCCTTAATAAACACCTTGTCTCCTCAGCCCCAAACAGGCAAGTCGTTTACTGACCCAAGAGGCACAATTTTGTCTTTGGTAAATTTATTTTGAAGTAATTGCCGACTCCGGGAGTAACCATTTTTCAAAGGGAAACTTGGCTCTAGCCAGCAGAATAATAAATTGTTCCTGACCCGTGTGAAGCCTAATCCCATTAGAAAGATGTGTGCTTAGAGGGTGCAGGGCGGCGCACAGAGGCCAGGGATGGCCCTGCGCTCGGCGGCAGAGGCGCCCGGCTGGTGACCAGGGGAAGCCTCCTGGGCTGACCCGTGCACAGCCACAGGGACCAGCCCAGACGTTCTCTACAGCGGGGGCTGCAAGAGCTAGGGCAAGGGTGGGTGGGAGGTTGTCACCTGGCCGTGGTCGCCACATCGGGGAGAGGACTAAAGCTTCCGCAGCCACCTCCGGCTCCGCCTGGGGCAGGACACAGCCTCCAAGCCCAACCTCTTCCCGGGTCTCCTTTCCCATCTCCTCCCTGACCACGCCTCACCACGCCCCTCCACCAGGTGAGTCCTCACCTCCTCTCTCTCCAGCTCTGCCTGGCCCTGACCCGACCCGCCTACCTTCTCCCTGCCCCTGGTGAGCTTGTGCAGAACCCGAGGGCACAGCGTCTTTTGCGCAGAAGGCGCACCGCGCGACCAGCACCTTGTTGAGCAGCTGAGGGCCTTGGGGAACCTGCTTTAATGAATAGGAGTGCGTTCATAAACAGCATATCCATATGCAAATGAGTACCTCCAACAGCCTGGAAACAGGCTGGTCTCTGATTGCTTCTATTTGAGCAAACACAATTTATAAACTCTGGGGTCTTTTTTCAGGAAAGGAATGAAGGGGCTTCCCTTGATTTACAAATTCCAACTTGAAAGGCAAGGTTCTTCCTTCTATGTCTAGTACAACTCAATGCCCCCAAATCCAGGCTTGGCCTTAGGTGATCTCTAAGGTCCTTGGGAGACCTTGCCCTAAGGTCCCCAAGGCAGGGACCTTTGGTTTTGTTCACCGATGTGTCCAAGTTCCTACAACAGTGCCTGCCATGAAATGATATTCAATAAATATTGTTCACATAAGTGAACTCCTGGAGAACCCCTCCTCCATTGCATCACACAGCCTTTCTTCAGACCTTGAGCAAGACACTAGAGGTGGACTCTTGAACTGTGATTATCCTCTTCCCTTTTTTTCCAGCTGGGGAAGCTCTGAGAAACTAAGTAACTTGTCCCAGGTACAATGCAGGCCAGAGGTAGGAGCAGGACCAGAAGCTGGTCTCCAGCTTCCAGGGCTCCAATGTCTCTAGTCCCTGCTGCCTTCCAGCACCAGCCTGATCCCCATCTGAGTGATGACACATGCAGCAGGGCCCAGCAAGTGAGCCCACAGAGAGCACTGGAGAGCACTGGAGCTCTATGCACCCCTGTTCTACAGCCAAGGAAACAGGCTCGCAGAGCTGGGTCTTGCCCCAGGTCAAACTTTGAGGGGCCTAGCTTTTGTTTTGTTTTGTTTTGGTTTGTTTTTTTGAGACAGAGTCTCACTCTGCAGCCCAGGCTGGAGTGTAGTGGTGTGATGTTGGCTCACTGCAACCTCCGCCTCCTGGGTTCAAGCAATTCTCCTGCCTCAGTCTCCCCAATAGCTGGGACTACAGGCACATGCCACCACACCAACTAATTTCTGTATTTTTAGTAGAGACGGGGTTTCATCATGTTGGCCAGGCTGGTCTCGAACTCATGACCTCAGGTGATCTGCCTGCCCGGGCCTCCAAAGTGCTGGGATTACAGGCGTGAGCCACTGCACCCAGCCACGAGGGGCCTGTTTCCCTGCTCTTAGGCATCAACATGCAGCCTAGGAGTTAGGGCAAAGTACCCCTGCCTTTGGTCCTCTTCGGGGTGGCAGTGCTTGGGCCCCTTGTATCTAACAAGGCTGCTTTATCAGAGGACAGCGACCCCACAAAGCAGGGAGGCTGCCTCCGTTGGGTTCTAATTCCTGGGCCTTCTACTGCCCTCACCCCATCCCAGCAGCTTCCGGACAACCTAAGGGAGCCAGCACCACACCACTCTCATTGACTCCCTGAAACCCTCTTCTTTGCTCCCGCCCCTGGGCTTCCAGATCATCTTCCCCACTCAGTGGCTTCCTTCAGGATTTCAATGACTGTGGCTTCTTTGCTTAATAGGAAAGGAAGCGTGTTGGCAATATGCCCTCAAAGTTTTACTCCTACCTAGAAACAAGCCTAGGGCAGCAGCTGGAAAAACGGGGCATTTAGCCTGCCCCAGAGAATACCAGAGCCAAGGAGTCCATGTCCTGGGAGGACTTTGTGGGGAAGCAGTTTAGAAGCTGGAGGTTAGGAGAGCATGTCATGAAGTCAGACCCAAATGTAACCCCTCCCCTTCCTTTAATGAACTGAGTGACTTTCAAAAGACACACCACCTCTCAGAGATTGTTTCCTTGCCTGGAAAATGGAATGATAAATAGAGTGTAAATTGCTAAATTGTTGTGATCATGAGAGTTTACATTTCTTGAGTGCTTGTTATCAAACCAAACTTGGGCCCACCTGCCAGGCACAGCAAAGCCAAACACTGACATCAGGATTTGCAGCGTGAGAAAGTGAGGCATTTATTGCAGGATGCCAAGCAAGGAGAATGGGGCAGCTCATGCTTAAGACCTGATGGCTCACAGAAAAGGGCTTTTAAAGGTGGGGAGGCAGGTATATGACTTTACAAGCAAAGTCATCAGTCAGTCCACGGAGGCGATTCATCGGTTTGACCTAAAAAGGCTGGACACCTTGCAGGTGGGGAGGAAGGGGAGGTGGATTCAAAGATATTCTCATTTGTGATTGGCTAAGCAGCTAAAACTCTGGGGGTCAGCAGAAAAGAATGTTGAGCTCTGGCCTGTGGGCGTGACTTCCTCCAGGACCTTCAGGAAGAACTTTAGAACAAAGAATGGTGCTCAGAGTTCAGCCCTCAATTCCTCCTTATGTGAGGTCTATGTGCCAGCAGTTGGCCTTTCTCATTTAGTCGGAGTCTGGGTTTCTGAAAAACAACTCAGAGACATATGGTAAGATGTCATCTTTAGTTTCTAGAGGAACCATCATTTTGTGACTCTGTCTTCCTTGGTGATTGTTTTAAGCTACTGTTAGCTTCTTGCTTAGCAGGTTGTTCATTGACTTCTCAATGCTAGCTAGGTCCCCTTGAAGGAACTCAAGATTTTTCTTTATTTTCATGCCTCGGGGCTGGTGCCCCACACTTGCTACGTATCAACCACTATTCTAAACACTTTACATCCACTCATTCATTTAATCTGCATGACATGCTTATGAGGTAGGTATTATTTCCTTGTTTAACTGATGAGGAACATAAGACACAGAGAGGCTCAGTGACTTGCCCAAGGTCACACAGCTAGTAAGCATCCTTCTTCTAATGGATAGAATAGGCCTGGCATACTGTAATTGATAAATATCATTACGGTTATTATTAAGACCTGGCTTTCCTTGTGCCAGACCAAAGAGCAAAAGGAGCATGGCCACTGCAGGATCAAAGGAGCAATAAAGGTGTGTGTCAGGGAAAGTGCGATGAGCCAGGGAGGCAGGGGCATAAGCTGGCTCTGATGCTTTTGGTGGGGGCACTGAGGCTCATCCCCAGGCAGGCATTTGCATCCACTGATTTACATAAGACTTAAGAAGTCCGCTGGGAGAAGGACTTGAACTTAAACCACATACGATCGTTTCCTATAGGGCTCCAGGGCCCTGACACAGATGGAAGTACTCTCCTCATGGCCCAGAGGGCAAATCCAGCCGGGACAGAGCCCCAGTGGGAGCGTGGGTCATGGCCAATGAGCATGAGGGGGCAGCGCCTGTCTGGCCACTCTGGCAGCAGTGTGTGCTGTGCCCTGGGGCAGGAAGCCATCACAGACTGAGTCACAACACATACACCTTGAAACCTGTCACCCAACTGTGGGTGCTCTAACTGGAAAGGAGCACCGCTCGCTTTGTGAGGGAGGGCCAAAGATGGTGGGGAAGGGTCTCCCTTGCCATATGACTGGCAGTGGGGACAGCAGCAAATTCCTGGCACGATGAGTTCTGAGGTGACTGTGGCGGTGGCCGTGGCAGTGAAAGCCTGGCAGGGCTGTGGCTCAGTCAGCTGTCCCTGTGAGCACCAGACCACATAAAGTACTGCTGGAAATCCCCCGCACACTCGGGCAGAAAGAACAGGGAAAGGGTGGGGACTGGGTGCCCGCAAGGCACTCTCACCATGGCAGCTGCAGAGATGCATTCGCGCCTCACTCCTGGGCTCCTGCCCTCATCAAGGCTGGGGCGAGTCTCATAGCTGGCCTCTCCCTCTCCCCTTCCCCAGCACCCCCTCTCCAATCTCCACTCCTCTCCACTGCCCCAGACTGATTGTTCCAGAACACAGTTCTCACCATGCCTTGACCCTCTGGTGGCTCCTTAGCCCTCGAGGGCAGTGCCCCAGCCCCTCATCCTGGCCTCAGCTCTCACCCCTCACCCGCTGCCAGCCTCCCTAGTCTCCTTCACCTCACATAGCTCCCATTCCCCCCAAGGGAATCTAATCACCAGCTTAGCTTTGACTGCCCTTCCACTCCTCCACAGGAACTCATGTGAGTCCTTCAGAGCCCCAGTCCACGGCTCCTTCTTCCAGCAGTCCGCTCTGGTCCTTTTTCTTGCTCTGTCGAGCTCCCAGGAAATAATATAAAAATAATAGGGCTGGACGCAGTGACTCTCGCCTAGAATACCAACACTCTGGGAGGCCAAGGTGAGAGAATCGAGTGAGGTCAGGAGTTCAAGACCAGCCTGGGCGACACAGGGAGAACCCCATCTCTAAAACAAACAAAACACACACACACACACACACACACACACACACCCCAGTTAGCTGGGCATGGTGCACACCTGTAGTTCTAGCTACTCAGGAGGCTGAGCCAGGAGGATCACTTTAGCCCAGGAGTTTGAGGCTGCAGTGAGCTATGATTACACCACTGCACTCCAACCTGGGTGACAGAGCGTGAGCCTGTCTCCAATAAAATAAAAATAAAAATAACAGCAAACACTTCTATAGCACATACTAGGTGCCAATATTAGTCCAAGAGCTTTACCATTAACTCCTTTCATCCTTACAATTGTATGAGGTAGTTACTATATCATCCTTGTTTTACAGTTTAGAGGACTGAGCACAGAGAGGTTAAGTAATGTGCTGAAGGTCACACAGCTAGCAAGGAGTGGAGCTGATATTCAAACGCAGACAGCCTGGTTCCAAGGTTATTTTCTCCTGCGATGGGTATAAAATGACCATTATTTTATATCCATAGGTTTAGGTGTCAGTTAGAAGCTATATTTCCTTCTAGGGTGTGGAAAGTACTTGGGCCTAGGTCTACATTACTGCACACCCCTTTGCCTGAGATGGGCTCAAATCCCACGGTTGGCTGATGACCCTGGAGGTGGGGAGGCTCCGCTCCTGGAGCCCAGGGCTGTGCTTCCTCGCTCAGCATCCTGTGCGGTGCAGACCCTGCCAGGCACCATCTCCAGCCTCCTTGCCTCCCTCCCAGTCCCTGGTCTTCTCAGGGCACTTCCCATGTGCCTCTAGAGCTGCCTCTCCCCTGCCTGGCAAAGACCCCAAGGTTGGACCTGACAGTTTCCAAATCAGCTCAACGTCCCCAGCAGAAAGGCTGGTCCAGTGACTTACCCCAGGACAGTTCTTCCCCTTCCAAATCTCTCCACTTCCCCACTCGCACCTTCCCTCTATGCTTGGCCCCAGAGAAGAATGAAGTTGGATCCCCAAGGCTCTAAGCATCTCCAGAGCTTCACCTGAGAGGCCCCGCAGAGTCCGAGTTAAAATCTACTGTCCTGCTGGAGTTCACAGTCCAACTATTGACAACCCCAGACTTCTAATCTTAACATCACTTAGAAAGTCCTGGCTAATATTAGTCGTAAAACCACTGTGTCTATATTAGCACTATTAAAGGCCAGGCTCTCTTAGGCAAACAGAAGAAAATGTAACTAGAGCCTGGCACAGGGAAGATGCCATTAAACCCTCGTCTCCCTTCCTTCCTTCCACGAATACGTATTAAGCACTTGCTGTGGGCCAAGGCCTAGGCAGGATGCCGGGGAAAATGCTGAAAGCACACGGATCTTCACGGAGCTAACGGTGTAATGAAGGAGACAGGCAGGAAGACCCATTCATAGCATGCGGTTTGGGTGTGCCAGCAAGCCAGGGAGTAGGGGAACGTGGCTCCTCCCTGGGAGTGGTTGAGCAAGGCTCTTTACCTGTGTGGGGGACAGGCAGAGAGAGTCAGGGAGAGCCTTGAGGGCCAGGCTGAGGAGTTTGAACTCCATCAAGATGCTGAAGGGTTCCCCACAGGGGAGTAGCATGGTGAGCCATGGGCTTCAGTGGGATCATTCTGACCGAAGAGGACAGGGGTGAGGGTGGAGGCAGAGACCAAGGAGGGCAATGAAAATCAACGAGAGAAAGATGGTAGAGACCGCTCTTAAGAAAGCAGCAGCGTGGATGGGGAGAAATGTTGCTTCAAGCCAGATTTAGGAGGAAACAATTACAGCTTCCACGTACCGAGTGGCAACCGTGCACTAGGTGGTTGGTCTTTTTGCTTTATGTGCGTCATCTCTAGTCCCTACAGAAATCCTTCAAGGGAGGTTCTATCAGCCACATCCTGGCAGAAAACAGATGGCACCCTCAAACTGAGTGCCATGAGAAGAGTTTTATCAATGGACAATTCTCGCAGGTGTGACCAGGCTTGAGAAGAACTATCAAGAGTGGTGTCGTGCCCTGGAGCTAGGAACAGTGGGGAGTCATTACCACTGCGAGGCCAAAAAGGAGTTATGTGTGGCAGGGGAGAAGCCACTGGAATCCAGGGAGAGGAGCCAGGTCGTGCCACACAGGAGGTGTTGCCCTTTAGTTACGGGGCACCGTGAGCCCCAGGTGACCCTGCGGGGTGGGAGAGGTGGGAGGAGAGCAGCAATAATGGTGTGAAGGCAGTCCCTGCGGTCAGCCTCCCAGGGTACAGGGCAGGGTGGGGCTTCGGGGGAGCCTGGAGGGCCCAGGACATGGGCAAGGCCAGAGGACTTGGGGGCTGAATGTGAGGGTGGTAAGAGGAACAGTCAGGGTGTCCCGGGTTTCTGGCATGGGCACCGGTGGCAGATGGTGGCATGGTGCTCTGAGATAGAGCCCAAGAGAAAGGTGGGGCAGGATATCTGTGAGGAAAGGCCCGGCTTCCACCTGAGGCTCCCGCATGACACTGGCTGGCTCTGTCATTCTGGCGACAGCCTCATCTTGCCCTGGTCTCTTTATTTCTAAGACAAAGCACTTACCAGCTACATGAGGCGGCCTCCTCGTGTCTTCCCACCCCGACCCCTACTCTCATTTTCTTGCTGCCGTAACTCAAGCCAGGCACATGGCCTCTTGTAGCCCCTTCTTCCACGTGGGCAGCATTTTGGGGAACACGAGCTATCTGGAGACAGTAAGGTACAGGAAGGCCCGAGCTCTGGAGTCAGAGAGAATTGAGTTTGGCAGGCACAAAAGTGTAAGATTTTATACATTCAAGATGTGCAAAATCATAGACCTTTATTTTCTATAATTCATTTCATCTTGCTCTTGAGCTCATATTCCCACAGATGACTGGGAAGGGAGTAGGGGAAATACTTTAGCTTACTAATTAAAGATAGCTCAGCCTTTTCCAGCTTAAAACAGTCTCTTTCAGGTTAACTCAACATCTTTTGCATGAATACTCAGTCTTTCAAAATTCAAACTCTCTATCAGGACTGTTTCTCTCCCCTTTCGATATATCTTCATTCAACTTCCTACTTCCTAAAATGGCAGCTGAATGCAGGGGGGAGCTCACACTGCTCATGGTGGCAAAGGGAAGGACATCCGGCCTACTGCTGCCTTTTGGGCTTCACTGGTCTCAGACAGCGTGGCTGGACCAGCTCCCGGTGCCCACTTAGGTGCTGAGTCCTTGAAACCCTGTTCTGGCCTCTGGTCATGAAGTCTGCATCAGCCACATATAAACTAGGTGATGCTGTGATTGATAACAAACGCTCCCCAAATCTCAGTGATGGGCAACAAAGGTTTATTTCTTGCTTGTGTTACATGTCATCACAAGTCAGTGGTGGGCTCTGTTCCCTATCAACACTCCAGGATCCGGGCTGAGGAAGCAGCCACTGTCTGGAGCATTGCTGGTGACTACAGCCGAGAGAAACGAGCGCTATGGAGGGTTTCACATCAGCGGTTCAATGTTCTGCCCTGGAAATGGCACAAGCCATTTCTTATCACAGCACACTGGCCAGAACTAGTCATGTGGCCCCACCATTGAGCCAGAAGCTCAGTCTTGCCCTGAGTCAGGAAGGGGAGTGAAACTGCAATACCTGACCAACAGCACAAGCCTCTAATATCTGACCTGACCCCAGACCTATCTGAATCCACCCTCACTCTTCTCTCCCCAGGACCCCTTCAAGGGTCTAGAAACATTTAAGTGCTTTCTCTCCACTGTGGCGGAAGGGGCAGAGGCCCTGCAAGGCTGCCCCTTGGCTCACCCACCTTCCCCTGCCATTTCTAAACCACTGCCTGGATGGTGCATCCTGCCTAACACCTGTAGACCCAGAGCTTTGTTAAGGAGCTGGTCTTGTTCCCGGTCTAGTCCCTGAGAGGAGAAGAGACAATGCCTCCCACTGGGAAGGCCCCAACCCCATCTGGGTGACTGACTCTATTTCCCCTGTGCTTGAACACCAGGGGGCAACCAGGACTGCAACAGCTGACCCCTCACCTCTTTTCCTGCTGCATTTTAGTGGCTCAGATCCCTCCACTTCCTCTTCCTGCAAGGGGGAACTTCCCCTGTGTTGTATCCTCTGTATTAGTCCATTCTCATGCTGCTAATAAAGACATACCTGAGACTGGGTAATTTATAAAGGAAAGAGGCTTAATTGACTCACAGTTCTGCAGGGCTGCAGACACCTCAGGAGACTTACAATCTTGGCGGAAGGGGAAGCAAACATGTCCTTCTTCACAAGGTGGCAGGAGAGAGAAGAATGAGAGCCAAGCGAAAGGGGAAGCCCCTTATAAAACCATCAGGATCTCGTGAGAACTCACTCACTATCAGGAGAACAGCAGCATGAGGGTAACTGCCCCCATGATTTTATTACCTCCCATCAGATACCTCCCATGATACGTGGGGATTATGGGAACTACAATTCAAGATGAGATTTGGGTGGGGATAGAGCCAAACCATCTCATCCTCCATTCTCCTTATGCTGGGGCTTACAGTAAAACTCTAAGTCCACCAGGCTTGACTCAGTTGTGTAAAAGGAGCTTTAGGAACTTAGAAAACCTTCTCTGTCTCCACTAAGCCTGATTCTTGATGTGTCTGTTCCACTGTGGACACAGCCCTGTTTTGGAAGTCTGCACGTTGAGTCTGCCTCTCTTTGCCTTCCTGCTTCAATAACCCTGAGCATCCCTGAAACAGTGGTGCCTCTGGCTGAGTGAAAAGGGTTGGAGAGCACTTAAGAAACTGGAAAAAAAAAATCACATGACATTATTTTTAAAATATCATTTCTTCAACTTTGGTTTGAATTGTACCAGGTGTCTGACCTTGAGTAAGTCACCTAACCCAGCATCTAGAGCTTCCACTGATGGAGCCTCAGTCCAGGCTGGCTCCGTGCCCAGCTGTGGAGCACCCTTTCTCTGCAGAGGAGCTCTCCAGAGCTGCCTCCCACCGCCAGCTCCCTCTGTTCTCTGGCTGATCCCACGGGTCATTTCCACTTCTAGCTGTGTGACCTTAGACATGTTGGTTGACTTTGCCAAGACTCCATTGCTTCACCTGTAAACTGGGGGCAGTAATAGCCTCTTTCTCTTAGGACTGTTGTATTAAATAAAACCCTTGAAGCAGTGTCTGATATCATATAAGTGCCATGCAAGTGTTAGCTACTATGATTATTGTTATTTTCCCATTTTTTCCCTTCCTGGAGAACCCTTTGTGCCCTGAAGCCTTTTATCCCAGTACCCAGGCCTGCCTAGTATAGAGTTAGTTCGTTCCTGCTTCATCTCTGGCTGGCTGCCTCTCAGTCATCCCAGGCCTCACATGCAGGGCCCACGCTCAGAATCATCACAGGGGCTCTGGGAGTCCTCTGCCCCAGTACCCTCATGTCCCCTTTACCATTTCTGTGAGCTCCTCCCCACCTTTGAGGTGAATGTGCCTCTGACCACCTCACATTCAATTCTCTGGATGACTTCTCTGGAACTGCTGAGCCAGTTGTCTGGAGTTGACATCCCTGGGGTGGCCTTGGCCAATGACCAAGGGCTGGAGTGTGAAAGCCCAGCTCCCTTGCCCCCAGTCGGGACAATTAGGAAGCATGATCATGTCCCAGAGCTCCCCATGCAGGATGAGACTGATGCTACCCTCGAGGGGACTGAAACTGTCTGGAGTCTTCCCTCCACCACACTCCTCCCACCCCACACCAGCTTGGCTTCTTCCCCTTCTCTGTCCTTCACCCACTCCTTATAGATTTCTCCTGGGAAACCCTCCTTCATAAATCATGTGCGTCCTCATCTCAGGATCTGTTTCAGAGGGCTCTGCCCTGAGACAACCAAGGCCCCACAGAGCTGCGATCATGCACAGGTTAGGCCAAGAGGATCAGCTGTTTCTGGAGAGCCTGCTGTGTGCGTTGCACTTCATATGCCTCATCTCACTTAATCCTAAAAGTGGCATTGCTCGATGGAACACATGAGTATCTCCATTTTATAGATAAGGAAACTGAAGTTTAGAACAGCCATGTGACTCACTTCTGAGGGCCATCGGTGGCTCTGTGGTGGCAGACGATTTGGATCCAGGACTGTGGGACTCTGCAGCCTGTGCCTTCTACACCCACGCTGGGATGCAGGGGCAGGAGCAGGGCCCAGACTCCCAGAGCAGGAGGCCAGGCAGTTAGCGCAAGGGCAGAGCAAGAGCCTTTATGGAGAAATTGAGGGGAGAGCAACATAGAAAGAGCTCAAAGTGCACCCGAGGTGGAGAGGCAGACCCCAGCCAACAAATGAGGCTAGGAACAGGCTGAGCTAAGCCAGCTGAGAAGCATCGGATGCCCCCGCCCTGCCCCACACTGACACACACCCTCTGGGGCACACAACAGGGAAGCTCAGGGGGTGACAGCTCACATCTCACCTTCCCGTGCAGGGACTTTGGTCTCCCCCATGCCACTCTTCTGGTGCCAGCCACCCTCATCTTGCACTAGAAGGCTCTGAAAATGGCTCTGGCCTTCAGGGAGAGAGGGATAGGCAGGAAAGTGGGGGTCAGGAAGGGGAAAGGAAGGACAGGAGTGGCCAGCCCATCACAGAGGAACCTGCACCAGAATGAGGGACAGTGTTTGCAGCTAAGTGGCAGGTGTGGGCTGGTATGTGCCTGCAGGCAGAGAGGGGAAGAGACAAGGGAAGCTGGAGAATTACTGTCCTTTAGAAATGGCACATGCTGTCCACCCTGTAGCCACGGAAGTGACTGGGACCTTCAGTTTCAAGCCCTTCCGCAGAGTCACCAGCCCCCAGCATACCTTGCTGCAGAAAACGGTTGGGATAGAAGAGGGCCCTGGAACAATGACAGGGATAAGAAAGCTCAGAACTCCAGGTTGGAAACAAGGGGAGGAAACCCCAGGTGTTCCCTGAGCAGAAGCTGGCCCTGGGGATGGCTTGCCTGGTCCTGTCCTCCTCTCCTGGGGTCCCCAGATAGGACAACTAACTACCCCTTAAATGAAGAGCCCCAGCATCCTGACACACCCATAACCTCCAACAAAACACCTCCCCCCGAAACCAAACGCCAATTCTATTCCCTAGTCCTGACAATTCTACTAAATCCAGCTGGAAGCCTTATTTGACCCCTGACCTGAATCTGGCCTTACCCAAAAACCCACTCTGACTGGCCTCAAACCAAACCATAAACCTTACCCACCCCTACCTCTACTTTTAATGTCTCCCCACCCTGCGAGCTGGGTCCTGACCCCAGTCCACACTTACTGTGGCATACACGTGTCCAGGGCTGTGGCTTCATCAGGACCCGGTGGCCATCAGCCTCTGCCCGCCCCACCATGAGGGCCACAGGGGACCCCTTAGGGCAGCCGGGGCTCTGCATGGTTCTGGCCGTCCCTGCACGGGTGATGGATGAGCTCTGGTGTTATCAGCACCACAGGAGGGAGTCACCAATTTCCCTGCCTGTCACTTCACCATAATTTCTAAAGCACAAGAGGCTGATTCCATCTCTCGACACCATTTGACTCTGTTCCCTGCTCTGGCAGGCCTTCTCGGGGCAGGCCCCAGCAGGGATGCTGGGTGTGGGAGCGTCGTCCGGAGGTGGACAGGTGCACGCTTCAGCGCTTATATGTTCTGCTGCTGTCCTAAAAGACAGATGCCATGCCTGGTCCATTCCACCTCGGCCTCGCACTCCTGGCTCACCTGAGACCTGGATACCACCACGAGCTCCTCCATCCCCTTGGAGCTGATGGAAGAAGGTTAGGCACACACCATGAGGGCTCCCCGCCCAGGGGCCGTGCCTTCAGCCCCGCTGGAAAATGAGAGAAACCCTAAAATCCTCAGCGGCGCTCACGGTCGGAGGACTGAGATCTTCCCATACCAGCAGGAGAAATACCAGCAGGGCCTGACGTGGCCTCTGTCCCATCACCTTCCCCATTGCAACTGTCCCAACAAATAAGCACGAGCTGCCTCTACTGCCGTCAAAGCATCCCCTGGGCAGTGGGCAAAGCTGGTGGGTGGTGGCTGTGTGACCCATTTTAAAGCCAGGCAGTGGTTTGGGGGAAAAGGAGTTTAGAAATAAGCCAGCAGGTGCCCGGGAGGAGAGATGCTGTGGCCAGAGCCTAGCAGGATGACCCCCCAGGTAAATGAAAACATTGAAGGCACAGTGTGCCTTGAAGACTGATGCTACCATGGACAGAGCTCTAGGGTTTCAGCCCTGAACTCAAAAGCAGAACCTGCCAAAAGGAGTAGGAGAGGGTTTCCCAGGACTGTGGTATTGTCTGGGGGTGGCAGCCCCAAGGGGCTCAGTGAGTGTTAGAGCTTCCTCACCCTCCAAGGTCCACAGCCTCAGGACAGGCTCTCCTAGGGGCCAGCATCTGGAGAGACCAGGTGCTCCAGGGTGTTATAATGGAGAGGGCAGCAGGGGTGTCGATCAGAATATTTTAGTCCAATATAAGAAAAAATTTCCAACCATCACAGCATCCAGTGTAAAAGAAAATCTAAAAAGAAGACATCACATCAAGTCTCTGATTGTTTGTGCGCTTTGAAGACTGCCTGTAAAACTGCCTCAGTAATTAAGTAGAATGACTCCATTTTGCCACATAAGTATGGTTATGGCTCCTGGGTGGCTGCAATTAATATAAAAGCAGATTAAGGAAGCCATCATCAAGGCGTAATGAGTTTTTAAATATTAATTAATATGTTAATAACCATTCTAGGTTAAGAGTGAGGTTTTGGTGCTGCTAGAGATTATTTCTGCCAGGGACCCAGGAATGCCTGCATCCTGCCCCCATACCACCACTCTTCCAGTGGGGTTCCAGAGGGAGCGGCAGCAGAACAGAAATCAGAGCCCAGGCTCATGAGCACCCGTGCTGTGTGAATGCCCACGGCCCTGGCCCCGCGTGCTGCTAGCTGACGGGAACATGGACCAGCGGCTTGAGGTCCTCAGCAGGGTCTTTCACTCCCTAGATCTACCTGTGGCATCAGCACATCCAGGTGGGCCTGGAGGACACAGAGAAACCCCACGAGAGGTTCTGAGCCCACATATCCTCCCAGGCCATGGAACCAGAAGGGATGAGAGGAGAGGAGCAGAGGAGAGATGACCTCAGGACCCAGGGCTCACACCCTTCCTGGGTCAGCAAGAAGCCACGAACCTGAGTTGGTGCCGGCTAAGCCTGTGGCCACACCCAGTCAATAGCTTGGGTTCTGACTAAGCAGCTTGGCAAAGCCCTCCTTTGAAGGAAGCTGGGAGCAGTTGTCAAAGCGTCCTTTTGTCTCTAGTCACCCGGTTTTGTCTCTCTTGACTTTCTGATCTGTCTCACAGAAGCATAGCTGCCTCCCTTGGGGGACAATCAGCAGCCCATCCACACAGCTCCGTTTCTAGTTCCACTGATACCTACTAGAGCAGCTGCAGTCCCCAAACCTGCTGAAATCGGTTAGAACAGGACATTATTAATGGACTCCAAGGCCACCTAGACATTTAAGCCAAAAATGTGCCACCACCCCCTCCTCTTTCCCCACCTTAAGTTACAACCAGTCCATGTCCAAAATTCTCCCTTCCCCATTGTTTTTCGGCTGTCTCAAATAGAGGGGGTCTTCCTCGGAGGAGGCCTGGGGGAGTGTGGGGTGCCTTTTACCCTTGCAGCCTGGATGGAATTCTTCTGTCATTTTCAAGGTTGTTTTGAGTGAACTTAAAGTCTCTCATCTGTGCCATTCTTCCTAAAACTGCATATAAAACAGCCACAGCCCCAGATCCAGGCCATTTGGAACCAAATGTGACCACTCTAGCAGTGGCATTCCCAGGGTGGGATGAAGGTCTGGAATTTCTGTTGGCAGCCATGGGCCACAGCTGGGTGGTTAGAGCCTGGGGACAAGGGTCAGGTTTCATTGCCACCTCTGGCCCTATGTGACATTCATCAAATCAGTTTCCCCTTCTGCAGACTGGGCACGAGTGTCCTGCCCTGCTTGCTTTGCAGAGCCACGGAGATAAACCCAGAGGAATCACTTTGCAAACTGCAAGGTGAGCCGCCAAGATGAGAACACTATGTTACCCACCGTGTCTCCTCCTCTCCTCCTTGCTCTTTCTCCACATGAAACAGCTCCAGGGACGAGGTGGCATCAGTTAGGAGAAACCCCTGCCAGGCCCGGCCGGAACTGCCTCCCAGAATCCTCCCATCCCTACCCCACCTCCGCTCTCACCCTCATTTCCCTTCCTCATTCCTCCTCATCCTATTTCCCCAGATAAAATATCCTATCCTAAGGTACAGTCCTAAGGGCATCCAGGTGTCCTAGGTTGAAGGCAGGTGCTCATACTCAGAGCTAGAAGCCTAATTCCCTAGCAGATCAACATTCCAGAGTACAAGTCTGCAAAACCTCACACACACACACACACACACACACACACACACACACACACACCCCTCAGACACCCCACATCATGCTCAGCCCCACCCAGCTCAAGCACAGGTCTAGGAAGCAACTGGGGAGGTGACTTGAACATCCTCTCCCAGAAACCATCCAGGTACACTTCCACCCAGGGGCATGAAGAAAGTCCAGAATGCTGTGAACACAGAGCTGCCACCTTCTGTTCAGATGGTTTCAAACTTGCAGGGACAAAGGGCTGAGCTCCCTGAGGAGCAGCAGCTGGGGCTGGGGAAGCAAGAGGAGTGCTGCAAGACTTGCGGGCAAGCCCACATCAATTAGGCTCTGATTAGAGGAGGGGGCCAGGTGGGTTGCTGGCTGGGCGCCGGCCCCTCCGCGGCTGAAGCTGAGCTTCCGTAATTGGAAGCCCAGCCTGGCAGGGCTGGGCACAGACTTCATGCCGAGAGAGAAGCCAGCCAGGCGCAGCCTGAATGCTTCTGTTTCTGATCTCTTCTTGCAGAAAAAAAGAGCAAAGCTGCTGGAGCTGCCTGGCCTCCAGCTTCCGGGAGGAGGGGAACGACGGGTTCAAGCAGCGGCCGCTGCCTGCTAATTGCGGCTTCTGAGGCTTGAACAAGGGCTGCAGAGGCAGGTGTGAGGGTGGGGCTTTTCCCATCAACTTTCCCACAGAGACCCTTCCCATGCTGCCCTCACCAGGCAGTCAGTACTCTGAGGCCTGGAGGGTGCCAGGGAGAAGATTCCCAAAGGTTTTAGCCTCAAAGTTCTACCCCAAGCTGGGCAGGCCACATGCACTGAGTATGGGGTGACTGATAACCACAGAGGTTAATACGGCACACCTGACTGTTGTGCATGGAAATGTGGCTGGTCTGACTGAGGAATCAAATCTGTCATTTCATTTATTTCAATAGCCACATGGGGTTAGTGGCTACGGTACTGGACGGCTCTAGGTCGAAGTGAGGAGATGCTGCCCAGATTTCCCACTGGGTCGCACAACTGGTGCCCAGCTGGGTGAGACCTGGAGGAATGACTTGGCTGTCCTCTGACCCTGTCCTCTCCATCTACAAAAACGGGGTGTTCCTTCCTCTCCTTGTCCAGCCTGAGCAGCAGCTCCAGGCCCGCCCTTCCAGGTGCAGTCAGGGATTGAGGCCAGCAGCACAGCCTCTGGGGCCAGGTGGACTGGCTTTCACATCTTGCTCTGCCACTTACCAACAGGCCACTAAGCTTTTCTGAACCTCCACTTCCTCATCTGTAGAATGGGGATGATAAATACTAATACTATCCACTGAGGGTTACTGAGAGGGTTGAACGAGTGAGTACACAAGGTGCTTAGACCAGTGCCTGGCATGTCGGAAGCGCTTCGTAAATGGTAGCTTTTGTTGCTGTCACCATCACCATCACCATCATCATCACAGTTGGCATGCAACAAACAGCAGCCACATGGAGAAGGAGTGCTGATAGGTCTGTTCTGCAGTGAGGCTGCAGACCTGACAAATGGAGTTTGAGCCAGGAGCTTCTCCTTGAGTAACAGGGAGTAAAAGCTGACGGGAAAGAAACCAAACGCCGTTCTACCCCGTAACAGGGGGTGCAGGGGTGGGGAGCTGGGGACGGAGGATTACACTTTGCTAACTGAGGAAGTACATCCTTTCAGAGCACAGATTCAGATCTAACAGTTGCTGAAAATTGAGTGGGACTTACAGGAGGTGTGCAGGAATCTGCCCGTTAGTTACAGGTATGAAGCTCACCCCAGTGGGAACAGAGACAGGGAAATCCACCCAGGAGCATCCACGTCCACCTTTGACTGTGAGCCTGGAGCTCTTCCTGCCCACAGCAGTCCTGTGAGACCCAGGTGGCACTGGGCCTTAGGGGAAGGGGCTGTGGAGGGGGAGAAGAAGGAGTGGGGGCCTCAAACTCCTCCAAAGTGACTGGCTGACAGGGGACCCTGCCCTGCGAGGGAGGACCGACGGCTCGCCACTGTCATCCTTTCCTGCGGACAGTGGTGAGGTTTTCGTGGGAGAGGTGGGTGGGATGTCAGACAGGGAGGTTTAAAGAAGACCAGTGGTGGGGGCGTGGGGGGACCTTAGGGCTGATGGGGGCAGATTTGGAGCATGAGGGCACCCAGGAAGAAGCAGTTCCTATAAAGGATCAACAGTATCAGGGACATGCCTGGGAGGCTCTGGAGAGCCTGTAAACTTTCCCTCTGTCCATAGCAATTCCTGCCAATTCCGGCTGGGGCATCTGAGGAGCCGGAAGACCCTCATCTCCGCTGGCTTTGGGAAACAGGGACACCAGCTGTCAGATAGCTGGACCGTGACTCATGGCTCTCAGCAGTGGTGACTGTCTATGGAGGTCCAAGGCCCTTGGTGGAGCTGAGAGCACTCCGCATGACCCCCAATGCCAGGGGAGCACTCTGGAGCTGACTGTGCAAGAGAGACAGGAGCCTGACCCCAAGTTGGCCCTGAGCTAGAGGAAGCCGTCCCTGAAGTGGGGCGGGGCCCACACAGCTGGACTGCATTAAATGAAGGTGGAGGCGCTGCCCCGCAGTTGTGCAGCCTGAGGTCCTGGGTGCCCAAGCCCCAGCTGTCTCCCTCCTTCCCGGCCTGCCCTCTTCCCTCCTCCCGGCAGGGCTGTCATCAGACTCATTGGCTCCCAAGTTCTGAAATGAACTCTGCTCCAAGTAATTACAGCTCTTCAAGTTTCCCGTCCTCTGTTTAAAGAATTCGTCCTCTTGCCCTCAATGCCCCATCGGCTCCCTAATTAGCAGCGCGCGGCGCGATTACACATTCTCTGCAGCTCGCTGGGTCCGGCCCCCGCAATGAGTGTTTGTGGACAGCTGGGAGCCCGCCCAGCAGCCCGCGGAGCCAGGAGTCAGGGCCCAGGAGTGCGAGCTGTCAGCTCCGTGATGGGGCTGGAGCTGGTCGCAGCCCCGCGGGCCTCCAGGAGGAAAGGCCTTGAAATATAAATGAAGATGAATATTCATATTTGGTTCAATAAGTGCCAACTATTAATATACATGTCTGTCGGGAAGAGGAGGCAGTGCAGAGCCAGTTGTGCCGGGCATAATTGGGCTCCTAATTCACAATTAGCCTTGAGCTCCAGGCCTCTGCACAGCCAGAACCTGGGCTCGGAACCGCGGGAGGGGCAGGAGCCTGCTGCAGGGAAGTCCCTGAACTCCCCAAGGGTCCTCCTGCCCTCACACCCCTCCCCACTAGGAGAAGGCTGGGGAAGAAGAGGAGGCCCACAGTCCCCCTCCAGGAATCCCCCAGGAATTGCAGCCTTCAGGTGCACCCTAGGGTCACCTTTGAGCCATGCAAACTGCTCCTGAAAACTGGAGTAGGGGAGCTCTACATGGGGCCACCAGCTCAGATGAGCTCACACCCAGTGTGTCACCAGAGCCCCACATTAGGAAATGTCTGAAGAGGTAAGACAACTGAAGCCAGAAAATTGCAGGTACTCAGCTCAGCTTGGCCACTATCGACTCTGAAGTTTGGTTTAACAGGGGCTTGCCTGTATGGCCAGAGTCTCTCTGGCCCCGCCTCCCCATACAGGCTCCTGGTGTCACTCAGCCTCTTTTCCTAGCTTGAGCTCAAAGCAGCCCTCTCTTGGTTCTCCAGACTCTGCCCACATGTCTTCTATTATGACACAGCTGCCACTGGGCCTTCTCCTGCACTTCCCCTACAAATCACCGGCTGCCCACCAGTGGCCGCAGAGCCGGGCTGAACCCTGCCCTCTCCTGGGACACCAGGGAAGACCACACTGGAAGACGTCAGGGTTTGAGGACTGGGGGAGTCCCAGCTTGGGGTGGGGGGGCATGTCTGAGCTCTAGAAATGAGCTGGGACCCCACCCTGCTCACACCTGAGGAAGCTGCATAGACTCCCTTAGCCAACAGCTCAGTCCGCCTCCAATGCATTGGTGAGTGGGGGCGCCTTGTGCCTGTGTGCTCAACCCAGATCTGTGCCAGCCAAGGGCAGGGGCTGAGGTCTGCCCTCCGGCCAAGGTCTAACCGTCAGGCTGGGAAATGAGCGCTCAAGATGCCGGCCTGAAAGAGTAGTCTTAAAGGCACTGCTACAGGGCGCCTGGAGGGTGAAGAGATGGTTGTAGAGGTCATCCAGGTACTCTTCCACCCGAGGAATGGCCAGGAACAGCTGGGACAGTGAGAGGGGGCGGGTGCTGCGACAAACCAGCCTGAAGGGGCTCCCACTGGCCAAATCTGGGGCAACGTGAACATCAAAATAAATAATGATAGTAGCAGTTTATAACCCATTGAAAGAAATAGGAAGCCATGAATCCATACTGACATAAATGAATAAATTGAAAATTTAATGAGGAATGGGATATTTACACAGTCTCGTAATACCTTCCCACATAGTTATTAATTACAAACAGAAAAAGAATAAATTTACAGTGGAGAGAAGGCTGGCAGATACCACCTTCCTCACGTGATCAAAGTGAGCATCAGCAATGGGACAGTCAAAACCCTGTGCCTCCCGACAAGAAGCGCGGGGATGAGCCCACAGTAACAGGCCTACCCAACACGCACAGCCTGCGTTGACCCTTGAGAAACGTTAGATAAACCCAGATTGAGGGACAGCCTGTCCAATACCGGCCTGTCATCACAAAGGCAATAAGGTCAGGAAAGACCAGGCACTATCCCAGATTGAGGGAGACAGAGGAACATGACAACTGAGTGAGATGTGTGACCCCAAAACTGGGTCCTTTTGCTCTAAAGGACATTGTTGGGATGCTTGGTGCATCTTGAGTGGGGCAGAAGACTGACTGCTAGTTATATGTCAGTGCTAATTTGCTGATTTTGCTGTGTTGAAGGAGAAGGTGTTGAGGGAAATGCATGCTGAAGTGTTTTCTTGATGGGCCCCACGTCATCACCCTGTGTTTTCAAATGGCTCAGGGAAAAAAGTTATGCGTATTGGACTTCCTACTTTTCTGTAAAGTTGAGGTTATTTCAAAGTAAATTTTAAAACGGCAGGGAGAGGTGCTGGTCTAAACTGAGGTCCAATGCTGGGGAAAACAGAAGCCCAGACCCCATGTCTTAACAGCATGATGCTGGGTGGTCCGGGCAAGGCTTGCTGAGCAGAGAGCCTCATAGGCCTGCGCGCCTCCTCAGTCACTTGCCTCCAGGTGGTGGGTGAGACAAGTGAGGATTTCTCTGGAGCGACCATGTAGAGCTGCTCTTCTCCCCTCCTCTCCCCCAGGGCCGGGACAGCACTGCCCTGCAATCAGAGAGAGGGGTTCTTGAGGGGATGTGGCCTGTGTCCCCTGAGTTCGGGGGCAAGGGCCTGACACTTTCCTGTGCAGTTGGCACAGGGGTGGTCTAGCAGAACTTGCCTGGGCAAAGGCAAGCATCCCCCTTAGCAGCAAGAGAAAGGCCATGGGGCTCCAGCTTTCTTAGAAGAAAGGAGACTTCCTGGTGAGGCATGGTGACTTCCAGAGGTGACCCCAACAGAAAGGGCATGCAGACACACCCAGGGTGGTAGTAAGGACAGTTAGCTGATGTTCCAGTGCTGTGGTCCAGGCTGGCTCAGCCCAAGCCTTGGCCTCCAGGGCTCACCCCTGCACAAGAGGACTGCTCTAGGACCTCAAAGCAGCCCCTGCCTCTTTGTCCCAGTCTGTTCCTGGCTGCTGCTAAGATGCAGGTATCTGTAAATTCAATTATTGCTGCGACTTGATGGTGGCATGACACCCTACAACTCCACAGTTTAGAGCAACATTGATTTGCCTGTTCCCAGGTCTGCAGGTTGGCTGGGTGACTCCACTTCAGGATGCTGGTCAGCAAGGGATGGCTGCAGGGTCTTGTTGGGTTCAGGCCGGTTCCTCTGGCCCAGCAGAAGGCACAGCTCCCGGGCCTGCACTTCCTCATCTCTAACCATCAAAGGAGCACGAGAGGCTAGGCAGAAACACACAAGGCCTAGCCCCAGGTCCACATTGTCACTTCCATTGTCCATTGTCCAATACAAGTCATGGCATATATTAGTCTTTTATTGCTGCTTTACAAATTACCATGAAATTGGTGGTTTAAAACAATGCCCATTTATGAGTCCACAGTCTGTAGGTCAGAAGTCCAGCACAGTCTGATGGGCTCTCTGCCCAGGCAGAAATCAAGGTGTCAGCTGTTGCATTCTCATCTGGAGCTGGGGCTCCTCTTCCAGGCTCATTCCTGCTATTGCGGCTGCAGGATTTTTCCATGCCCTCGGAATACTGATGTCCCCGTTTCCTTGCTGGCTGGCACCCAGCATTGCTCCCAGCTTCTGGAGGCCGCCTGCATTCCTTGTCATGTGTTCCCTCCATCATCAAACTAGCAATAGTGCAACAAATCCTTCTCGTGCTTTGACTCTTTGGCTTCCTTTTGTGTTGCTAACCAGGGAACATGCTCTGCTTTTAAAGGTCTCACTTGCTTGGTTTAGATCCATGTGGATAATCTCTGTATCATAAGGTCAACTGACTTAGGACTTTAATTACATCTGCAAAATCCCTCCACAGCAGTACCTAAATTAGCGTTGCATTGAAAAATAGGGATCAGGAATCTTGGGGGGTCACCTTTACAATTCTGCCTACCACATACGGCCAGGCCCAACATTTTTGGGTGGGAAAATGTATACCTCAAGAGAGAGGGGAGCGAAAGGTTAGTGAACCATTATCCCACCTAACAGTGTTCCTGGAAAGCCTGAGGTTCATTCATCTATCCACCAGCTATCCCTGCACCTGGGCAGGGCCAGAGGGAAGGGGAGGGCTCCATGCCTGTTCCCAAGAGGCTCTGTCACTTCCTTCTTCCCAAGATGGTCCGGGACAACCACCCAGGTCTCAGAGACCCGCCTGAGCCTCCCTCCTGGCCCCCTGTCCTGCCTCCCTTGGGTGGTTGTCCAGCCTGCACCTCATTCCACATCGAGCCTTTCCTGGGCAGCCACCAACCTGCATCTGACCAGACCCCTGCCTGCCCTCAGGTCTCCCAAGAGGCTGAGGCCCCGCCCTTCACCCCAGCCCCCACCCACCTGCTCACTCTCCAGCATTTGCCCTCTCCACCGCCCCCACCAATCCCTGACTCTCAATGTGCCAGGCTCGCCTCAACCTCTGGACCTTTCGTTGCACTGGTCTCTCCTCCCCTCTGAGCTCTGGGGCTCTTCTTCTCTTATCCCTATATCCAGGCTTTCCCAATCCCTCAAAGCCTAGCTTGTCTCCTCTGCTTCTTCAGGAAGCCCCACCAGCTGCTCACCTTGGGCTCTGTCTTATCTGTACGTGGAGCTGGTGGAACGCCTCTGCAAGGGTCAGGACAGGATGGCAGGATCCCTGGCCCACACAGCAGCACAGTGGCATGGAGGGGGTGTTCCACGGCAGCGAGTGGGCACCCACCCCACCACTGCTGGATCCCCTGCCCCATATGTCAGTGGGCAGGAGCCTGTGCTCACGCGGGCCCATGGCCACCCTCTCACATGCCTGCTTGGCCACTCTGCTTCTTTCTCACCTGGTCAGACACCTCCCCAGGACGGTTCAGTATCTCGGCTGCCTCATTGCCCCAGATGTGACATCAGTTTGGAACAAGTCTGTGCCTCCATGGGGCCTAGGAGCTGGACTCAGTTTGACTAGAGAGGGTGAGCTGCCTTCCAAACTCTGGCTCTGACTGTTCTCTGGGCAGCAGAGGCTTGGGAAGGGAGGGCCGGGGCCCAGCGACTGAGGGGCTTTGAGAACAAGGTCACATATCGGCAACCGAGAGCCAGTCAAGCTCCGTCCATCAAGTTTTTAACTAGAAAAATAGTGTGCCCATTTCTCTGTAATACACCTCTGGGCTTTTTTATGATGACTTCATTTCCCCTTGTAATATTGGAACGTCTCTATAATTGTAAAAGTGTAATAGAATCTAATGGAATTTCATTTGGCGCCCGGAATGCTCCATGCCATGGTCGCTCATTCGGAGTGAAATAATGATGTCTAATGCCCACACACGGCTCCCCGTGACCTTATTCAATCTTGGGGCTGATCGGGAAATATATTGATTCAATTATACACTGATGACAAATGAACTCAAAGAAAGAGGAAAAAAAGGTCAGCATATATTTGAAAATGTAAATCTTAGCAATGTCTTTGGGGTTCACCCAACAAAAAAACCATTTCAAAACGCCATTTGTGGCTAATAGTGTGGAGTTCCAGACTCCATTAGGGAGGCACGTCACTGGCTGGGAAGGCATTAATGGGGTGTCGCTTCTCTAGAGCTGGGATCAGGCCCAGATCCTCCCTGAGCAGCTCCTGCCCTGCACGGCCTCTCCCTGAAGCTGCCCCTTCCTCAGCAGCAGCCAGCTTCCTTCTCCTTTTTTTCCCATCCATTTGCCATCCCTCCTTCCTTCCTCCCTCCATCCCTCTCTTTCTGCCTCTCTCCCTCCCTCTCTTCCTCCCTCCCTCCCTCTTCCTTCCTCTCTCTCTCCCTTCCTTCCTTCCTCCCTCCTTTCCTTTTTTCCTTCCTTCCTGAGAGAGACTGAGGAGACAAGGGTGACAGGGTCACGCACTGCACACCTGAAGGGAGTGAGCCTGGGGAGGGTTCTGGGTGAGCTTGGGCTCCAGGGTGGAGCAGGTGCCCCTTGGGCGGGACCAGAGCAGCAGGTGATGACCGAAGTGGGAGAAAGTGAAGATTAGCGCTGAGAAGTCCGGCATGGGCTGAGGAGTAGCCAGAGAGAGGGAAGGGCAACCAGGAGGGCCGGATTACTGGGGGCGGGCGAGGGAAGAGAGTGAAGAAGGGGAAAAAGGCCAGCCACATGGAATACTGTCAAATTCTTGAAGATGGAGCTGCACAAAATTCACAGGATTTCTCCACTTAAAAATTTATTTATTTAAGAATATTTTACATAAAGTACACACATTTTCAGTATACAGCTGGATGATTTTTAAAATAAATTTACATATGCCTGAAACCACCACCCAAATCAAGATCTGGAATATATCCCACACCCCAGTGGACTTCCTCATGACCCAGTTAGTACCCCCACCTCCCCCAGGTAACCACTCTTCTGGCTTCTACCCCCATAGATTAGTCTTGCCTGCCTTTGAACTTCGTGTGACTGGAATCATAAAGTTTGTACTTGTGTTTTGCATCTGGCTTCTTCCCAGCGTTGTCTCTGTGAGAGTCATCTGTGCAGGTGCATGTACCAGCAGCTCTCGCTTTGCACAGCGGTGCGTGCAGGACACACAAACAACCGTGCGAATTGAAATCACACGGGGAGATCCTAGTCAGTGGAGGAAAAGTATAATTGTTCTGTGACCTTTAGAAGTTTCTTTGTCAAAACGTTAAAAACGGTTACTGTTAGTTATAAATATAGTTGGGAAATAAAAACAATAGTAAAACTAATACTCATTTAGTATTAGTTTTAATTCTGATGCAATTTTAGACATCAGAGACATTAAGAATTAAAGTGTTTCATTTCTTTGTAAAAAGCTTATGAAGAGCAGATTGAACAGTGCTGGTCGTGTCACTTACAATACAGGCAAGCATCTTTTCTATGTGTTGGCCAATTGTCAGACTGTGTTCTGAGTTTGGATCTGCTTCCAACATTTCCTCCTTTGTGTTTTCAATGTTGCGAAATATCTCTGGAAGTTCCTTCGGTGTGAAGTGTTTTTGCGAGCGTCACTATCTCTGGGGCATGTTCATCCATTTCATCACAACCTCCTTCCTCGTTTATGTCAATACGTTCGTCTTCACTAAGTTCCTCTGCTGCACATGTGGAGCCAAATGGTGGCGACGTCGTCGGTGGACGTTCCCAGTCAGCTATTTCTTCTACAACTCCATTTACGTTGGAGTCGAATTTTACTTCTAGCATTATCATTTTCATTTCTTTGTTGCAATTTCCTCTTTGTTAACTAATTCCTTCTTTCAGTTGGAGATTTTTCTGAAGTGTCATGTGGGTTTCTAAACTGAAGACAAAGAGACAACACAACTGCACACTTTGCTGTGTGTGAACTGCCTGGCAGATGCCCAGTGTCCAATCACCAACGGCCTTAGAAAGAGTGATGTGATTGGTCATTGATCATGATATGTATCTGCTATTGATGGAGCAACCTGCAAACTGAAGAGCCAGCAGGGAAGTTTACCCCTTAGGCCACTACTCACAGTTTAAAATATGCCAGTAAAATGGTGGCTGAAATTTGAACCACCTTGTTGAGAGACTGAAACTGCTTAATTAAACCATGGTAACTGGAATTTGTGCATATCAGAATCACATAAAATGAAGACTGTCTATGTACGTAGTTTGTTCTTTCTCATTGCTGTGTACTACTTCATTGTATGAATATGCCACAATTTATTTATCCCTTCTTCTGTTGATGGACGTAGGGGTTGTACCAGTTTTGCTCTCCTACGCATATAGTTGCTATGAATGTTCTTGCACCTGTCAACATATGCACTCATTTCTATTGGTTAAAGATTTCTCCACTTGGGTTCACCAATTATTTCATGTGACCCCCCCCGCCCCGCCCAAGCAAATCCCTATGCTCACAAAGCTGGGAGCCTCTGAGCCACATCTATGAAGAGGGAGGAGTCACAGTGTCATGATTGGGCTGAGATGGGAGGAAGGGCCAGCAGGGAACAGCTGGTTAGTCCCTTCTCCTCCTCCCAACCCATTTTACAGATAGAAGGAAAGACTCTAGACCCAGGGGGACGTGTCTGAGGTCACACAGAGAGTCAAACCTCTGGGGCCACTCAGCTGCCCTCCACAGGCCTCACTGCCCTGCCTTGAGGTGCAGTTGCTCCCCAGCTGTGGGGCTGGAATTGCCTTATTCTGGGGCTGCTGGAGTTCTCCCTTTCTCTTCAAGAGCAAATTCCTCCACTCTCACCCTCATGAGGGGGCTAGGAAGCTGACGGGGACCTTCCCTCCCTGCCGGACACCCCAGAAGCTTTCAGCAACACTCAGCTCAGCCCCGCTGCCCCATTTAATTCTCATAATTAGCTGACAGCTCATTAGCAGCTCATTATAAGCCCTGGAAATGCAGTGACAGTAACAAATTCAGTGCAGCCAGCCATTCTGGGGGTGTCCCCAGGGGCCTGACCCAGGTTGGGCTTCCAGGGGGCTGCTGGGAATGAGTTCAGCCTCTGCCCATGTCTGAATCCACAGAGTCTGAATCCTATTCCTTGGATCCCATTTACCGTTACCACCCCTCCACCTCCACCTACCCACTGCCACTTTCCAGCCCAGCTCCCGGCTGCAGGGCCTTCAGCTACCTTTCCCACGTTTCTCTCCTGAGAGGACAGGTAGGAGGAAGTAGCCTGGCTCCAACCCAGGAAGGGAACCCGAAGCCTCTAGGGGGCCCCCGAGAACACAGACTCTCTGCCATTACTGGGCACCTGGCCAAGCCCCCAAGGCCCATGCGCCCACCTTCCACCCCACAGAGTCCTGGAACTCGGGCTTCAGCACCCCTCTCCATTTGTCCTTCCAGCTCTGGTCTCAGCCTTTCCGCCTGTCTGTATATCTGTCTGTCTATCTGTCTGTCTCGGTCTATTTCCATTTATTCAACATCCATTAGGCACCTACTACTTGCCTGTTCTGGGGTAAGTCTGAAGGAGCTGCAGGGATCGTTAGACAAAGTCCATACAGGAAGACTTTCTCACGGCACAGTGGGGAAGGAAAAGGGGGAAGCAGACCACTACAACCTTGTGGGATAAGGGCTGGATAGAGAAGAAGTTGCTGAAGCATCAGAAGGGGATCCAGCTAGGCCTGGAGTGGGCCCATCAGGGGAGGCTTCCTGGAGAAGGCAGCCTCTTGGAGGAGCAGGAGTTTGCTGGTCTGTCAGTCTGTCCCAGGCCAGCCTCTGCACCTTCATCCTCTTTGCAGCCCAGGCCCTCTCCTTCCTACAGCCAAGCCCTTCCACTTCTTGGTCTCAGTCTCACTGAAGGCCCCAGGACACAGGACAGAGACTGTGAACAGGGCCAGCCCCACAGGAGACGGTTAGAGCCGGAGGGAAAGGAGGGACAAGAGCGACTTCTACAGAAGGGGTGGGAGAGCACAGACGGGGTCGGGGGAGGCTCACATGTGAGGGGCTGAGTCCTGAGTGCCCAGGTGGCCCCAGCCTCTAGCAGGCCAAGTGACCTTGGGCAAGTGGCTTATCTCCCCTGGGTTCCCTTTCCCCTCTGTGCTCTGCGAGGAATCCAGCAAGGTGGGGCCTGACCACAGTCTGTGTGCAGGAACAGGGGCATCCAGTGTGGCCACCAAAGATCAAGGCTCTGCAAGAGAGGCCCAGACCCCAATCCTGAGCTCCCAGTTCCACCTTGGGGTGGCCATACATCTGCCACAGGGATCGATGAGAAGTCATTATCAATGCCTCATGTTAATGACACCAATTAATTCCCCATCTGTGGGTCCAATGCAGCCTTCAGCGCTGAAGGTTAAAGGGAGGGGACTGGCTCAGGATGAGTTTTCCCCAGGGATGGCAGCTACAGGCCAGTTTGTGTGGCTTGTGAGAGTCTGAGGCCTTGCACTTGGGACTGTACAGTGTGTGTGTGTGAGCACACACATGTGTGCAAGTGTATTTGTTATTCTTGTGTAAAAAGAATACATCCATGCCATGTGTGTACATAGGTGTGCATTCTATGTCTGCATTGTGCATATACAAAGAGTTTATGTAACAGTTTATGTGTAGAAAGTATACGTTTTGTATATATGTGTGAACAAAGTACTAAATGTGTACAAAGCGTGTGTGTATAAGTTCTGCTTCTACATCATGTTTGTAGACAATGGAGGGCTTATATCTGTGCGCACTATGCATGCCAAGGTTATGTGTGTGAGTCCTACGTCTGCAAATGCTGAGGACAAAGTATTTGTACCTCCTGTATCCATGCAGATTGTGAGTGCGTGGGTATACATTGTGTATATACACGCATCATTGTACAGATGTGTACAAGCCCATGCTGACGTGTGTTCACATCATTGTACATTCATGTTCTGACTATGAGATATGGGGACCACAGGCTCCTCTCTGCTTCTTTAGGTACTGAGGTTCTGCCCCTGAGCCCAGGACTCTAAGGGTAGATCTTCCTGCACTGTGACATGGACCTGATGCTGCCTGAACTTCAGCTGGGTCTTGAAGAATGAGTAGCAACTCACCAAATAAATGGAGTAGTAGAGAAGGGAAAGGGGTTCCAGACTAAAGATGCTTTTCAAACACAATGATTGTTCTGAGTGTGCTACACACACTCACATAATCTTCACAGCAACCCTACGAAGTGGGCACTATCACCATTCCTATTTTACAGATGAGGAAAATGAGTTCTAGAGAGTTTGGTAGCTTGCCCAAAGGCACATGAGGCTTGAAAATGGTATAGTCGGGATTTGAACATACACTCATACATTCACATACACACAATGATATGCACATTGAACATGCAGACAAGACAGTGGACACACTCATCACACACACACACGTATACACAGTGCACACGCCCAAACCCAGGCTATCTCCAGGTGTTCCCATCTGTCCAGAGTGACTTGGGCCAGAGCTCTGGCTCAGCCCTAGCTTCTATGGGGTGGTGGAGCAGGAGGGAAGGGCAGCGAGCATGTGATGAAGCGGGACTGAGGGATATAACTGAGGGTGGTCTCCATCCTCTAATCCTACTCCTGCAGCCAAGCAGCAGAGGGCGGGATCCTCCCTGCCCATCACACCCAAAGAAGTGGACCCACTTCAAAAACCTCAGTATAGTCTCACTTCCTCCATCAGCTATGGGGGAAGGATTCTGTCCACCCTGTCCCTGCATGGCTATGGAAAGGACTCCCTGGGAAATGGGAGACCCTAATCCCCCACCCGGGCCTCCTGTGTCCCCAGTTTCCTCAAGAGCCAGCAGTCACTGAGTTTCAAAAACAAGATACCTGAAAGCTGCTGCCTGTCCCATGCACGATGTTGCCTCTTGCCCAAGGAGGGTCCCTGAGAGCGATGCTGTCCTTGGCCTGTGCCATCAAGGTCGAACTGGGCCCTGGCTACCCCCTCACCCTCAGCAGACCCAGGATGGGCAGCCTGCCCAGCCCAACAGCGCCAGAATGCCCGGCCTGTCGCCTCTCCCCTGGGCTCTGTCTCTTCTTAATTAATAGAAAGCCATTGTGAATACTAAAGAAGAAATTAGCACATGCCAGTCATTTCCGGGTGTTTATAGATTTCTGGATCCATCTCTAATTAACCCCTCCAGTTCTGAAGCCCTGCCCGAGTGGCAGGTTCTTGCCTCCCCTTGGATGGGAGCTTGGCCCCTGCCCTCAAGGAGCCCCAGTCTGGTTAGCCTTGTTTCCCTGCTTCAAAGTGACTTCCCATTAATCTCAGGATCCAAAATAACTTACCGCATTTCCCCCGGGGAGGGCCCCAACCACCTTAAGACATTGGGTGGTCAGATCAAGACATGAAATAAGCATGCCCTTTCACCTTCAAATCCACATCTGGGAATTTATAGAAAGGAGCTGATCACACAAACGAGCAGTGTGCTGAGGCAGCCCCATTACACAGCTGTTACCACCGCAGAAGCCATCAGCGTCTGCGTCCATCTGTATGGAATGCCGGTTAGGGGACAGAGAGAGCTACTGGGCAGCCATGGAAGGGTCGCGATACACATCTCGGTTCACTGCCATGGGGACATGTCCTTTATGCACTGTTTTGACAAAACTGCAGGTTACTAAAGTGTATTTATAATATGACATTTACATAAAATCATATTCATTGAGAGAGAAAGAAGGCTCAAGAGGCAGGTGTTTTGAAGTCAGGATAATATGAACACTTATCATCTCTGGGTAGTGAAGTCACTTTTTTTTTACCTTCTATTTTTACAGTTTTCTGTGGTGTTTGGGTTTTTACTCTGTGTGTGTGTGTGTGTGTGTGTGTGTGTGTGTGTGTATAATCAGAAAATCCAGCCAAGGTGTGCTATACGATGGCACAGGCAGCTCCAGGAAGCCCCAGGGGCAGTGGGAGGGGCTGATGGGATCTTCAGATCTAAGAGTGGGGACAGAGGGAGCTTCCAGAGAATGAGGAGGCTAAGGGAGTCCTGCCTGATGAAGCTTCTTTGTCATTTGTGTGGAAAGCTTCCTTGCAGGTGGGGGCAGTGGGGCCTGGGGAGGGAGGGTGGGGCAGCACCTAGCCTCAGTTCTCCCACCTCCTCTCCTCCTCCGCCTCTGCAGCCAGTGGGAGGGTGCAGCTGGCCTGAGTGGGGTTCCAGAGAGCTCTGATGCCGGAGCTTAGCAGGCCTGATCTCTCTTCCTGCTGACCCCAGTTTCTTTATTTGTAGAATTCTGAACTCTCACTGCTTGCAAATTCCTGAAAGGCTGAGCTCCAGCAAGGCCCCAGGACCTTGGTTGCTGTGCATGCCCTCTGCACAGCTAAGGATTGGGGCTGGGGGCTAGTCTTTGAGGCTTGAGATGCTAGGGCTTTAGCCTAAGGGGCCAGCCCAAGGAACACTGTCGCCAACCTGCACACCAAAGGCTCAGTCAGTGAGTGTTTCTGAGTGAGAATTCAGAGCCCTGGATGGGGGATGCCAGAGAGAGGCAGTTGTCTGATCTGAGTCTCTGTCTCAGGCCCTTCCGTGTTAACAACAGCCCCGTTCTGGTGCTCCAGCTACACCAATGAAGGCAGGAGGAGACCCCGTCTGAGGGGCCACCTGCCCTCCCAAGGGCCAGGGCTGGCTTGGAGCTGCTTTGGGAGGATTGCGGTAGAGCTAAGGGGGAACAGGGAAAATAGGCTGATTCAAACCTGGGCCTCAAAAGATGAGGCTTTTTTTTTTAAAGAAGTGGTGCCTCACTCTGCCACCCAGGCTGGAGTATAGTGGCACGATCATAGCTCACTGCAGCCTCCAACTCCTGGGCTCAAGCAATCCTCCCACCTCAGCCTCCTAAATAGCTGGGACTACAGAAGCATGCCACCACCCCCAGCTCATTTCTTAATTTTGTGTAGAGATGGGGTCTCACTGTGTTGCCCAGGCTGGTCTCAAACTCTTGGCCTCAAGTGATCATCTTGCCTTGCCTCCAAAAATGCTGAGATTACAGGCACGATCCACCCTGCCAGGCCCCAAAGCTGAGACTTTCTCCAACTCCCTGGTGCTTTCTCCACTTAGGGCTGTAAGGGAGAAGCAGAGGGCAGCACTGGGCCCAAAAACACTCCATTCCTGAGGCTACAGATACGGGGCCCAGACCTCCAACAGGGGACCTCAGTGGGGCAAATGCAACATCCTGAATTTAGGGTCAAAAAATCAACTGCTGAAGTTGCAGCTGGAGGAGACAAGGTAGCTCCTGGGGGCTGGAGGGGCCCCGGGCAAGAGTGTCACACCCTCAGCCACCCAAGGCACTGCCAACCTAGGCTCTCTTGTCAGGAGGACTGCGCCCAGCACGAGAAGTGGCTGGGAATTTGGTTCCTGGGCTCCATGTAAAGAGCCATGTTTTAAGAGGGACTTTGACAAACTGGTGGTCCAGAAGGGGATGAAGAGGATAGTGATGAGTTTGGAGATCATGAAGTGAGACTAGGGCTGGAGAGAGTTGTGGAAGGAGCGGGGCTGTTTGCCCTGGACCGAAGCTGAGGAGCATGGCTAATGTCTGATCCTGGAGGGCTGTTGGGGGCTGAGGAAGCACAAGTGCTCAGTGGGGGCCTGGGGCAGAGGAGGAACCATGAAGGAACGTAATGGGCTAAAGGGTGTCCTCCCCCAAATTCATGTCCATTTGGAGCCTCAGAAAATGACCTTGTTTGGTAAAAACGCTCTTTGCAAGGTGAAACTAGTTAAGGATCACAAGATGAAATCATCCTAGATTTAGGGTGGGCCCCAAATCCAATGACTGGTGTCCTTAGAGGAAGAGGAGAGGAGGGACCACCCAGAGAGACAGCAAGGAAGGCTGTGTGAAGACAGAGGCAGAGACTGGAGGGATGCTGCCACGAGCCGAGGAATGCCAGGAGCCACCAGGAACTGGGAGAGGCAAGGACGGATCCTGCCCAAGAAGCTTCAGAGAAAGCATAGCTCTGCAAATACCTTGATTTGGACTTCTGGCCTCCTGAACTATGAGGAAATGCATTTCTGTTGTTTTAAGCCACAGAATTTGTGGTAATTTGTTACACAGCCTTAGGAAACTGATATAGGGAGAAAGCATGGGAGGAAGGGTTCAGATGAGCAAGAGGACTTTTCCTTTCTCTTTCTTTCTCTTTCTTTTCCTTCCTTCCTTCTTTCTTCCTTTCTTTTCTTTTCTTTCTTTCCTTTCTCTCCCTCTTTCTTCTTTTCTTTCCCCTTTCTTCCTTTCATTTATTTCCCTCCCTTCTTCTCTCCCTCCCTCCCTCTCTCCCTCCCTTCCTCTTTCCCTCCATCCCTTCGTTCCTTTCTCCCTCTCCCTCTCTCTCTCCCTCCCTTCCTCCTTCCCTCCCACCCTTCCTTCCTCCTTCCTTCCCTCCCTCCCTCCCTCCTTCTCTTTATTTTTCCTTTATTTTTATTTTTTTGAGACTGGGTCTCACTCTCTTGCCCAGGCTGGAGTGCAGTGGCACAATCATAGCTCACTGTAGCCTTGACTTCTTGGGCTCAAGCAATCCTCCTGCCTCAGCCTCCCGAGTTGCTGGACCCACACCTAGCTAATATTTTGATTTTTTGTAGAGATGGGGCTCACTTTGTTGCCCAGGCTGATCCTAACTCCTAGGCTCAAGAGATCCTCCCACCTCAGCCTCCCAAAGTGCTGGGATTACAGGTGTGAGCCACCATGCCCGGCCAAGAAGTCTTTTCTAGTAGCTGGAATCACACTATTCCAGAGCAGACTGCCCTATAAGCCATGAGCTTGGTGTTGCTGCAAGGCTCAGGCCAAGTTCTATGAACACCAATCGGGCCCTTGTAAGGCCTTACAAGGTCTCACTCTGCAAAGCAGGGGGCTTTGAGTGATCCACGGGGTCCTTAGACCAAGATCCCATGTTTCTACCTGGCTGGCTCAGGCCTGGAGAAGGGGTGGGTGGGAGAGGGGGTAGGGAAACTGCTCATACTTGAAAGCCTCACCCCACCTGGGGTCCAACATGAACACCAGACACCCCAGTCTTTCAGGAAAACTCTCACAACCTCAGCTTCCCAGTTAGAAACTAGTAGAAAGGCAGACACTCATGAGAGAAATGTGGGGACAGTGAACCTTTGGCGCTTAGACTTTGGATTTGAGGCCTGCTCTTCATGCATCCCACCGCATAGGCGGGTTGAAGGGCGGCTAGTCCTGAGTTCACAGCCACATCTTCTTCCCAAGGCTGACTGGGACAGGCGTACTGCCTCCCTGACTGCCTCAATCTGTGGGGTTGCCCACTACAGCCCTTAAGACAGCATCCAAGGGCCAAGACCATGTCTTTCTGCAGACTGAGTTCATGTCTTGCTCTGGCTTGCAAGGCTGAGGGCGTGGCGGCCTCTTCCGGGGGCTCTGGGACCCTGCCACTGACCAGCCTCTCTGAGAAGATCTGCTTGGAAGGTGAGGACTGTCATGGAGGTAGCCAGGCAGGGCTCATCAAGACCCTAAAGGTCAGCTTGGGAAAAGACCCCATGCAGCAGGGAGGGCTTCTGCATTTAGCGCTTTGGGCAGTTGCAGAGTCCACTGTTCCCCTTAGGGCAGACCCAAATCTGGGGAGCTGCTAACCTCAGGTGGGCTGTCTCCCATGTCTGGACCTTGGCTGGGATGACTGGGCTCTGTGCCATATGGTCTCTCACCCTCCGGGAGGCTGGTCTCGGCTTGTTCTCACAGCAAAGGTTGGGAAGCAAGACAGCAGAAGGACGCGAGGCCTCTGAAGGCTTAAGCTCAGAACCCACATGTTTCTGGGCATGGCATTTCATCGGCCAAAGTGAGTCACAAGGCCAGCCCAGACTCAAGGGGTTGGGGAACAGACTCCAGCTCTTGATGAGGGGGCTACAAAGTCACACTGCTGGGGGTGTGGAGCCCTCATGGAGAGAGAACGCTGCCCAGATGATTTTGATAGGACACGTCAGCCTCTACCCCTACCAGGAGCCCTGGGTTAAAGGCAGGGGCAGGATGTAGCAGGTTGCCTGGGAGCTGCGAGGAAGACGATGAGGGTGCTAGTATGAGGATCAGGCTGGGCCCAGGCATGGCTGGGAAGAATATGACAGCAGAAAAGTAGAAAATAGACAGGAGGGGCCTCCACACAGGGGGCTCAGGGTGGTCTCAGGCCCAGATGGCTCTACTGGTCCTCAGCGGCATCACCAGGTGATACTGGCTCCACTGCCACCGTGATGGACCCAGCTATAAGCAGACCCTCTTCACAGCGGGATCATCCCAGTGATTGAGGCCCAGGCTGCAGGTTGTGGGGCGTGGAGTTCCTGGAAGAACACGGCTGAGTGTGAGCTGGAAAAATGTAAGTGGGTGGCCTTCTGGGGGCCTCCCTGGAACCCGTGCCTTTGACTAGTGGTTCTCAAAGAGGGGGCTGTGGCTGCAGCTGCAGGGGGCCCAGAGGCCCCTCCTGCCTCTCACCAGCAGTCCAAGTGTTCAGGTGCCTTCCTGGGCACTTAGCCATGACAACATGCAATTCCTGGTCTTCCCTGTCTTCTTTCATCTCAGGCCTCCTTACTGATACCCAATTATGTAAGCGCCAAAGTTATTAACACAATGCTTATGTGTGTCTTCCCAGCTCTCAGCTGAAGCCCTTGCTGCCTCCAAATCCAGTTAGACAGCCTGTGGAAGTCTAGAGATCTGGCTGATGTCTCCAAGCTGCCAGGGCTGACTTTCTGATGCTTCTCTCTGTGCCACTGGGCTCCCACTACCTCTCACCTGCCCCAGGGTCCACAGGGGCTCACTCAAGGGCCAATTAGAGCACAGAGCTCAGGCCCCTCCCTAGCTCCCACCCCCAACCCCCTTGTACTCTGTGAGCTGGGAGGTTGGGGGCGTTGGTAGAGGTAGGAGGTTATTTTCATCTGCTCGAGCTACCATAATAAAATACCACAAACCGTGTGGCTCAAATGAGAGAACTTTATTTTCTCACAGTTCTGGAGGCTGGAAAGTCTAAGATCAATGTCCTTGCAGGTTCAGTTTCTAGTGAGGGCTCTCTTCCTGCCTTGCAGATGGCCACCTTCTCACTGGCAGAGAAAGAGAGAGAGAGACAGAGAGAGAGAAGGATAGATCATACTCGGGGTCTCCAGTGTCTCTTTTTATAAGGACACTAATACTATTGGCTCCAGGCCCCAAACTTGTGACCACAATTAACCATAACATACCTCTATAAAATCCCTACCTCCAGATACAGTCACACTGGGGGAAGGGCTGGAGCTTTACACAATAATTTGGAGGAGGGGACACAAACATTCAGCCTGTAACAGTGATGTTCACGCAGAGAGGTCACACTGCAAACAGAGTGTTTCAATTACCTCGCTGTTCTTTTCTCCCTGTTCACCCAGAGCAGTGGACACATATTCCCCAACCCACCCTTCCACCAGCCCACCTCTCCCTCAAAGCTCTCTCCAGATTCTGGTCTGGCGGCCGCCTCATCTCCTAGCCCGAGGACCCACCAAGGGATATTTGGCAGGGAAGTATAGTTCCCTTCCTATGAGGAATTTTAACAGATAACATTTCCTCCATCTTGTAGCACAGACTAAATTTATTAATGTGTTTCCAGAGGATTCTGATGCCAAGCCCTCCTAAACAGTCTGGCAGCACTAATGCTCCCACAGAAATGCACACTTGCAAGGTTTGAAGAGATGCCATCCTGAGTGACTGTGGTTTTAATTAATGTTACTCTTGTCTTTTAACTACAGACTACTATTAATTTAGCTTCATCATTATCAATTTAGTCGCTTGTTGGTTAACCCTACAACTTGCAGTGACATTTATTTGCAATAGGGTTTCCAATGTACATCTTTCTAACAACTAGCATTTAAGGCAGGCATCCATATGGGTTGAAATGGGAAACATTTCTATCCCATGGCTACCTCAGAGGCAGGAATTACTCACCACTTCCTCCCCCCATTGCTTGACAGAAAGAAACTTATTATTGGTGATATACTCCTGGAACTTGTGTTAATTTAAGTAACTGGCCATATATGGTCAAGGTAAAAATAATAGAACTACTCAATGATTTTCAAATTCACAGATAATTGCTTTAGGATGTGTTTAAGCTTATATTCCTTAATAGAATGTAGGCAGTTCACACACGGTGCCAGCAGTGAGTTGTCTGCAACTTCCTTGTTTGCAAATTCTTTCCCTAGAAAGTGGAGGCAGATCAGTGAGCCATGGGGGTGGTTTCCCCCATGCTGTTTTCATGATAGTGAGTTCTTACGAGATCTGATGGTTTTATAGAGGGCTCTTACCCCTTCACTTGGCACTTCTCCTTCCTGCCACCTTGTAAAGAAGGTGCCTTGCTTCCCCTTTGCCTTCTGCCACGATTGTAAGTTTCCTGAGGCCTCTCCAGCCATGTGGAACTGTGAGTCAATTAAGCCTCTTTCCTTCATAAAGGAAAGGGCAAATTGGAAAAGAGTCTCTGGCAGTTCTTTATAGTAGTGTGAAAATGGACTAATACAAGGAGTCCTAGCCAGGAGAGTTGGGAAACTCAGCTTGGAGAATACAGGCTAATCTCCAGGCACTCAGGCTACTTAGATTTCCAGACATACAACAGGGCAAATGCATTCCTTTGCTTCCTTCCAGAGCCAGCCACCCAGGGAATATTCCAAAGAGGCTCCAGGGGAATGAGCGGGGTCAGAGCTGTGATTCCAGCCAGCCCAAGCATCACTGAGCGACAGCCACCAGGGCAAGGCTCTGGGAAACAGGGATCTCGGTTGATCCTTGGGAACCTGGGTCCTGGGCAGGAGGGGGCAGAAGTGACTATGACTTTATGTGTGTCTAAGCATGTCACGGGGGCAAGCTCAAATCTGTCCCCTGCAGCAGTGAGGGACAGAAGCTGCACACACGTGTGTTCACATGTGCATGTTGGGTGGGGCTGGGTGGAGGGTATTTAATACCATTAGCCAAAGCCAGGAGAAGGCAGACGGCTTAAGACAGAATTTGGTTCTCCGAGCTCTCCTTCCCCTCTTCTCTCCTGTGCACTTTCTTCATCAGGTCTGATCTCTGCAAGTGGAGAGGCATTTGCAATACAGTCTTGTCCTGGCAGGCTTTGATTCTTTTTTCTTTTTTTTTTTTAGATGGAGTCTCACTCTGTCACCAGGCTGGAGTGCAGTGGCATGATCTCAGCTCACTGCAACTTCTGCCTCCCGGGTTCAAGTGATTCCCCTGCCTCAGCCTCCTGAGTAGCTGGGACTACAGGCACCAGCCACCATGCCTGGCCAGTTTTTTGTATTTTTAGTAGAGATGGGTTTCACCATGTTGGCCAGGATGGTCTTGATCTCCTAATCTCGTGATCCTCCCACATCAGCCTCCCAAAGTGCTGGGATTACAGGCATGAGCCACCATGCCCGGCCGATTCTGCATTTCTTTTAAGTGAGATCACATCTTCCAGCTGCCATACTTTGGCTCCAACCATCCCTAGTATAGTCTGAAACCTGAAGTCCTCAACAGTCTGACTGGGCAGGAAAGGCTCCACTGTAGAAGCCTTCGTAACCTCCCAGCTTCAGAAGCATAATCTGAAGCTGTTTTCCTAGTATCACCTCTCTCCTCCCCAGTGTCCTATATCCTGCCCATGTTGGTCCATTTATCAAAACCACTAACTCGACAGTGCCCCTTTGCACCTTGTACAATCCTCCATTTTCCTTCAACCAAGACACAGCCAAAGCAAAAACTAGAAGCTAGAGATGATGTTCTCATTAATCGAGAGTGACCAGTAGATACCCCTATAGTTGTGGGGTTGATGCTGCTGGATCCATTGCCTAGGCAGGGCCATTGCAGACCCCTTAATCTTCACCTTTGTCTAAAATAAATCCCCCCTAAAAACTGGCCAATTAAAACACACTTCAAAATGGGATATATCATATAAACATAATTAAAATAAAAATCATATGATCATTTCAATAGATGCAGAAAAAGTATTCAACAAAATACAGCATCCTTTATGATAAAAACTCTCAACAAACTAGCCATTGAAGGGACTTACCCCAAAATAATAAAAGCCATGTATGACAGACCCACAGCACTCCATCATACTGAATGGGGAAAAGGTGAAACATTCCCCCTGAGAACTGGTACAGGACAAAGATGCCCACTTTCACCACTTCTATTCAATATAGTACTGGAAGTCCTAGCTAGAGCAATCAGGCAAGAGAAAGAAAGAGCAAATTGGAAAAGAGGAGGTCAAACTACAGCTGTTTACCAATTATATGATCATATACCTAGAAAACCCTGAAGACTCCTCCAAAAGATTCCAAGATTTGATAAATAAATTCAGTAAAGTCTCAGGTAATAAAATCAATGTACACAAATCAGTAGCACTGCTTTATACCACCAAGTTGAGAATCAAATCAAGAACTTAATCCCTTTTACAACAGCTGCAAAAAATAAAATACCTAGGAATATACTTAACCAAGGAGGTAAAAGATCCCTACAAAGAGAACTACAAAAACTGCTGAAAGAAACCATAGGTGACACAAACAACTAGAAACACATCCCAAGCTCATGAACTAGAAGAGTCAATATCATGAAAATGACCATACTGCCTGTATTAGTCCATTCTTGGGCTACTATGAAGAAATACTCAAGACTGGGTAATTTATAAAGGAAAGAGGTTTAATTGACTCACCATTCCGCAGGGCTAGGGAGGCCTCAGTAAACTTACAATCATGATGGAAGGAGAAGCAAATGCATCCTTCTTCACATGGCAGCAGCAGGGAGAAGTTCAGAGCGAAGTGGGGGGAAGCCCCTTAAAAAACCATCAGATCTCTTCAAGCCTGTAATCCCAGCACTTCGGGAGGCCGAGGTGGGTGGATCACCTGAAGTCGGGAGTTTGAGACCAGCCTGACCAACATGGAGAAACCCCGTCTCTAATAAAAACACAAAATTAGCTGGGCATGGTGGTGCATGCCTGTAATCCCATCTACTCGGGAGGCTGAGGCAGGAGAATCGCTTGAACCTGGGAGGCAGAGGTTGCAGTGAGTCAAGATCGCACCATTGCACTCCAGCCTGGGCAACAAGAGTGAAACTCCATCTCAAAAAACAGACAAACAAACAAACAAAAACAACCATCAGATCTCATGAGAACTCACTCACCATCACGAGAACAGCATGAGAATAAATGCCCTCATGATTCAATTACCTCCCACTGGGTCCCTCTCACAACATGTGGGGATTATGGGAACTATAATTCAAGATGAGGTTTGAGTGGGGACACAGCCAAACTATATCACTGCTGAAAGTAAGCTACAGATTCAGTGCAATTCCTATCCTAACACCAACATCTTTTTTCACAGAGTTAGAAAAAAAAAATCCTAAAATTCACATGGAACCAAAAAAGTCCCAAGTACCCAAAGCAATCCTAAGCAAAAAGAACAAATCTGGAGGCATCACATTACCAGACTTCAAATTATACTACAAGGCTATGGTTACCAAAACAGCGTGGTACCAGTATAAAAGTAGACACGTAGACCAATGCAACAGAAAAGAGAACACAGAAATAAAGCTAAATACTTAAAACCAACTGGTCTTCAACAATACACACAAAAACATAAATTGGGGAAAGGAGACCCTATCTAATAAATAGTGCTGGGAAAACTGGCTAGCCATATGTAGAACAATGAAACTGGATCCCTATCTCTCACCTTATATAAAAATCAACTCAAGACGGATCAAAAGACTTGAATCTAAGACCTGAAACCATAAAAACTCAAGAAGATAACCTAGGAAAAACTCTCCTGCACATTGGCCTAGGCAAATAATTCATAACTAAGAACCCAAAGTAAATGCAACAAAAACAAAAATAAATAAATGGGACCTAATTAAACTAAAAGGCTTCTGCACAGCAGAAGAAATAATCATCAGAGTAAACAGACAACCCACAGAAGGGGAGAAAATATTAGCAAACTATGCATCAAACGAAGAACTAATATCTAGAATCTACAAATAACTCAAACAGATTAGCAAGAAAAAAACAAATAATCTTATCAAAAAGTAGGAAAAGACATGAACAGACATTTCTCAAAGGAAGATATACAAATGGCCAACAAACATGAAAAAATGCTCAACATCACTAATCAACAGGGAAATGCAAATTAGAACCACAATGAGGTACCACATTACTCTTGAAGAATGCCCTTTTTTTAAAAATTAACTTTTAAGTTCAGGGTTACATGTGCAGGTTTGTGATATAGGTAAACTTGTGTCATGGGCGCTTTGTTGTACAGATTATTTTGTCACTTCAATATTAAGCCTAGTACCCATTAGTTATTTTTTCTGATCCTCTCCCTCCACCCACCCTTCACCCTCTGATAGGCCCCCGTGTCTGTGGTTCCCCTCTTTGTGCTATCCATAAGTCCTCATCATTTAACTCCCACTTATAAGTGAGGACATGTGGTATTTGGTTTTCTGTTCCTGTGTTAGTTTGCCAAGGATAATGGCCTCCAGCTCCATCCATATTCCTGCAAAGGACGTGACCTCATTTATTTTTGTGGCTCCATAGTATTCCATGGTGTTTATATACCACATTTTCTTTATCCATTCTACCAACGATGGGCATTTAGGTTGATTCCATGTCTTTTCTATTGTGAATAATCCTGCAATGAACATACACGTGCATGTGTCTTTATGACAGAAAAATTTATATTCCTTTGGGTATATACCCAGTAATGGGATTGCTGGGTTGAATGGTATTTGTGTTTTTGGGTCTTTGAGGAATCACCACACTGTTTTCCACAATGGTTGAACTAATGTATACTCCCACCAACAGTATATGAGCCTTAAGAACGGCCATTATTGGCCAGGCACAGTGGTTCATGCCTGTAGTCCCAGCACTTTGAGAGGCCGAGATGGGTGGATTGCTTGAGTTCAGGACTTCAAGACCAGCCTGGCCAACATGGTGAAACCTCGTCTCTACTAAAAATACAAAAAATAGCTTGGCATGGTCATGGGCACCTGTAATCCCAGCTACTCAGGAGGCTGAGGCAGGAGAATCACTTGAAACCGGGAGGCAGAGGTTGCAGCGAGCCGAGATCATGCCATTGCACTCCAGCCTGGTTGACAAGAGTGAAACTCCTTCTCAAAAAAAAAAAAAAAAATGGCTGTTATTAAAAAGTCAAAAAAGTGGGCATGTGGTGAAAAGGGAACAATTATACACTGCTGGTTGGAATGTAAATTAGTACGGCCCCTATGGAAAACAGTATGGAGATTTCACAAAGAACTAAAAGTAGATCTACCATTCAATTCAATACTGGGTATCTACCCAAAGGAAAATAAATCATTGTATCAAAAAGACACCTGCACATGTATGTTTATTGCAGGACAATTCACAATTGCAAAGATACGGAACCAACCTAAGTGCCCATCAACCAATGAGTGCATTTTAAAAATGTGGTATATATACACCGTGGCATATACACACTACTATACACACATATATACACACTACTCAGCCATCAAAAAGAATGAAATAATGTCTTTTGCAGCAATTTGGATGGAGCTGGAGGCCACTATTCCAAGTAAAGGAACTCAGGAATGGAAAATCAAATACCCTATGTCCTCACTTACAGGTGGGAGCTAAGATATGGATATGCAAAGGCACACAGAGTGGTATAATGGACTATGGAGATTCAGAAGGAGTGCTGGGTGGCGAAGGATAAAAACCTACATATTGGGTACAATGTACACTACTCGGGTGATGGGTGCACTCAAATCTCAGATTTCATCACTGTACAATTCATCCGTGTAACCAAAAACCACTTGTACCCCACAAGCTATTAAAATAAAAAAAATTAAGAAAACACACCTCATTTTAAATCTAACTTGCAAAGGCAGTTGTGGGGACTGCTACATAATTAGTAAGGGGTATTCCAAGTAATCTGTCAGCCGAGAGTCTCCTGGCTGCCCCTTCCCCACTCCATTGTGGCTAAGGGTTAGGGCTCCTGCTGTTGACCCACGGAGAATGAAAGCAGGGACAGCTGCTGGGGCTGTGAGTGACTAAGCCACAAGAGCCTGTGCCTGCCCTGATCCCCAAATAAGGATCCCACAGGCGGAAGGTTTATCCCACAGTGAACATCCTGAATGCAGAAACATGAGAGATCACCTAGCACCCAGCACCCCACTTGTAGCCGACACCCCACCTGGCTTCTGGTCTAGTGAGCACCGAGCAGCTGGAACACCCTGTCCCTGGGCCTTGCTGTACAGTGAGGGGCTGGACTACCTCTCACCCTTTACACCTCCAACGATGCCTGTCATTATTTCTTTTGTGAGCTCTGTGTTTTGAAATATTTTATTACCCAAAAACTTTAGGTGAGTGTGGTCTGAGCCATTTCACTATAGGCAGATACGCTTTTTCCATTATGTTCCTTGCAATTTGGAAATAGCCTACAGATCCCTTTAGTTTGGGGCCCAGATAGGAAACAGACACGTTGCATGTCAGGATTACCTGGGGAGCTTCTGAGACCCAGAAGGGAAGGGCCAGAGCAATCTCTGCTGAGACCTCCTTCCCACCCATATCCCTCTGTAACCACAGTATGCACCGTGCCTCTCCCACACCACACCTCTTCCCAACTCCTGCCTCGCCCCCACCCCCACATCCTACGGCTTATGTACCAGCACACCCTTGCCACCCACATCCACTCCACTCCACGAGGTCAGTCCACATGAAGGGACATCCTGCAGCGAGGAACATCGGAGGACCGCAGGGCCCGGCTGCTGTGTCACGCTACATTGGGGTGACACTTGGGATTTGGGCCTGGCGCTCATCACACTGGACATGTGGCATCTTGCTGGGCAGCTGCCGCCACAGCCCCTGGCTGACCAGAGGCTGCACAGTCGCTGATGGTAGCTGGGGAGCAGAAGCCCTGGAAATGAAAGTGAGAGGCAAGGACATCAGAAATGATGCATCTGAGCCTCTGCCTCAGGCAAAGAGCCACAAGTGGACAAGGACATGTGTGAACACTCCTGGGAATTCTCAGAGATGTTCAGGGGAGGGCGCTCAGAGTCTTCCCTGCAAAAGACTCAGATTCCTGATAGTAGCATGGGGAGAGAGGGCTCAGAGCCATTCCATTTAGGCAAAGAAGTTAATGTGCCCCAGTGCCTGTGGGCGGGAGGCGTGGGGACATGCAGCTTACACAGACACAGACCACACCTGCGCTCACCCTGTTTGGAGGGTCCAGGACAGGTCCTGTGTGAGGTTGCCAAACCTCTCCTGTTTCCCACCGCCACCCCAGCAGGAGCTAAGCCACTAAGGCATCCTCTGGCAAGCAGGCCTGTAATTCGGTTTGTGCCTTCTTCCCTCCCCATATATCTCAGTGGATAATTAGCAAGACCGATACTTAAGGAAAATGAGTGTGTCTTCCTGGATAATCTCAGGGCTCTGTGACTCAGACCCAACCCCAGAGCGCTGACTCAACACACTCTCTGTTGCTCCCCACAGGCAACACACTGCAAAAAGCCTCTTTAGCAGTCACTGAAAGTCCACCACAAGGACACTGATAGGAAAATAACCATGCTTCAGGGACACATTGTCATTAAAGCCTGTCCTGGTAAACTCAAACTAGATTGTCCACGAATCCCTGTTAACAGGAACACAATGGACTGCAGTGACAGACGCACAGTGTTCCGAGGACTGGGGGTGACGGGCCACACTTGGAGGTCTGACTTCAATTTTGGAAAAAGACCCAGATGAACTAGAATGAAGGGCCTAGAAACATGTCACTAAGGAAGAGTCCAAGAGACATGGGGATGTTTAGCCTGAAGAAGGCACACAGGGCTGTGGGAATTACCTTCAAACCCAAGGGGCTGGATGTGGCAGCTGGAGAGGCCTTTAAAGAGCTCCAGAAGGGCCAGTGAGCAGCAGGTGTCAGATGATAGGAAGAATTTTCTCACACTTAGGTGTTTCCAGAGTGGAATTCATCTGCCTTGGGAGGTAGGGAGCCCCCAACCCCAGGAACGTGTCATCAGAGGTGGGAGCTCACTGGAGCTGGCTGTGGGTGCAGCTTCTGCACTGAGGAAGAGTTGGGCTGAAGGAACAGTTCAGACAGTCCAGGATTCTGCAAATATGGGTTTCAGCAAAATACCTGGCCCACCATTTTCTGATTTATTGCTAATGGAAGGCTATGGAATTATGATTTAGCTATTGAGGGCTTGTAAACTGTCACTATTCAGATTCAATTAATCAAGCGATAAGGAGATTTGGCCACATCTCCCAGGGATATTTCTCCGAATGGCATTTCATGTCATTCCACTCCATTCTCATCCTTCTTCTTGCCAAAATACAGTCACTGCCTAGTCCTTGAGTGAGGGAGACACACTTGCTGTGTGGACCAAGATGGTGCCTTGATACCAGGTCTCCCTGGATTCTGTGAGCCCTGTCAGGCACCCAGAAGCCTCTGCACACAGTTTCGCTATTAACTCTGGGTCTCTCTTCACATCCTTCTCCACCTTAGGGCTCTTTTCTCTCTATCCACCTTGATCTGCTCCAACCCTTAAATCCATCTCAAGTAGTCATCTCCACTTTGAGGTCTGATAGAGATCTCAAACTTCATACGATCAGCTAGATGTGGGCAGAAAGTTACCCAGGTGCCGAGGCAAGAGAGTGAAGGCACAAGCTGTTCCAATATAATAAAGAAAGTATTTAGAATAAGAAAAGTTATACTAGAAATAGGATATAGAGATGATCATATATGGATAATCATAATAATTAGTTTTTAGTATTAATCTGTTTTATTATTATAACCAAGGAATAACCAGCCAGTGCAGAGTCAGGAGCTGAAGGAACACTGTGAGAAGTGACCAGAAGACAAGAGTGTGAGCCCTCTGTCACGTCCGGATAAGGGCCGCTGGAGGGCACCATGGTCTTGCGGTAATGCCAGTGCCTGGGAAGGCGCTCATTACTTAGCAGACCGTGAAAGGGAAACTCCCTTTCTTTGGAGGAGTTAGAGAACACTCTGCTCCACCAGCCTCTTGCGGGAGGTCGGACATTAGCCAGGCCTGCCCACAGACATCCGGAGGCTTAAACGTCTCCTTGTGGTGCTGTGCTTCAGTGGTCACGCTCCTTGTTCACTTTTATGTTCCGCCTGTACACCTGGTCCTCCTTTTAACTTCCTAGAAGACAGCAGTAGCAGAAATAGTGAAAGTATTAAAGTGTTTGATCTCTCTGATAAGTGCGTAGAAAAAACGCTGACGTATGCTGTCCTCCCTGTCTGCTTCGGCGATCACAAAGGGATGGGCCCCTTGTCCTGTAAACACGTGACTTGCTTGACCTTATCAATCACTTGAGATGACTCACTCTCCTTACCCTGCCCCCTTGCCTTGTATACAATAAATAGCAGTGCGTCCAGCCATTTGGGGCCACTACCGGACTCCGCGCATTCATGGTAGTGGTCCCCTGGGCCCAGCTGTCTTTCATACTCTTAGTCTTGTCTCTTATTTTTCTACAATCTCTCGTCTCCACACATGAAGAGAACACCACTAGGCCCTGTAGGGCAGGACCCTACACTAGAACTCTTCATTCCACTGCCAGCCCAGGCCTGGCCTTCCCCAGGAAGCGACACCACCATCAATCTGGTTACTGAAGCCAAAGTCATCCCTGGCCTCCTCACCCATTCTTCTTCAACCATCACCTCTAATCCATCACTGAATCCTATCAATTTGATTTCCAAAACATATTTCATATCAATCCATTTCTCTCCATCTTCTCTGCCACCATCTTATTCAATGTCCTCTAACTAATCTCCCTGGTTCCACTTTTGTTCCACTTTGCATAATTCATTTACACAGAAGACAAACGGATCCTTTAAACACATAATCAGACGTCGAGCCCTCAATGGCTTCCCAGTGCATTTAGAATAAAAGGGTTTCTTCCTGTGGCCCCCTAAATCCTGCAGGACCTGACCCCTGTCTCTCCCCTTCCCTGATCATCCTGGCCTTTGGGCCAAGTCCTGGACTCCATCAAGCTCTTCCCCTGTTCCCTCTGCCTAAAACATCCCTCCCCGGCTCTTCCCACGGTTGGCTTCCTTAGAGAGGCTTTCCAGAGGGTTCCTATCCTGTAATCCTCTATGATAGCACTCTATATAGAAATGCCTTATCTCTAATCACAATATATAATTATTTTACGCATTTGTATAGATGGCCATCATCTGTCTCTGTGCCCCCATGGCTACAAGCTCCCTATGTTGGGCAATGGTTTTGACTGCCTTTCACATTGTTTTATATCCAGCGCCTATCAGTGCCTGGCACATGGTAGGTGGCCAACAACTATTTCTTGAATGAATGACTGAGTCTCTCAATCCAGTTCCTTTTTTTTTTTTTGAGATGGAGTCTCGCTCTTTTGCCCAGGCTGGAGTGCAGCGGCGCTATCTCCACTCACTGCAAGCTCCGCCTCCCGGGTTCACGCCATTCTCCTGCCTCAGCCTCCCGAGTAGCTGGGACTACAGGCACCCGCCACCACGCCCGGCTAATTTTTTGTATTTTTAGTAGAGACAGGGTTTCACCATGTTAGCCAGGATGGTCTCGATCTCTGACCTCGTGATCCACCCACCTTGGCCTCCCAAAGTGCTGGGATTACAGGCGTGAGCCACCGCGCCCGGCCAATCCAGTTCTTAATGAACATCTTTTGTACAACTCTGTCCATGCTGGTGCCACGGGGTCTGATGCTGGTCATCTTATACAGGAAAAGAAAAAGATTTTGGTGGTAGTCAGACTATTCCCCTCCAAGCAATCAGAATCACTGCAGGTAAGACATTTCTGCCAAGATTTCACACGGGCTGGGCTACACAGTAATGAAGCCTGGTCAGGGACTGCTATAAAAAAGTTGGTGAGCAGAAAGTTGATATGAAACTTAAGTGGCTAAATGACTATAGTCTCATGACTAATTTCTGTGCTGATGGGGGCAAGGGACTGAAGCTACAACCAGGTAATTACTTCTGGAAGAAAAACAACTCTTGTAAAAATTTATCCATTTGCATGGTTTTGGGTAGCTAGAAGCCTTTTCTTCCAAAGTTCCAAAACAGCAATGAGGATCCTGAATAAGAACTGCCTCTCTTCTCCTGGGACCAAGTGGCAGGCAGTGGCCTGGGAGGTGGGCAGCCAGGGGGAGGTGGCACCATCCCCCGCTGCTGGCTTAGGCCCAGAGCAGACGTCTCCCGTCCTGCACCACAGAATCCGCGGAGCCTATGGGAACATGGCTGCCCCCTGAACCAGGACGGTGTCAATGTGAAAGGGACAAAACGTCACTGCGCCTAACCGTCCTCTAAAGAAGTGAGCAATGGCAAAAGCTAGAGGAATGCAGGATGGGGAGGTGGACTCCACATCTGAACTCCACCTGCTCAGCGGCACAGCTGCTCACACCACCTGATGAAGGGATGTGGGAAATCGAAACATGATAGTGATTCTAACCCCCAGCTGCCCTGAGATGGGAATCACACTTTGCTCCTGGTAAGCATCGATCTGTCATGTCTGCACAGAAAGGACGGTCCCTGTGAATTCCTGAGGAAAGAACGGAGCCTCTTTTCTCTCTTCGGTTAAAAACATATTCAAAGGCTTCTAAAGACTGCTCCAGACAAAAGGACCAGTTAAAGCCTTGAGAACTTACTTTTATCACGCAAAGTCCTTCAGAATGCAGCTTTCCCTGATATAGTGCTTGAGTCTCGACCAAATTCGTCAACATGCAAAATAATTCCACTCCCTTCTGAAACCTCAAGCCCAAACTTGTCAAAATTATCACTCTAGGCTCCTGCTGGAGACAGAGGTGTTTGTGAGTTGCTCGGCCTTTTGAAACTCTGGGATCAAACTTCACGGTAGCTTAGGCCTAAAGAGTAGGGGAGCAAAAACACGAACATCTTGAGAGGCATATAGTACAACAGTGATACTTGAGCACACTGGCCAGGTTCCAGTTTACGTTCTGCTACTTCTTAGCTGTGTGACCTTGGACACAAGACCTTGGACATTAAGACCTTGGTTCTTAATCTCTCTGTGCCTTAATTCATTTCTCTGTAGAGATAATAATGGTATCAACTTCACAGGCCGTGGTAAGAATGGAAAGAACTGATACACGTAACGTGCTTAGAATGGTGTCTGGCATGTATAAGTGCTCTGTAACTGTTGCTGCTGTTACATCATGACTCTGAAAGGGGGTTTTAGTTAAAATGGATCCCATCCACTATTATAGCTCAAAGTCCAGCTTGCAAAAAGACTTTGATTCTAGTAACTAAGTGGAAGCCAGTGTTTGGACCAGGAAATATCAGCTGCCACCTCCCTGCAAGGGCATCTTCCTCAGGGTCCAGTGAGGGGGTCAGTTGCTCTCCATCTTCCACCCCACCCGCCCCACCCTTCAGTCACATGGGAATGCTGACTCCTCCAGCCTTGCAATTGCTCCTGGGGATGGAGACAACTTTTTGTGCTGACTGAGCTTTCCTAAAGAATAGCCTGGCTTCAGGATTTTGCCTACAGGGAGGTTTTGGTCCCCAAAGGGCAGGGAGACTTCTATGGCCCCTGTATCAATGCCCTGGTTATGGTGTGAAGATGCCACAGGATCTAGTTCGGAGAGGAACCAGCAGAAGCCTGGACGGAGACAGGGTCTGCACGGCGTCTCTAGTCCCATTCTCTGGGCCAGGACAGGACCTGATGCATGTTTGGAGGAGGAGGTCCAGGATCTGGCTAAGGTACCTGGGATGGCACTGGGCAACAGGGAAGGGGAGGTCCTGAGAGTGCCATGGTGACACTGCAAAAGTCCTATTAATCTTCCCAATGGGGCAGTGGTGGGAACCCCCACCACTCCTCTGAGGGCTGACCCAGATTATTCAGGGAAATATGGAGAACTGACCCAGCAAGCACAGAGTTGAGCTGATTATAGCAGGGACTGAAGAAGGCAGCCACAAGAAATGCAAGACAGCCGCAGATGCGGCCTCGCTTTGAAGAACAAAGGCAAAGAAAATTGGCTCACCAATGAGAATTAAGTGATAACAATGTACTGAACAGAAATCAAAATCGGTTCTCAGCCAGCTCACTCAGAAAAATGCAGGATCCTGAAGAGTACAACTGAACGATGTGAGACCTTTGAATAGTAAAAACTTTTACCTTAAAATGCTTTTGTAAAGTGATTTCAGTGCTTGTAGAGATGAAGCGAACACGAAGCCCAGGAGACGTCTTGTCTTCAGGTCTCCTGTGCTTCCTGGGCTCCACGGGGTCCCCTGGAAGCCCCTTCCCTGGTCTCTCATTGGCAGCAAGCAGCCAGTGTAGGGTGGCCTCCTCCCAGGTTCTGTTGGCTGTCACAGTGAAGTGTTGCATTCTTTAGGCTCCCAAACCTTGAGCCCAGACAATTTCAGATTTCAGGTTCGGTATCGGGCAACGCTCCAGGTATCCTGCCCTACCTGGGTCCCAACCTCAGGAACATCTCCCCACCAGCCCCTCCCCAACCCTTAGTGACCACCCAGGTGAATCTCTTTGTGTCAGGAAGAGCTCGTTTATCTTTTTTGCCCTTTACTGTACTTTGGTAGGAGACTGGCAGCCAGAGACAAAACTACCTTGGGTCAGGAACAATGCAGCACTGATAAGGAAAGGGTCTCCACCACTTGAGTTGCAGCCAAAGACAGGTGGTAAACTTAAATGCGGAAGCTGAGGATTTAACAGAGACTGTTCATAAAGGCACTGAGAGGGTTTGGGAAAACCCACAAAGGAAGACATAGTAGCCAGGGCAACAGGCTGGTCTTGGCCTGCAAGGGCAGGGGACACAGCTGTAAGAGGGCTGCCTGGCAGGAGCCACGCCCACCAAAGAAGGCAGCAAATGCCCAGCAGCCTGGCCCAGAGCAGGGAGGCACTCGGGAGTCAGCGTCTGGACCTGGCTCTCCCCTTCTCTCATCTCCCCTTGGTGCCTTCATTGACAGAATGCCAATGAATCCAGAAGCCCAGGGAGTGTGTTAATGCAGTACCTGAAGATCAGCCTCTCTGGGCAGAGACGGCAGAGCAGGCAGAGTGGTTCTGGAGGGGCAGATAGAAAATATCCAGCCCAGGGTCATTTCCCAGAGGCCACAGCTCCTTGGTCTCTAGCCAAGCACAGCCATTATAGGACGCAACTTCCCTGGCCAATTTCAAAGCTCTGCTTGCTGCTGGGAATGCATGTTTAAACAAAGCCTTTATTCTCTGTTCCAACAGCGCGGCTGGAATTTAAAAAGCTTCATTTTCAAGACTGGTTGCTTTTGATCTGTCTAACCTGGAACTTACATTTTGGAGTCAAATAGAATTATTTAAACAAAGCATTTCAGTGATAAGCACAAGATGTTTTGATTTTTTTTGGCTGGCCCCCACCCAACCCCCGCAGCACCACACAACATTCCTACTCAAAATGAAAGGACAACTTTGTGGCTGACTCTTAAAATCTCAGCTTCCATTTCCCTGGGTCTTCGTTTCCTCATCCTGTGCCTTTTTCTAGGTTTGCCTGTGTACGGGCCCTGGGAGGGGGCTAACTTTACCTCAGACTGGCCTGGAACAACCAAATATTCTATGAGCAGTGCTTCCCTCCTCTCGCTCCGGCTTCCGGCTTTGGCAGAACCATGTGTTGTCATCCTGTCTTCTTTATTAATTATAATTTATTTTCATTTTGCTCCACATATCCCCATTTTCCTTCCTTCTCTGATGTAAGGCCTTCTCTGATATCATCCTCTATTCTCCTCAAATGAATTTGTCCCCAGCTTGCCTGCATTCCTCTCTTTTTATCATATTTTGCCTGCCTTATCTGTCACTCAAGTTGGAATGCGGATCGCTACTTGAATTCCTTGAAAATAACACCTGCGCTGTGCTGTCCTAGACAGACTATGTCCCGCTGGATCACAGCAAAACCCAGCTCCCCATGCTATGGAGCACAGGAGGTGTCACAGTGTTTGTTATTGGTGCCTTCGAGTTGGCCTATCAGTCATTGAAAGTCAATCTGAAATGGAAGAGCGCCCTTTTTTCACAGCTGTGAAAGCAAATGGAGGAAGGAAGGCCATATATCCCCAGACCTTAAAGAGGCACATCTGTTGGAAACAAAGCTCAGACATGGCCTGGTCCAAGTGTGTTCTACACAACGAAGTAACAAAAATACCACTAAGTAACACAAAAATGATGTGGAAATTCTCTCTAGAAAGAGTGAGCTAAATTTCTATTAAAATGACTCCTACAAATCAAATGAACACCTCGATGGAGGGGCGTTAATAGAATGCATCATATGACAGGCAGGGTGGCTGGCCTTGCCTGGTGTGAGGTGGGAATAGGTGAAGACACACTAACGTGTTATAAAATGACTTCATCTTTTAGTTAGTGGTTAGTTCTGGACCTTTGCTCAAGCTTACTGAGCAGAATCGCTAATTTTTAGGGCCAAGAGAAGTGTGGATAGTACTCTATCTAACAATAGGATCTTCTAATCCCAAAAGAATATCACTGTGAAAGTAAGAGTATTTTTAATATACAGAATATTTCATTTTCAAGCCCAGGGAATAGGCAGAATCAAAGCCACCATCTTGGTTAGGCTTTTCTGCAAGGAGACAAGCAGCCACCGTGCACTAGGTCCCTGCTTCTCCCCGCCGGAGGTGACGGAACTGCAGTGCACACATCTGCCTTTGAGACTACTAGGGAAGGGAAGGCTCCACTTAGCTAATGAAGCCAGAGTTCTCATCAGGTGAACAGAACACGCCCTTTAAAGACTGGCTTACTAAACCCTGAGAGAAAGCTTAAAGCTCAGGATATGGTTTATGGGCTTATGATACGACTGGAACTAGACATCAAGAAGGGAGAAAGATCTTGAAGCAGCTATGTTAATGACAGTTTAAAATAAAATACAGACAATTTCCACTAGATATGCCTTGGCCAGCAGGTTCCCCCAAGGAAAGCACACTGAAGGTACTAAGAAAATACTGGCAGAACCACGTGGGGCAACACAGGCCAGTGCTATCTTTGACTCATTCGGAATCACAATAGTGTCTTCTAAACTAACTGCAAGAAGCACACGTACTATTTTTAGTTACCAAGTGGATTTAAATGCAACTAGTATATGCTCAGCTGGCCAGATGTGGGCCATTTTGGAGACCTGACAGTTCCATGGGGGGTTGGAATGGAACTAGGTTATGACTTTATGAAGGTAAAAGCAATTGCAAATTCTTTCTTTAGAATTTGCTTTGGAAGCAAAGGAAAGTAGCTATTCAACCAGTTTGACTTCAACTGGCAAAATTAGTTACCCAGGTGGAAAGGAGATGTCTATAAAGCTAAGAGAAATGAGGTATGGTCCCCTGTTTCTTGCTTCATGATCTTCCCCAAAGATGTGTGCCTACCATTGCAGCAGTAGAACAAACTTATAATTTGCATAAAGGCTTAGAGGACCTTATTATATTCACCTCTTGTTAACATAAAAATTAATGTGCTGAGTAACATCTGTTTTTTATTGATTTAATCAATACATTGGGAATTTAGCAGCAAGTTAATGGCAAGCAGTTACAAAATCTCCTATTTTTCTACATTTAAAATAAGCTGTCTTAAACAATCTATAGCAACCTAAAATCTCACGAACACATGTGAATGACTGAAGCACTTCTGCTGTAATACGTATGGCAAGTTTATTAGTAATTTTCTAACAAAGTCTTCTAGTGCAAAGTGCACATAATTATTTGGCACCTCCATTACTATATTTGGCCTCTTGTTTTCCCCTATAAATAGCTGTGCCTAAACATAAGAATTTGAAGTAAAAATGAGCAAGTGTGCCCACAGCCTTAAATTGAAGGTATCTGCCCCCCTAAAAAACCTTCGTGTACATCTTGAGTTGATTTCCACTGCAGCCCACTGCCAAGCCTACTGGTGGCTGTCCTTTAATGCCATGTGCAGCTTATGCTGCTTTGGAGATAAGCAGCTTCAATTTTAAGCTGGTGCAAACACATGGCGGGGCTCTGTGGAGCTAAAAGGCTACAAGCTCAGCATAGGGCTGTCTTCTTCCCCTCCTACCCCCTCATCAAAGTGCTAACAAGAGCAGCTTTGTTTTTGTACTGTCCAACACTGGAGGGAACCTTAGAGTTTCTTTTTGGTTCTGGACAGGGCGCCGGATTTAGCAGGGTACTTGGTTGCTGTTCCTTGGCTTGGAGTCACAGGGGTTTTCTCCATTTCTCCCTTGATTTCAGCTGGAAGGAGTTTGCTAGATGTGAAACTTGAACTGCACATATCAAAGTTGTCCTTACTGGTTGCAGGAAATTGCTTTTCATAAGCAGTAGACTGCAAATAAAAGGTCTTGATTAATTTTCAGACACAAAGCAATGCACATCAATTCAAAGATGCAAGGAACTACAAAGTTGTCCAGGATTTGCAAGTTGGAGCCCTCTCTAGATATAGGGTCCAAACTAGTCATATTGTAAAATTATTATTAAATGCCAAAAGATCCTTTTGCACCTTTAAGAAAACTGAATTGTTTCATGTTTGGTGTGGAGCAAACTCTACAGGCTCAATTTCGAAACCTCTGTCGTCCAAAATGTAAGTAAATGTCTGGTAACATTTGTGCAGGGAAGTCCGCTTAGACATAATTGTACTCACTTCATCTTTACAGATTTCTACACAAGCTCTGACATTTGTATGGATACCCTGATAAGTACAATATAATTATTCTTTCTAATCTGTGTATGAAGTGCTACATAAGGCCCACACTCACATCCCCACTATCTTCCCACATTAATTCCAGAGACTGGCTTCTAATCCCAGTCACACTACTCAGGCAGGCCTGTAGACCTCTTTGAGCCTCTCTATTCCTTGCCCTTAAGTGGAAGCAAATAATATTTGCACATTTGCCACAAGAGCTTACCATAAGAATGAAGAGAAAGGGTGGCCATGAAAGTACTATGTGAGCTTTAAAGTAGAAAACAAGCAGATGGAGTTTTAACAGGCAATTGTATTTTCTCAGGTCGCCTCATTCCACAGTAAAGGAAGAAGTGGTCTTGAATCCTGCTGTCATGAGGGAAGCAGGGTCTGTTTTGACGTTAGGCCCATTTTTAAAGTGATCACTTTTAATTAAGTGAAGCTGGAGCATAGAGTTCTAAAAGAGTAGAGATTGTCTCAGGAGACCCACAAAGCAGCACAGGGGCCCAGCCACTGGGGTAGAGATAGGGAAGCTCTGGTTTACAGAGAATGATCGAGGAAAGAGCTCACAGGTTTAATACTCTGGTTACCTGAAAGTCACAGCACACTTGGGTTAAAAATCAGGTTAACAATTTTCAAAGAGTGTGATAAGATGGTGTGTAACACAAAATAAATGCAGTGTTTCTTTGATCATTCAGGTTCTTGTGATGTAATGACCACGTTTAATATTCAGTAGTAGCACTTAATATATGTTTGCCTAGTGAATCCATGACTTTCCAGGGCTGCAATAAAACTCTGGGTCCTGTAAGACTTTTGGCACCTATATTTCAAGAAAGAAAATCCACCTGATGTTTGCTTGCTGAAGAAAGCCTTTAAAGTGTGCCTCTTCAGAACATCACTCGTGTCTGATTTTATAACCAGTATATGCTAATTCTTGAGCAGGTAACACTTAAAAATCATTTTGTACCTTAAAATTTTAATTTCTATAAAATTTGAAATGTAAAAAGGTCATTTTCTTTAGTTCTTTTCCCCCCTAAGCAAACTTCTGGGTTATTTCTGTGTGTTCTTTTAAGAGGTAGAAAATATTTAAAATTCTTTAGTATTCCCTCACATAGGTTGTATTTTTATCGAAAACTCCTTATGTTCAGTGATAAGGTGAGGATACAACACCCCTGATGTTAGAGCATCTGGCTGAGAACAAGTTGCTTTGTTTAGTACAGTGCTGGTCTCTAAGATATACACCCTATCTTTAAAATTTCAATTCATAAAATTTAATTACCTTTACATACAAATGCTATTAAAAGGTGAATCTAAGTGTAACCTTCTGTCTTTTGACATTTCTACTTGGATTTTGAGTTATCATCCAAGTTGTTGAGGAAGTAGTTTTCAACATGTCCACTACAACTAATATTCTATCGAGCAGGAATAAAGATTCATTTTCCTTTAATGTGCTTATATTCATATCTGGCTTAATGGTTCCATTCTTCTTTACTGCTTCATTTGTTAATGTAATTGAGTCATTATAGTAGTTTCAGGAGTTGCAGTCACCAGGAAGAAATACTCAGAAACAGTCTCTGTGAACAGAATTATTGATGTAGAATATTTTTCTTTTTCCCAAAAACGCTACAGATGCTGGTATTTTCTTCTTGGATACAATATCTTGAGATCATTATTAAAGTCTTCTGGCAAAGTGGAAGGAAAAAGAAAACTAAACAATGTTTAGTTGCTTTGGTGTAGAAATATGATATTTCTGTTTTATTTTGTAGTAAGATAAGAAAATGATTTTCCTCAGCCAAATTTTTTTGTAATTTTAGTTATTTATTTCTTAAATAGATAGTACATCCCCATGATTAAATATTCACAATGTTCAAAATCTCCTCCTTACCCCCTAGTTAACTGAGCTCTGCCCCCAAAGACAACCAATATTGTCAATTTATAGTGTACAATTTCAGAGAGATTTTATGCATCTTCAAGCAAATATTAGGTGGAACCAAATGGATGTGGTTGTCATTCCACTGTCATTTCCATTGGTTGCAGGTCAAAAACAGTCTAATAATGGCAATTTCCTATGGTTCAATCTAATTCATTGATGCGGTTTGGCTGTGTCCCCACCCAAGTCTTATCTTGAATTGTAGCTCCCATAATTCCGTGTTGTGGGAGGGACCCAGTGGGAGGTAATTGAATCACAGGGGCAGGTTTTTCCTGTGCTGTTCTCATGACAATGAATAAGTCTCACGAAATCTGATGGTTTTATAAAGGGCAGTTCCCCTGCACACATTCTCTTGCCTGCTGCCACCTAAGGCGTATCTTTGCTCCTCCTTTGCCTTCCACCATGATTGTGAGGCTTCCCCAGCCATGTGGAACTGTGAGTCCATTAAACCTCTTTTTCTTTATAAATTACCCAGTATGTCTTTATTAGCAGTATGAGAACAGACAAATACATTCATCTACTGACATGCTTTCTTCCTGCTTTTTATACAAATAGTAGCCAACTATAAACACTCTTTTACACCTTGACTTTTTTCAACTAATGATTATCTTGAAGATCATTCCATGTCAATTCATAGAAAGAAAAAATCCTCATTCTTTTTTCTGGCTATGCAATATTCTCTTGTTTAGAAGTACCATAATTTATTTAACCAGTCTCTTCACAATGAACACTCAGGTTTGTTTCCAATCTTTTGCAAGCACATTTTGCACATGACATTTTGCACGTTCGTAAGTTTTTCTACAGGATATATATTTTAGAAGAGAAATTCTTCGGATAAATGGTATATGGATTTGTAATTTTGAAAGATATCATCATGTTGCCTTCCACTGCAGTTGTACTGATGTATAATCTTACCAGTAGCATACAAGAGTGCCTGTTTTCTTATTTTTCAACTTGGTTTTAATACATGTTAAAACTAATACAGTCATCCATATTTTAATTGAGCTCCAAAATCAGCCTAACGCTGGCTACCCCGAAACAAATCACAGTATTTGCTCCTTCACTCCCTGGTAACATCAATTCAAATCTACTTACCTTTCTTTATGCAAATATATATATATTTTTTGAGGTGGAGTTTTGCTCTTATCGCCCAAGCTGGACTGCAATGACACAATCTAGGCTCACTGCAACCTCCGCCTCCCGGGTTCAAGTGATTCTCCTACCTCAGCCTCCCGAGTAGTTGGGATTGCAGGTACACACCACCACACCCAGCTAATTTTTGTATTTTTAGTAGAAGCAGGGTTTCACCATGTTGGCCAGGATGATCTCAATATGCAAATGTTTATGCTTCTGTGTATATGGGTTTGTCTTGTAAAATACTGTATGTGTATGGGTACCTTACCATTTCTCTCTTTACTAAATTCCAGTTGCATGAAGTTTAGGATGGCATTGTTCAGAAAGCAGAATCCTAAAAGTTTTTCTAAAAGAATCTGAGACTCAGTGGAGCCAAGATGGCCAAATAGGAACAGCTCCAGTCTACAGCTCCCAGCGTGAGTGACGCAGAAGATGGGTGATTTCTGCATTTCCAACTGAGGTACCAGGTTCATCTCACTGGGGAGTGTTGGACAGTGGGTGCAGCGCACCGAACGTGAGCCGAAGCAGGGTGAGGCATCATCTCACCCGGGAAGCGCAAGGGGTCAGGGAATTCCCTTTCCTAGTCAAAGAAAGGGGTGACAGATGGCACTTGGAAAATCGGGTCACTCCCACACTAATACTGTGCTTTTCCAATGGTCTTAGCAAACAGCACACCAGGAGATTATATCCCGTGCCTGGCTCAGAGGGTCCTACACCCATGGAGCCTCGCTCATTGCTAGCACAGCAGTCTGAGATCAAACTGCAAGGCTGCAACGAGGCTGGGAGAGGGGCGCCCGCCATTGCCGAGGCTTGAGTAGGTAAACAAAGTGGCCAGGAAGCTCGAACTGGGTGGAGCCCACCGCAGCTCAAGGAGGCCTGCCTGCCTCTGTAGACTCCACCTCTGGGGGCAGGGCACAGACAAACAAAAGGCAGCAGAATCCTCTGCAGACTTAAATGTCCCTGTCTGACAGCCTTGAAAAGAGTAGTAGTTCTCCCAGCACGCAGCTGGACATCTGAGAATGGACAGACTGCCTCCTCAAGTGGGTCCCTGACCCCTGAGTAGCCTAACTGGGAGGCACCCCCAAGTAGGGGCAGACTGACACCTCACACGGTCGGGTACTCCTCGGAGACAAAACTTCCAGAGGAATGATCAGGCAGCAACATTTGCTGTTCACCAATATCCGCTGTTCTGCAGCCTCCGCTGCTGACACCCAGGCAAACAGGGTCTGGAGTGGACCTCCAGCAAACTCCAACAGACCTGCAGGTGAGGGTCCTGACTGTTAGAATAAAAACTAACAAACAGAAAGGACATCCACACCAAAACCCCATCTGTACATCACCATCATCAAAGACCAAAGGTAGATAAAACCACAAAGATGGGGAAAAACCAGAGCAGAAAAACTGGAAACTCTAAAAATCGGAGCACCTCTCCTCCTCCAAAGGAATACAGCTTCTCACCAGCAGCAGAACAAAGCTGGACGGAGAATGACTTTGACGAGTTGAGAAAGAAGGCTTTAGATGATCAAACTACTCCGAGCTAAAGGAGGAAGTCTGAACCCATGGCAAAGAAGTTAAAAACCTTGAAAAAAAAATAGACAAATGGCAAACTAGGATAACCAATGCACAGAAGTCGTTAAAGGACCTGATGGAGCTGAAAACCATGGCATGAGAACTACATGACAAATGCATAAGCCTCAGTAGCCGATTCGATCAACTGGAAGAAACAGTATCAGTGATGGAAGACCAAATGAATGAAATGAAGCAAGAAGAGAAGTTTAGAGAAAAAAGAATAAAAAGAAACGAACAAAGCCTCCAAGAAATATGGGACCATGTGAAAAGACCAAGTCTACGTCTGATTGGTGCACCTGAAAGTGATGGGGAGAATGGAACCAAGTTGGAAAACACTCTGCACGATATTATCCAGGAGAACTTCCCCAATCTAGCAAGGCAGGCCAACATTCAAATTCAGGAAATACAGAGAATGCCACAAAGATACTCCTCGAGAAGAGCAACTCCAAGACACATAATTGTCAGATTCACCAAAGTTGAAATGAAGGAAAAAATGTTAAGGGCAGCCAGAGGGAAAGGTCGGGTTACCCACAAGGTGAAGCCCATCAGACTAACAGCTGATCTCTCAGCAGAAACTCTACAAGCCAGAAGACAGTGGGGGCCAATATTCAACATTCTTAAAGCAAAGAATTTTCAACCCACAATTTCATATCCAGCCAAACTAAGTTTCATAAGTGAAAGAGAAATAAAATCCTTCACAGACAAGCAAATGCTGAGAGATTTTGTCACCACCAGGCCTGCCCTAAAAGAGCTCCCGAAGGAAGCACTAAACATGGAAAGGAACAAAAGGTTCCAGCCAATGCAAAAACATGCCAAATTGTAAAGACCATCAAGGCTAGGAAGAAACTGCATCAACTAACGAGCAAAATAACCAGCTAATATCATAATGACAGGATCAAATTCAGACGTAACAATATTAACCTTAAAGGTAAATAGGCTAAATGCTCCAATTAAAAGACACAGACTGGCAAATTGGATAAAGAGTCAAGATCCATCAGTGTGCTGTATTCAGGAAACTCATCTCACGTGCAGAGACACACATAGGCTCAAAATAAAGGGATGGAGGAAGATCTACCAAGCAAATGGAAAACAAAAAAAAAAAAAGCAGGGGTTGCAATCCTAGTCTCTGATAAAACAGACTTTAAACCAACAAAGATCAAAAGAGACAAAGAAGGCCATTACTTAATGGTAAAGGGATCAATTCAACAAGAAGAGCTAACTGTCCTAAATATATATGCACCCAATACAGGAGCACCCAGATTCATAAAGCAAGTCCTTAGAGACCTACAAAGAGACTTAGACTCCAACACAATAATAATGGGAGACTTTAACACCCCACTGTCAACATTAGACAGATCAACGAGACAGAAAGTTAAAAAGGATATCCAGGAATTGAACTCAGCTCTGCACCAAGTGGACCTAATAGACTTCTACAGAACTTTCCACCCCAAATCAACAGACTATACATTCTTTTCAGCACCACACCACACCTATTCCAAAATTGACCCCGTAGTTGGAAGTAAAGCACTCCTCAGCAAATGTAAAAGAAAAGAAATTATAACAAACTGTCTCTCAGACAACAGAGCAATCAAACTAGAACTCAGGATTAAGAAACTCACTCAAAACCGCTCAACTACATGGAAACTGAACAACCTGCTCCTGAATGACTACTGGGTACATAACGAAATGAAGGCAGAAATAAAGATGTTCTTTGAAACCAATGAGAACAAAGACACAATATACCAGAATCTCTGGGACGCATTCAAAGCAGTGTGTAGAAGGAAATTTATAGCACTAAATGTCCACAAGAGAAAGCAGGAAAGATCTAAAACTGACACCCTAACATCACAATTAAAAGAACTAGAGAAGCAAGAGCAAACACATTCAAAAGCTAGCAGAAGGCAAGAAATAACTAAGATCAGAGCAGAACTGAAGGAAAAAGATACACAAAAAAACCCTTCAAAAAATCAATGAATCCAGGAGCTGGTTTTTTGAAAAGATCAACAAAATTGATAGACCACTAGCAAGACTAATAAAGAAGAAAAGAGAGAAGAATCAAATAGATGCAACAAAAAATGATAAAGGGGATATCACCACCGATCCCACAGAAATACAAACTACCATCAGAGAATACTATAAACACCTCTATGCAAATAAACTAGAAAATCTAGATGAAATGGATAAATTCCTCAACACATACACTCTCCCAAGACTAAACCAGGAAGAAGTTGAATCTCTCAATAGACCAATAACAGGCTCTGAAATTGAGGCAATAATTAATAGCTTACCAACCAAAAAAAGTCCAGGACCAGATGGATTCACAGCCAAATTCTACCAGAGGTACAAAGAGGAGCTGGTACCATTCCTTCTGAAACTATTCCAATCAATAGAAAAAGAGGGAATCCTCCCTAGCTCATTTGATGAGGCCAGCATCATCCTGATACCAAAGCCTGGCAGAGACACAACAAAAAAAGAGAATTTTAGACCAATATCCCTGATAAACATTGATGCAAAAATCCTCAATAAAATACTGGCAAACAGAATCCAGCAGCACATCAAAAAGCTTATCCACCATGATCAAGCCGGCTTCATCCCTGGGATGCAAGGCTGGTTCAACATACGCAAATCAATAAACGTAATCCAGCATATAAACAGAACCAATGACAAAAACCATATGATTATCTCAATAGATGCAGAAAAGGCCTTTGACAAAATTCAACAATGCTTCATGCTAAAAACTCTCAATAAATTAGGTATTGATGGGACGTATCTCAAAATAATAAGAGCTATCTATGACAAACCCACAGCCAATATCATAATGAATGGGCAAAAACTGGAAGCATTCCCTTTGAAAACTGGCACAAGACAGGGATGCCCTCTCTCACCACTCCTATTTAACATAGTGTTGGAAGTTCTGGCCAGGGCAATCAGGCAGGAGAAGGAAATAAAGGGTATTCAATTAGGAAAAGAGGAAGTCAAATTGTCCCTGTTTGCAGATGACATGATTGTATATCTAGAAAACCCCATTATCTCAGCCCAAAATCTCCTTAAGCTGATAGGCAACTTCAGCAAAGTCTCAGGATACAAAATCAATGTGCAAAAATCACAAACATTCCTATACACCAATAACAGACAAACAGAGAGCCAAATCATGAGTGAACTCCCATTCACAATTGCTTCAGATAATAAAATACCTAGGAATCCAACTTACAAGGGATGTGAAGGACCTCTTCAAGGAGAACTACAAACCACTGCTCAATGAAATAAAAGAGGATACAAAGAAATGGAAGAACATTCCATGCTCATGGGTAGGAAGAATCAATATCGTGAAAATGGCCATACTACCCAAGGTAATTTATACATTCAATGCCATACCCATCAAGCTACCAATGACTTTCTTCACAGAATTGGAAAAAACTGCTTTAAAGTTAATATGGAACCAAAAAAGAGCCCACATTGCCAAGTCAATCCTAAGCCAAAAGAACAAAGCTGGAGGCATCACGCTACCTGACTTCAAACTATACAACAAGGCTACAGTAACCAAAACAGCATGGTACTGGTACCAAAACAGAGATATAGACCAATGGAACAGAACAGAGCCCTCAGAAATAATGCTGCATATCTACAACCATCTGATCTTTGACAAACCTGACAAAAACAAGAAATAGGGAAACGATTCCCTATTTAATAAATGGTGCTGGGAAAACTGGTTAGCCATATGTAGAAAGCTGAAACTGGATCCCTTCCTTACACCTCATATAAAAATTAATTCAAGATGGATTAAAGACTTAAATGTTAAGACCTAAAACCATAAAAACCCTAGAAGAAAACCTAGGCAATACCATTCAGGACATAGGCATGGGCAAGGACTTCATGTCTAAAACACCAAAAGCAATGGCAACAAAAGTCAAAATTGACAAATGGGATCTAATTAAACTAAAGAGCTTCTGCATAGCAAAAGAAACTACCATCAGAGTGAACAGGCAACCTACAGAATGGGAGAAAATTTTTGCAATCTACTCATCTGACAAAGGGCTAATATCCAGAATCTATAATGAATTCAAACAAATTTACAAGAAAAAACAACCCCATCAAAAAGTGGGCAAAGGATATGAACGGACACTTCTCAAAAGAAGACATTTACGCAGCCAAAAGACACGTGAAAAAATGCTCATCATCACTGGCCATCAGAGAAATGCAAATCAAAACCACAATGAGATACCATCTCACACCAGTTAGAATGGCGATCATTAAAAAGTCAGGAAACAACAGGTGCTGGAGAAGATGTGGAGAAATAGGAACACTTTTACACTGTTGGTGGGACTGTAAACTAGTTCAACCATTGTGGAAGTCAGTGTGGCGATTCCTCAGGGATCTAGAATTAGAATTACCATTTGACCCAGCAATCCCATTACTTGGTATATACCCAAAGGATTATAAATCATGCTGCTATAAAGACACATGCACACGTATGTTTATTGCGGCACTATTCACAATAGCAAAGACTTGGAACCAACCCAAATGTCCAACAATGATAGACTGGATTAAGAAAATGAGGCACATATACACCATGGAATACTATGCAGCCATAAAAATGATGAGTTCATGTCCTTTGTAGGGACATGGATGAAGCTGGAAACCATCATTCTCAGCAAACTATCACAAGGACAAAAAACCAAACACCACGTGTTCTCACTCATAGGTGGGAATTGAACAATGAGAACAGATGGACACAGGAAGGGGAACATCACACACCGGGGCCTGTTGTGGGGTGGGGGCAGCGAGGAGGGATAGCATTAGGAGATACACCTAATGTTAAATGATGAGTTAATGGGTGCAGCACACCAACATGGCACATGTATACATATGTAACAAACCTGCATGTTGTGCACATGTACCCTAAAACTTAAATTATAATAATAAAAAAAAGAATCTGAGACTCCCCTCAAATATCTTTCATTGAAACCATTCCTCTGATGCTAACAGGACACGGATGCTGAATGGCCACCATGGTGCCCTCCAGGCCAGGCCATAGTTTTCTTCACAAAGAGCCAAGCCTCTTAGTTCCTGGAGTGGGCAAGGCAAATTCCAGCTTCCAAGCTTTATCTAGAAACATGAACAAATCTTAATTTTTCAGGGCTTTATTTTGTTAGGTTATAGATTATCTAAGTTTTGCGTTTCTCCTTTTCTTCTCTCATAGCTGGAGGGATTCCTCAGGGATCTATGCTGTCACTGATGCAATTTTATAGTTTTGTAAGTAATAGAACAGAGAAATGAAAAATGAAATTGCCAAGGCTATAAGATCTTCCAGGTCAGGAAAAGCAAATAGAAGGTGATGAGCTCCCGTAAGACTGTACAAAGGGGGAGAAAGATAACAGAGGAATTTCAACACTTAGTTCTAAGGGGAAAGATTGTAAATGATCATTATGAGACTGTTGGGCATATATTTACCAACCCAAGAGAAGACCTCAAAATCACTGTAGGCTGTTCTTTGAAGATACTAGTCTATGTACCATTGCACACTGGTCAGAAAAACCTAGCTATCATCAGAAAGCATTTTAGAAATCAAAGAAAAAAATTTCTATCCTTATATAAAATCATGATGAATTCGTACCTGAAACACTGCAACCAGCTTGAACAGATATAAAGGGACCAGAGAATGTTTACAGACAGGCTACTAATATGATTAAGGGATGAAGGTTTCTTTTTAAGAGAGCTCTTCAATCTAAAAGGTAAAGAATAAGAGGCTATATATAATCAAAATCTATAAAATGAAGAAGGAGGCATATTTCAGCACTGTGGAGGTGGACAGCATCTCTGAGTGCTGCATTCAGGACGGTTACATCAAGGGCTGCCTCAAGCAGCATTTCAATTGTTCTTCATCTCTGGCAAATTCTTACCATTTGGGACAGTTGAAGAATAGTCAGTTCTATTGGAGGCAGAATGATGGAAAAGATGACCTTACAAGCCTTCCTCCAGTTTCACCTTTTTGTAATTCAGTACCCTTGGCCTAATTTCTCTAGCTTATATTATTAATCTTGAAAAGGGGGCTCCATGTGTGCAAGGGGAGATATGTAACAGGAAAACTGGACTAACTATACATATTTCCTTATTCACTGGCATAGCTTTAACCTGATGAACTTGTCTGGTGATAATGGATGCAAAACCTGTAAGCTCTAGGCATATCCCTGCCAGTTAATACCAGTGCATGATTACTAGAAACTGTTAGCATTTCTCTGAATTTTGAGTAAAATACATGCTATTTAAGTAAAGTGGTTTATCACCATAGCAACAATTTCTAGAGTCACACATTCAAATTATAGGCCTGCACAAGGTCCAAATGACAAAATTCTGATATAAGTTTAATGCTATAGTTTTGTGTGTAATGGCTACCCACCTTCCTCACATCCCTATGGTTTTCAGAAGAAGGAAGGGAAAGAAAAGCTAAGGGAAGAAGAAAAATTGACTTCCAAATATATAGACTTCTAAGGTTACTTGCATAAAGATCTGGGTCTTGTGTGGAGTCAACAGAAATGAAATCTAACTTGCAAATTAGAGAAAAATATAAATATCTTTCTTTTCTTTGTAACTGAGGTATAATCTATATACAGAATACACATATCTGAAGTGTACAGTTTGATGAGTTTTGACAAACACTTAGGCCTGTATAACCAACACCACAATCAGGAAATAGAACAATTACCAAGAAAGTTCTCTCTTGCCACAACCCAGTCAACCCTCTTCTCCTGGGGGCCACAACTATTCTGATTTTTTCAACATAAATTAGCTTTGCCTTTTCTAAACTTCATATACATGAAAAAGAATGCATTATGTACTCTTTTATATCTGAGTTATTCTGCTTAACATTTTTAATTGAATTTTTATTCAGATATTCGTAGATTCTCATGCTATTGAGACATAGGTTTTTGAGATTCATCTATGTAATAGTAACTCATTTCTTTTTTCTTGCCAAGTAATGCTCCATTGTATGGATGTACCACAATTTGTTTACTCATTCTTCTGTTAATGAATATTTGGGATGTTTCCAGTTTGGGGCTGCTTATACATAAATCCGCTACAAACATATACTACAAATCTTTTTGTGAACTTGGGATTGCTGGATAAATGGTAAATGAATGCTTAACCTTAAAAGTAAATGCCAGCCAGGCGCGGTGGCTCACGCCTGTAATCCCAGCACTTTGGGAGGCCAAGGTAGGCGGATCGCGAGGTCAGGAGATAGAGACCATCCTGACTAACACAGTAAAACCCCATCTCTATTAAAAATACAAAAAATTAGCTGGGTGTGGTGGCACACCTGTAGTCCCAGCTACCCAGGAGGCTGAGGCAGGAATTGCTTGAACCCAGGAAGCGGAGGTTGCAGTGAGCTGAGATTGCGCCATTGCAATCCAGCCTGGGTGACAGAGCAAGACTCCATCACACACATAAAAAAAAGTAAATGCCAAACTATATTCTGAAAGAATAGTACCATTTTGCATTCCCACCAGCAAGGTGGGAAAATTCCAGTTGTTTCATATCCTTGCCAATATCTGGACTTGTTAGTTTTTAATTTTGGCCGTTCTAGAAAGTATGTAGTGATATCCTGTGGTGGACTTAATTTCCATTTTCCTGATGACTAATGATGTTTAGCATCTTTTCATATGCTTATTGACTACTTGTATATCTTCCTATGTGAAGTGTCTGTTCAAGTCTACTGACTATTTTAAAACATGGATTGCCTTATTGCAATGTAGGAGTTGTTTATATATTCTGCATGCAAGTCTTCTGTCATATATATTTATTGCAAATATTTTCTCCCTGTCTGTGGCTTATTTTTTAACATGCTTTTGATGAGCAAATGTGTTTTATTTTTAGGAATCATTTTACCAGTTTTTAAAAGTGCTTTCTGTGTCTATGTTCTAAGAATCTTTGACTATCTGCTGGATGGAAGATAGTCTCTTATGTTTTATCCTAGGAGCTTTACAGTTTCGCTTTTAGATTTAGTTCTACCCTTCTCAAACTAATTTTTGTGTACAGTTTTAGCTAGGGGGTCAAATTTCATCTTCCCTCATATATATCTACTATTGTTCTAGCATTATTTATTAAAAAGACTATCATTTACCCCTTCGAATTGCTTTGAAATCTCTGTCAAAAATCAACTGACTGGGCCGGGCGCGGTGGCTCACGCCTGTAATCCCAGCACTTTGGGAGGCCGAGGTGGGCGGATCACGAGGTCAGGAGATCGAGACCATCCTGGCTAACATGGTGAAACCCCATCTCTACTAAAAATACAAAAAAATTAGCCGGGCATGGTGGCGGGTGCCTGTAGTCCCAGCTACTCCGCAGGCTGAGGCAGGAGAATGGCGGGAACCTGGGAGGCGGAGCTTGCAGTGAGCCGAGATCGCGCCACCGCACTCCAGGCTGGGTGACAGAGCGAGACTCCGTCTCAAAAAAAAAAAAAAAAAAAAAAAAAAATCAACTGACTGTATAAACATGGGTCTATTTCTAGACTCCCAATTTTGTTCTACTAATCTATTTGTTTATCCTTACATCAATACCACATTGTATTAATTACTGTATCTATGTAGTAAATGTTGACATCAAGTCATATAAGTCTTGCAACTTTGTTCTTTTTAGGTTATTTTGTCTGTTCCAGGTTTTATGTATCTCCAAATAAATTTTAGAATCATCTTGTCAATTTATAACAAAAAAGCAAGTGTTCTAGATTTCAACTGGGATTGGTTTAAACATGTAAGTTAATTTGGGGAGAACTGACATCTTAATAGTACCAAATATTCTAAACCATAAACATGGTATATCTCTCCAACTATTTCAGTCTTTTTCAATTTTGCTCAACAGCATTTCATGGTTTTGGTATAAATATTTTGCATATATTTTGTTAGATTTTTCACTAAGTGTTTTATGTTTTGTGGCAATTAGTATTTTAAAATTTTATTTCCCAATTGTTCACTGCGAATATATAACAATACAATTTTTATATATAGATCTTGCATCCAGCAACCTCTTTAATTCACTTTTTGTAGATTCCTTGGGATTTTCTATGTATACAAACATGTCATCTGCAAGTAAAGACAGTTTTATTCTTCCTTTACAATATATATAATTTTATTTCTTTTAATTGCCTTGTTGCATCAGCTAGAACCTTTTGTACAATGATAAAGAGAATTAGTGAGAGAGAACATCGTTCCTTGCCTTTCTCCTATCTTTAGCATGAAAATACTCAATATTTTGCCATTAAGAATGATACTAATTGTAGTTTTGGATTTTTTTTTTTTGTAAAATCTCTTATTATGTAAAAGAAGTTCCCTTTTATTCCTAGTCTGCAGAGGATTTTCTCATGTTTGAGTGTTGAATTTTATCAAATGCTTTTCCCAAAATCATTGAGATAATTATATAGCTTTCTCCTTTATCTATACATAGTGAATTATGTTGTTTGATTTTTGGATGTTAATCCAAACCTGCATTCCTGGAATACACTGCAAACACTTAATTATGATATGCTATTCTTTTATATATTTCTGGATTCAGTTTGCTAATATCATTTGAAATTTTTACGTCTATAATTTATGAGAGATATTGGCTAATAATTTTCTTGTAACATCCTTGTCATGTTTAGGTATTGTTGTTATTTATAAGGCAAACATGCCTTATAAATGAGTTGGGAAATATTCTCAAGAGTTGGTGTATAAGTTTTCTCTTATTTCTTCTTCAAAGATTTAGAAGAATTAGACAGTGAAATCATTTGGGAATAAAGTTTTCTTTTTAGTAAAGTTCTTTACTACAGACATGATTTTAAAAATAAATACAGAACGATTCAGATTTTCTATTTTTGTGTAACTGTTTTTGTACTTTTAAAAGAAATTTGACCATTTCATATAAATTTCTCAATGTACTGGCATTAAGTCATTAAGAGCCAGTAAGCCTGAAGATAGATCAATAGAAAGTATCCAATGTAAAGAATAGAAAAAAAAAGATTAAAAAATGGATAGTGCCTCAGGAACCTATAGAACGATATCACACTGTCTAATATATGAGTAATTGGAGTCTCAGAAAAAAAAGGAAAAGGTAATGACAAAACTTCCAAAACGTGGCTAAAGGTACAAATTTACAGATTCACAGAGCTCAGCAAACCCCAAGCAGGATAAAAGTGAAGAAGAACACGCTTAGCAATAGCATTGTTAAACTGCTGAAAATCAAAGATAAAGAGATGACCTTGAAAGCATCCAGAGAAAAGTGACACAATACATATAAGTGAAGAACATTTCAAATTTCCACAGATAGTTCATCAGAAAAAATGATCAAAAGTTAAGAAAAAAGGAAAGAAGAGTATCAGAAATGATAACTATCTGGATAAATATAAGAAATTTTTCCTCTTAATTTCTTGAAAACATACATGACAATTTAAAGCACAAATTATATCATTATTTTGTGGGGTTTATAATTATGTAGATATAATACATGTAACACTTATAGCATAAAGGTAGGGTAAGAGATAAATGGACCCAAATTAATACATTTGAAATTGAAGCAATACTTGTTATAACCCAACACAATGGGTTGGTTCTCTATAGAGAAAGGATATGCATAGCATGGCCAGACAGCTATAGGCCCTAAGGGGAGCTGAGCAAAAGTCAGGCTTGGGAAGAGAGGGAAGTGATTTAAAGGATTCACTAATACATCTTTGCAAAAATGGGAATCTGGTTAAGCCTGTGGTAAAACCTAAGCCTTATACAAAAAGCTCTTGTGTGGGAGTAGAAGTAGGGACAAAATATCCCCTTAGAACAAAAGCCTTGTTTATGGGAGCCTATGAATCCAGGCCAGCAACTCGCATTGCAAGCAGCATTAGATCAAATAACAGGTCAAGATTCATGTTAGCACAATTAGTTATTTGTACCTGTATTAGTCTGCTATTGCAGTAGTTATTCAACTATGTTTGAGAGGTCCCCACAATCACCCCCAGGTTCAATGAGTCACTGGGAGGACTCACAGGACTTGACATTTATATTCGTACTCATGGCTATGACTTATTACAGTGCAAGGATGCAAAGCACAACCAGCAAAAGGAAAAGACACTTCAGGCTAAATCCAAGAGAAACCACGAGCAAGCTTCCAAGTGTCCTCTCCCAGGGGAGTTGCAGAGGATGTGCTTAATTCCCCCTGCAATTAGTTGTGACAGCATATGTGAAATGTTGCCAACCATGGAAGCCCATTGGAGACTCAGCATCCATGGTCACGTAGGCAGCCTCTGCCTAGCATCTACCAAAATCCCAGACTCCCAGAAGGAAAGTAGGTATTCAGCATAAACCATATTGTTTGCACAAACAGTTTAGACAAAATTAGCTAAGTTCCCAGAAATGAGCCAAGGGTCAACCTTGCAAATAAATAGGTCTTTTGAAGGATAGCAGTTGAGGCCACCTATTTAACTCTTTTCTGCACAACTATACAACAAACAACTGCAAAAATCTCAGTATCTTGTAACAGCAAGTATTTATTTTTCTCAATTAATTTCAGTTTGGTTGTGCCAGGCTAAACTTCAAGTATTAGACTGAATTCAGATCTGTTCCACAAATCTCCACAATTCTGGAACCTGTGGCTTTCTGCAGGCATGCTCTTCTCACGGCAGGTGACAGAAATAGAAGAGAGCAAGCTAAATCATGCAAACACTTTTAAGGTCTCTGCTTTCATTACACCCTTTTAACGTTCCATCAGCCAGAATAACGGCCAAGACCAACATTAGTAGGATGAGAAAATAGCCTTCAACAGTTCTACCAGGGAGAACTGCAAAGTCACATGGCAAAGGATATGCATGTACAAATTATTTACAGGAAAGGAATAATTAATTGGAAACAAGAATCCAATCTTCCACAGTACCTTAAGTAACTCACCAAACTCAGAGGGCAAACAAGGTTAGAAGCAGCACATTATCACTTCTGAAAATGAAATTTCTTGGTCTGTTTACTAGTTTATTCCCACACTTATACCCAAAGGAGCCTTGATACAGCCAGGAAAATATATGCAATTTTAGTAATATTCTATATACATTTTTAGTAATATAATAATGAAAGCATTAATGGCTAACATTAATAAGTACTTACCACGTGACAAGAGTGTTACGTGCATGATTTCACCTAGCACTTAGTTGGTGAGATTATTATTCCTATTTTACAGATGAGAAAATGGAGGCCTAGAGACTTGCCGAACATCATAAAGCTTGTAAGTGGTGAAGCCAGAATCTGAATCCAGGCAGCCTAGATCCGAAGTTATACTTTTAACTATTATGATATTTTAAGGGCTGTGCTTGGGTACATATGCCATATTGCAATGCTTCAATACTGGGATAAGAAAGTGTGCCACAATTATGCAAGTACTGTCACATTTTCATATGATAGTTCTCATGGACTCAGAAAGCTAAAATGTAATTTTCAGGAAAAGAAAATTTTTATCCCACTCACTAAAATATCACGAAAATTTAAGTTTTTCCTCACAGAAACATTATCAACATATCAAAGTATTAAATTTCAATGTTATTTAAATGTCAACATTTCTTGTCTTTGAAAAAATGTTTTACGAACACATACCATTTATCAAAATAATTTTTCAAAGTTTTTAAACCACCATGCCTTTCTACTTTCTAGCCTAGATAAAGCAACTGCTACATGTACTATCTCCTACAATACTATAACAACTAGGTTTTCAGTCAAGGAAAAATTATCACAAAAGAAAATAATGGCAAAAATCTATTTTCTTTTCTTTTCTTTTTTTTTTTTTTTTTTCTGAGACAAAGTCTCATTCCATTGCCCAGGCTGGAGTGCAGTGGCGTGATCTTGGCTAACTGCAACCTCCGCCTCTTGGGTTCAAGCGATTCTCCTGCCTCAGCCTCCCAAGTAGTTGGGATTATAGGTGATTGCCACTGTGCCCAGCTACTTTTTGTATTTTTAGTAGAGACAGGGTTTCGCCATGTTGTCCAGGCTGGTGTTGAACTCCTGACCTCAGGTGATCCACCCATCTGGGCCTCCCAAAGTGCTGGGATTACAGGCGTGAACCACCACGCCTGGCCTGAAAATCTTCTATTTTCATTAAACAAATTCATTCAAGACTGTGTTAAATAAACAATTTTATAACTAGGAAGTTTCTCCATTACAAAGCAAGAATTCCATAATGGAAATATACTTGTATTGCATCTAGAGATTCCAGTCCCTTCCTCTATGGTTATGGGGAGGTATACTTTAATTATGGACATTCATTTCTCTCCAATTGTTTTCTGAGCTTATGAATAATGAAAGCATATACCATTTATCAGGCATCATTAAGGACCTAATGTTAAAAGGCACACTACTGCAATAAGCAGTGGTCTGCCAAGTGTCTCATCAGAAGATGAGCAAATGCTATTGCAGGAGTGAAAGTCAAGTCTATCCAGTAAAGCTGATAAAGACTTTGTCTTAGAGAATTCAGAGGATTACCAATAGCACAAAACATTATCTAGATGTCCTCGGCATGTGAGAAACAAGATATACATGAGAGAACATTACTGTCCTCAGAATACCATAACCAATGGTGGAAATAAACAAAAGGACATTGCCAAGTGCCAACTATTTGAAAACAAATCTGAAACAAGTGTGTGATATCTTAGTCCAAATATGAACAATGAGGAGATGCAGACTGCATTTTCCCATAATGTCCGAGGCATTTGGAACTAAGGGACCATTATTTAGGGAAGGAGGAAGGTGCTGAGTTCAAGTGCTTTTGCTTTTGTTTTTGTTTTTAACACATCCTCACTTACCCTGTCTGCTAGTTTTCCAAGAGCTCTGCCATTGTTTCAAAAGGTGTGATTACCCTGGCTTTTGAGAAATTCCCAAACCTAAGCATGGGAAAGTTCCTTAGAGGACATCAAGGGAAGACAAGCTCCTACCCACCTTGCAAGAATTACTGTTATGGCATTTATAACAAGTAGCCTTCCAGAGTCTGCTTGAATACTTCCAATGATGGGGAGGTGGAAGGTTTGTTACCCACGGCCCAGCCTTTTTCCATTGCTGGTGAACTCTGACTATGGAAAAATTTTTCCTGTCGATGAAACCTACATTCCTAAAATATCAACCAACATTCTTACCATTTCTATATTCTTGAAATGTCAACCCACTGGTATAGTTCTAGCATCCACAAACAATTCAAATTCCAATTCTTCTGTTCCCTAGTTGATGTAGCTGAGAATCACATCATAAGTTTCATTAATTTGTGACTTGCAGGGGCGGCTGGAGGAGTGGGAGGGGAAAAGTGTGACACGGCAATGGAAAAGGGGATGGAAGACATTTGGTTCGCAAGCATATTTTATGTTAGATGCAGTGACAAATACAACTCAAGGCCACAAAACGTGTGTATAATTGTACATATGTGAGTATATGTAGATGTATGTATGTGTAAGAATATGTGAGTATATGTGTATACATGTATATGTGTATGTGTGTGCATAAGTATGTATATCTGTACAAAATGCCAAGTCAGCCAACAAAAATCTTCAAACTATGTTCAATAAGAAATGCAAACATGGAATTTTATGATATTATTTTTAAGGAGAATATAAAATACACTCAAGAGCTAAGCATCGTAGGAGTTAACACACTAGAGAGGAAAAAGAATTCAATGAGCTTATGTCTACATTATGGTAAAAATATTATAATCTCAAAATATCTAAATCATTATGTTATGCTTATTATCTAAACATTTGCTATAAAGTAATGAAGAAGTTCTCAACCACTAAATCAAAATCAATGAATAGATCATGTTACCATGTCCCTTTCTGTAAGTTACTGAGAGGATTCTTGGCATGGAGGGGTGTAGGCCAGCAATGCTGCACCTCCCTGAATCTGGTCCAGGATTTACCCTGGCAGTCCCTCTCTGCACTCTGCCTAATTCTGATTTCTAGAATCAGAAACCAGTGACTCCTCACGAGAAGTCTGGCTACCCTGAGGTGAACACAGTCCCTGCTGGCAGGATGCTCAATTATTAAATAATAGTTCAGATATGTTAATTAGATTTCAAGACAGGAAGGAGAACAAACACATACAGAGAAATTTTCTGCAAATTCAGAAACAAACAAGGAAGCAGGGAAGAGGACCTTTGGGTAAACTTTGTCAGGATATCCAGTTAACGGATCACAATCTAGAACTAATCAAAATGTTATTCAATTCTATTCATTAAAAAGAATAAAACTGCATTCAGAACTAATAAGGTAAAATAATAAACCTATATAAAAAGTTTTTGTTACCATAAATTCAGACACAAATAACTGAATAATTATCATTTTCTAAGTAATACATAGATCCATTCCAAATTCTATAGTCTGGTAGAGTACAAAAATTATTAATTTTGATTCTTGGGCCAAATTTGGCATGCCATCTGTTTTGGGGGAAAAAATAGTTGAGTTGGAACATGGCCACACTCATTCATTTGTTGTCTATGGCTGTTTTCACGCTACAACGTCAGAGATGAGTAGTTGTGACAAAGACTACTAGGGCCCACAAAGCCTAAAATATTTACTGTTTGTTCCCTTACAGAAAAAGTTTGCAGACACCTGCCCTACATAATCACCAACCTTAAAATAAACATGTAGGCCACCTCGCTAAATCATGCTAGCCTTATAAGGCAGAAAGAACTTTACTTGCTATATAACGCTCGGCCTTTGTTACAAACTAACAACAAAAAGACAGATTTGCAAAAAAAATGTTCCAGGTGTGGTGAGGGTATTTTACACTTGGGAGAAATGCAGCAATGATTCTTCCTACCTGTTTTTCCTCCTCTTCATCTGAAGTGTAATTGGCATCAGGGACATTTCCCCAGGGTTGGTAACTTTTCAACTTTTCTTCAGTGGACGGCTTATTCTTCTCTTCTGTTGTGTTTTCCTCAACACTTTCTGGGTTATTTTTCCATTCCTTCATCATCTCTAATACATTGGTTGGTCTCACCGAAGAAAGTTTATTGCCCTAATATTAACAATCAATTTTTGGTGTTATAAACAACTTAGAGAATTGAGACGATACCTACATCATTTAGCGAGACAGTCTCCCAAATTCAGTAATAGTCACATGGAAAAGATTATAATGCTGAATAAATATGAAAACTTCTGATGACCACTGGAGTACAACCCCTGTACTCACATGGCTCACATCCCTTGCATGATATCACGTGTAATATGTCCAAGTTAACAGGGGAAATATTCAGGCTTGAAAGAACAATGCAGCATGCTTGTGCAAAGAACACTACACAGGGCAATTTCCTGGAACCCAAATACCCCTATAGCGCTGTTCTTAGAAAATTGAGAGGGAGGCTGAAAGAACTAAAGAAGTTGCCCAAACGCCAGTGCGTCCAGTGCTAAGGATGAGTCTATACAACATCCAAATATCTAGGCAAAAAAAAATCTAAATTCAGTCAATTAGTCAAGCACTGTGTCTAAGAATATAGATATTTAATTGGAAATCCCTTACCTGTCTGGAAGATTTAAATATAATGTGGTCATTTGATTATAACTGACTTGGTACAGTGTTCTTATCCCAGCATATGACTATACCATGCCAAAATTGACCATTTTATATTAACTGTATTTTCCCAAATATAATACCCCATGTAATGTGCCAAGAAATATATGAATGCAAGCTCAAATAGCTCCTGCTTGATTAGGTGTGTCTTAAATATTTTTGTTCTTACCTCATACTGTTAGAAAAAATTTAGACAAAAAAATGGATCATATTTAGATTAAAATGAGAAGTTCAGGTGTGGGCATGGCTATGAAGCGATTCTAAATTACCCTGGTATATGGATGTATTGAAATGTTTAGCATCAGTGACACAGAAAACTATAAGACAGGGTACTTTAGGGGTACCCATCTGAATACACTGTTGAGGACTTGTTGAGTTTAATGTATTTGTGGCTAAAGACATAGACAAACACTAAATATGGAATGCTAATAACTAAATGAGGATCACTACGCAATTAATTCTCTGTGATTCTTCTCTGTCCCCTTGTTTTAAGAAGCTCAGTACTCCTACCACGTTCATAACATCCCATTACACCTTACACTGGTTTTGCACTTGTTTGTCCCTTACCTACTTACTCCTAGAATGCCATTGCCATTTCTTCCTGCCAGTCCATAGCAAGAGCCTACATTTCCTTGAAGGTTCAATTTAAGATCCATTTCTGTCAGATATCCCAGAATTCCCAACTATGTAGTCAACTCAAGTGAAAACAGACAGTGGCTCAGTGACAGTAACCATTAAAGAGCTGAAATCAGGTAGAATGGTAGATAGTCTCAGAGCACTCATCTGAACGGGTTCTGCTCTCCAGGGCTCTGCTTGGTCCCTATGATCCATCTCTCCTCTCTTACAACTTCTTGGCTTCATCCTGACCTCTAACTTAATTTTCATAAAATCAGTGACCAGGGTCCTGGAATGCAAGTACATACAACTTTGCCTCAACTTGATTCTTTCACTAGCAGAAAGTGACAATCTGACACATCTAAGTCTGCAATACCAGTTCTCAGTGGCTCCTCCCTGACAAGCCCTCTCCAGGTTAAGTCTTTGGAAACTGTGGTGGTCACTAATGCTACTCGCCCAGCATTTCTTCCTTCTAGGCTCATGGTAGAGTTTCACTTCTCTATCCACTTTGGGACATGACCATGTGCCTTACTTTGGCCAGTGATTCATGATTGGAAATGGTATGTATCACTTCTGGGTGAAAACTTTAAGAGATAGTATGCAATTCATCATGTTTCCAATTCCTGAACTGGTAATTACAGAAGCATAGAGATGGAGTCTCCCTCAGCCTGGGTTCCTGAGTAAGGACAAAGTGAAACAGAACCTCCTCCTCTCCTCCCAGCCAATTGGTCATGGAAGGTACTAAGAGCACTGAGATTTGGGTGTCATTTGTCATCACCCAAGCATAATCTAGCTTACCTTGATATAGATACCAAAGCAAACATTTACATTCTGTAAATCACCTCTAAGAAGCCTTAAAAAGAGTGACTTTATTGTAAAACCATCAGGTCCAACAAAATTATAATTACTACAGAACTCATATGCAACCAATATGATGTGACAGCTCATTTATTTAGGCAGTTCTTGCGCTGCACAGTCCTGATATGCCTGAATTTCAGTTATAATTTACTTAAACAGCATTAGTCCCCCAAGAGCAGTTTAAATTTCAGTCAACATGGTATATGAACTATAACTGCATAAAGTTCAAACTGCACTGCTAGCTCTTCAGTCCACAAGGCACACAAACGCATATCATGATCAGTGACCAATTTTGTCACTTCTCTCAAAGGCTGTTGGTGATTAGACATTAGGCATCTGCTATTCAGTTCACACATAGACAGCAAAGTGTGTATTTGTGTTGCCTCCTTTTCTCCCAGGGAATTAGCCAACAAAGATGAAAGTGCAGCAAAGAAAATAAAAGTGATAATGCCGAAAGTGAAAACTGAATAAAATACGAATGGAGTAACAGAAGAAATTGCTGACTGGGAATGCTGACACTACCACCGTTCAACAGAGTATTTGCCAAGGCATAAAAAAGATGCTCCCTCTGTCTTATAAGTTATATGGTAAGAAGAAGGTAAGCACTATTTAAATGAATCTTAAGTATTTTATTTAAAAAGACACTTTAATTCTCAGTATTTCTAACATTCTAAATTACAGTGTACTAAATGAACATCAGCTTTACTTTTGTCTCATTTCCCTACATATTTATAACCAACAGAGAGTTATTAAGATTTTGACAAAAAGGTAAAGGGCATGAAACAATCATAACTTTTCACATTGATTATTGAGATCATTTTTTCACAGTTTCATACTGCTCTGCTATTTTACTGTCCCACACTACTGTACAAAGCAAGGATTGCCTACATTATTTTGAATCTGCATCTCTAGCAATCTTTCAAATGCCTGGTTCACATACACATACACCCAAGAGCTTGGTAGCTGAGATTCTACATGTCTAAAGGAGAGTGCCTTAGTACTTGAAGAAATGACCCTACTTCTCATTCTATAGAGACTGTGGAGAAAAGCAAAGGATCCAGAATAAGAGTATTATCCCTATTTCCTATGTGGAAATTTTTAGCTCTTTGCCTCCTATACTCACTTGTGATATCAAGCCTGGACTAGGTGGTATAGAGTCCAGGCTTTGCCTGTTGTCTAATGTGCATCTGGATAACTTACTATACCACCTACTTCTTGCTTGCTAGCAGCTGAAGGATAAATTGTATCAGATACTTGGACTAACCAATAATAAGTGGTCCACAACAATGTATCATGAGCCTTCTAGTTCAACAGAAATTACAAATGAAGCAACCAAACAAAACTGGGGCAGAACTGTTAGGGCAGACACTGTAGATGTACATGTCACCTCACCATCAGAACACTAACCTCTGAACTCCTTTTACTGGCTGCATCTAGGTGATCAAATACTGAACTCATCAATTACAAAATAACAAATGACAAGAAAGCAGTAGCAATAGTTTGATCATCTGAAGCTATCACAGGTAGAGACCAGCCTTTTGGATAAATAAATTTCCACTTGCTTAACCAACAGATAGTTGAGACTATTAATTTAATATCGAACAACTAGAAAAATGAAACTCATGGAAGAGAAGAACTGCTTAAATACTAAGATTTGAATTTAATCCCTTAGTAGACAGGCCCCATAATGGAGACCCAATCACATTTCCTCATCTAAAAAATACTGCCTTTTAAGAGATAGTGCCTATCAGTGCTTTGTAAACAGTAAGCACTTAATAAGCTCTTTAAAATAAATGAATGAATAATACATATGAGCTGGGGTGAGATGGTATGAGTCCAAATCGGCGAAGCTAAAGGAAACATTCTGGATCTTTAGCATGCAGTCACCATTCTCTGTTTTTGCAAAGAGCTAGAAGACTTTATTTTGTAAAGTTCCTAGGAGTAAATTTTTTCAGTAGAAAAATGGAACACTTTATTTAAAAACATATAAAAGAATGGCCAACTTCAAAAAATAAAATTCAAGTCAAAACAATGTGGTGTCAATTTTCACCTAATAGATAGACAAAAATTTAAGTTTGATATTCCCTGTGTCGGTGAGGGTGTGGAGGAACAAGCACTCTCACTTACTTGCTTTTTATGAGAAGGTAAATTAGCAATACTTGATCAAAATGTAAAATGCACATTCTCTCTGACCAGTAAGTCCACTGTTAAAATTTATCTTATATAAACTGGCACAGTATGCAAACACATATTTACAAGAACATCTGTTGTACTACTGATGTAATAGAAAAGATCTGAAACAATTTAAATATTCACAGGGACTATTTACAAAATAGTTTATAGTTTGGGATATAATGCTGGCTTTTCATTTTTTTTTTAATTTTTAACTTTTTTTAGGTCCAGGGGTACCTGAGCAGGTTTCTTATATAGGTAAACTCGTGTCACAGGGGTTCGTTGGACAGATTATTTTGTCACCTAGTTACTAAGCCTACTATCCAATAGTTATTTTTTTCTGGTCCTCTCCCTCCTCCCACCCTCAAGTAGTCCCAGTGTCTGTTGTTCCCCTCTTTGTGTCCATGAGTTTTCATCATTTAGCTCCCCTTCTAAGTGAGAACATGTGCTATTTGGTTTTCTGTTCCCACGTTAGTTTGCTAAAGATAACAGCCTCTAGTTCCAGCCATGTTCCCGCAAAAGACATGATCTTATTCTTTTTTATGGCTGCATAGAATTCCATGGTGTATATGTACATTTTCTTTATCCAATCTGTCATTTATAGGCATTTAGACTGATTCCATCTCTTTGCTATTGTGAATAGTGCTGCAGTTAACATTCATGTGCATATGTGTTTATGGCAGACTGATTTATATTCCTCTGGGTATATACCCAGTAATGGGATTGCTGAGATAAATGGTAGTTCTGTTTTTAGCTCTCTGAGGAATCGCCACACTGCTTCCCACAATGGTTGAACTATTAATAATTTACACTCCACGCAACAGTGTGTAAGTGTTCCCTTTTCTCCACAACCTCACCAGCATTTGTTATTTTTTTACTTTTTAGTAATAGCCATTCTGACTGGTGTGAGATGGTATCTCACTGTGGTCTTGATTTGAATTTCTCTAATAATCAGTGATCTTGAGCTTTTTTCGTATGCTTGTTGGCTGCATATATGCCCCATCTTGAAAAGCGTCATCTGTTCATGTCCTTTGCCCACTTTTTAATGAGGTTGTTTTTTTTTCTCGTGAATTTAATTTCCTTTTAGACACTGGGTATTAGACCTTTGTTAGATGCATAGTTTGCAAATATTTTCTCCCATTCTGTGGGCTGTTTGTTGATAGTTTCTTGTACTGTACAGAAGCTCTTTAGTTTAATTACATACCACTTGTCATTTTTTGCTTTTGTTGTGATTGCTTTTGGCGTCTTCCTCATGAAATCTTTGCCGGTACCTATGTCCAGAATGGTGTTGCCTAGATTGTCTTCCAGAGTTTTTACAGTTTTGCATTTTACATTTAAGTATTTAGTCCATCTTGACCTCATTTTTGTATATGGTGTAAGAAAGGGGTCCAGTTTTAATCTTCTGCATATGGCTAGCCAGTTATCCCAGCACCATTTATCGAATAGAAAGTCCTTTCCCCACTGCTTGGTTTTGTCAGCTTTGTTGAAGTTCAGATGGTCACAGATGTGAGGTCTTATTTCTGGGCTCTCTATTCTGTTCCATTGGTCTATGTGTCTGTTCTTGTACCCATACCATGTTGTTTTGGTTACTGTAGCCCTGTAGTATAGTTTGAAGTTGGGTAGCATGATGCCTCCAGCTTTGTTCTTTTTGCTTCGGATTGCTTTGGCTATTTGGACTCTCTTTTGGTTCCATATGAATTTTAAAATAGATTTTTCTAGTTCTGCAAAGAATGTCACTGGTAATTTGATAGGCATAGCAGTGAATCTGTAAACTGCTTTGGGCAGTATGGTCATTTTAATGATATTGATTCTTCCGATCCATGAGCATGTAATGCTTTTCCGTTTTTTTTAAGAAAATCTTCCCTATATATTAAGTGAAAATAGTTGCATAATATGAACCCATTTGTGTAAAGTATCTACATAAAAATGTATGGAATGTTTTTTGAAAGCATACATAAAAGACTTAATGATGGTTATCTTTAGTGAGAGGGAATGAGAGAATGAGAGGAGAAAGCAAGTTATTTTTCCCATTTTGTTTACTCACTTAACCATGGATAATCTCAATTATTACCTTAATTTATTTTATTATTATTTTTGTTGTTGTAGAGGAGTCTCACTATGTTGCCTAAGCTGGTGTTGAACTCCTAGATTCAAGTGATCCTCCTGCCTCAGCCTCCCAAAGTGCTGAGATTACAGGTGTGAGCCACCGTGCCCAGCCTCGACTATTACCTTTTACCTTTACATGACTAATAATCAATGTAAATTATAGTAAGAAAAGACATGATGTAAGTTTTAGATACCCAAAGAGGACTGAAAGCACCCAAAAAATCACCAAACATGTCCTGAAGTGTTTCAGAGTCCAAGGCAGCAGAATATCAAGATAATAAGTAAAGTAGTCAACTGTGTACCACTTTCATGTTTTTCCTAACAAAATCACCTCAGTGATTTTTTTCCACAAGTATAGTAACTATGTGAGTAGATAAGGCTTTTTTATTAATATTCCTATTCTTCAGGAGAAAACGGTTTGAGAAATTAATGAATTTACCCTTATTCCAGAAGTGCATTTCGAATTGCCTGCCAAGAATTTCTAGTGAGAGGTATAGCTGAGCCTTCTACTCAGTGTATTCTAAACCACGCAACTACAAAACAAGAAAACTAGAAAACAAACAATAACTTGCATCCATACACCTAGTTTTCCTCCTTCTTGTCTTCCTGCCTTCTATCACCTGAGGTGACTGCTATCCAGAATCTTGTGATTAACATTCCCTTGCTTTTGTTTTGTATATATTTTTTATCACAACCATGTGTATTCAAAAAGGAATATTGACCAGGTGAGGTGGTTCAAGCTTGTAATCCCAGCACTTTGGGAGGATGAGGCCAGAGGATCACTTGAGCTCAGGAGTTCGAGACCAGCCTGGGCAACATAGGGATACCCCTACTTTACAAAAATAATTTTTTTAATTAGCTGGACATGGTGGTGCATGCCGGTAGTCTCAGCTACCCAGGAGGCTGAGGCAGAAGGATCACTTGAGCCCAGGAGTTAGAGGCTGAAGTGGGCATGCCAGCCTGGGTAACAGAGCAAGGCCCTGTCTGAAAAAAAAAAAGGGGAGGGGGGGAATATTTTTTGTTTTAGTTGTTTTAACTTTCATAATATTATTCCTTTTTTGCTTATTTCCAGTACAAAAGCCTTTTCTCAGTTTATAACTTATCAGCTTTCCTTCTGGTGTTGTTTTATTAACAAGAGTTCTTAACATAGACAAGCTAATCCATCATTTCTTTTATGTTAGTGCCTTTGGTTATGTTGCTTATGAAATCCTTTCCTACACACCCCAAGATGCAGAATATATTCACCTATATTTCCACTTAGAGTTTCAACATTTTGGTTTTTACTATAAGTCCCTGATTCCTTTGGAGTTGATTTTTGTCTGTGGTGTGAAATAGAAATTTAACTTTACTTTTTCCATATGGAGAACTCTTGATTCCAGCTCCATTTATTGAATAGTCCCTCCTTTCTCCCCTCTCATCTTCCATACGACGACTGTCAGAAAAAGTTCCAGATACACCTGGATATGTTTCTGTACTCTGTTTTATTCTGTTTGTCAATAATCATACTGCCCTAATTAACATAGCTTTATAAGTCTTAATATCCGGTAGAGCAAGACATTCAGAAATTTCTTGGCTATTTTTGATCCTTTAGTCTTCCACATAAATTTTATAGCCAGGAAAGTTTGTGAAATTTTGATTGTATTTGCACTGAATATGTATATCAATACGGGAAAAATTAATTTTTGATATTAAGTCTCCTGACACATGATTGTGATATATCTTTATATTTATGTATTCTTCAATGTTTTTCAATAAAATGTTCTAACTTTCCCCAAGGAGGTCTTATAAATCTTATGTCATGTTTATTACTAGATGTTTTATATTCTTTGCTACTATTTTACATGATGTCTTCATTTTTATTACATTTTCTATTGTTAGTTGCTAATGAGTAGAAGTGCAATTGACTTTTGTATATTAATCTTAAATCCAGCTACCTTTCTCAGCTCTCCTATTTCTAATAACTTATTTGTAGATTACTATAAATAATAAATCTTATTTCTGTTTTTCAAGTCTCACTTTAGTCTTCAGTTGACTAAGATCAGCAATGTTGGAAGAAAAAAAAGCTGACTTTCTTGACTATTCTCTATTTTAAAGGAAATCCTTCTCGCATTTCCTATTCAGAATGACATTTTCTGCAACATTTTATCAGGTTAAGGAAGTTTTCTTTTCTTTTTAATCATGAATACATGTTGAGTCTTATTACAAATGATTTCTCTGAAATGATCATATGATTTTTTCCTTTAATATATTAATGTGGGGATTTATACTTACAGATTCTGAAATTAATTCATCATTGTATTGTTGGGGATACTCAAGTTGGCCAAGATATATTATCTGTTAATATAAACAGCTACATCCAACTTGCTAATAGTATGTCTAAGGTTTTATATCTATATTAGTAAGTGAAATGGATAGTTTTCCTTTGTCACAATGTCGTGGTATAGTTTTGTATCCTGCAGTTTAGAAGGTATAGTCTTAGGATAAATTAGGAAAATTTTTCTCTTTTGAGGGGTAGAAGAAGAGTTATAAGTTTAAGATGAAAGTATGGTAGAACTCTAAAATTATTTGGGCCTGGTGTTTTGCTTGTAGAAGATTTTGAACTATTGCTTCAATTTATTTAATTATTACAAGACAGTTCAAGTTTTCTATTTATTAAGACTGTCTTGTATAACTATATTTTTCTAGGAAAAGAATTGTTTTCATTTTGACTGAGTTTGCAGACGTATTTGCATACACCTAGTAGTATTACCTAGTAGTATTCTCTTATCTTTGTAATCTCTCCTTTATCTACGGCTATATTCCCTTTTCCATATGTAAGATTTTTTTTCTCTCTCTCTTTTTTTTCTTGAGACAGGGTCTCACATTGTCACCCAGGCTGGAGTGCAGTAATGCAATCACGAGTCACTGCAGCCTCCGCTCTCCTAGACTCAGGTAATCCTCCCACCTCAGCCTTTCGAGTAGCTGGGACTACTACTAAAACTCAGCCGGGCATGGGCCACCATGCCCGGCTGATTTTTTAAATTTTTTGTAGGGACAGGGTCTCACTATGTTGTCCAGGCTTGTCTCAAACTCCTGGACTCAAGCAATCCACCCGCCTTGGCCTCCCAAAGTGCTAGGATTATAGCCATGAGCCACCATGCCCAGCCTGTTTTCTGTTTCTTTCTTAATTTCACCAAAGATTTATTTATTTTGTTTTTTTTTCAAAGAACCAAATATTGACCTTGTTGATCTTTTCTATTCTACCTTTGTGTTCTATTTAGTTGATTTTCGCTCTTAGTTTGATCTTTCCTACTACTTTATTTGGTTTTACTCTGTTAAAATTCTGAAATTTTTAGATATCATTAATTTTCTGTATTTCTCCTTCTCTAATATAAATATTAAACTTCTACTGAAGTACATGTTTGCTGTATCCTCCAAGTTTTGGTATGTTGTATTTTCATTATCACTCAGTTCTAGGAATTTAAATTTTTTCTTATTGGGGTTTATTCTTTAACTTATGAGTTGTTTAGAAGCATGTGATTTATTTTCCAGGTATATGCAGATATTTAATCTTGTTGTTTACTGGCTTTTAACTGCGTATTATTAGAGAACATGATCTGTGTTAACTTTATTAAGGCTTCCTTGCTTCACGGCCTAGGACAAGACCAATTTTGGTAAATATTCCACATGTGCTTGAGAACATGTACATTCTCTAATTAGAGAACTGTGTATGTGTCTACTAGAATAAGCTTGTCATATTATTAAAATCATCCATATATTTTTGTTTCTTTGTTTCATATATCAGTAGTTGAGAGAAGTGCATTACAATCTCCTACTATAATGGATTTGCCAATTTCTCCATGCAATGTTGTCAATTTTTGATATATATTTAAGGTTATTTTATTAGTTGCATACATTATTAAAATTACTATATAATCTTTTTGAGTTGAATCTTTAATCCTTATAAAGTGACCTTCTCTATCCCTTAATGATGATTTGTTTGTGTTAAGGTATATATATATTTTTATTATACTTTAAGTTTTAGGGTACATGTGCACATTGTGCAGGTTTGTTACATATGTATACATGTGCCATGTTGGTGTGCTGCACCCATTAACTCATCATTTAACATTAGGCATATCTCCTAATGCTATCCCTCCCCCCTCCCCCAACCCCACAACAGGCCCCGGTGTGTGATGTTCCCCTTCCTGTGTCCTAGTGTTCTCATTGTTCAGTTCCCACCTATGAGTGAGAACATGCGGTGTTTGGCTTTTTGTCCTTGCGATAGTTTGCTGAGAATGATGGTTTCCAGCTTCATCCATGTCCCTACAAAGGACATGAACTCATCATTTTTTATGGCTGCATAGTATTCCATGGTGTATATGTACCTCATTTTCTTAATCCAGTCTATCATTGTTGGACATCTGGGTTGGTTCCAAGTCTTTGCTATTGTGAATAGTGCCACAATAAACATACGTGTGCATGTGTCTTTATAGCAGCATGATTTATAATCCTTTGGGTATATACCCAGTAATGGGATTGCTGGGTCAAATGGTAATTCTAATTCTAGATCCCTGAGGAATCATCACACTGACTTCCACAATGGTTGAACTAGTTTACAGTCCCACCAACAGTGTAAAAGTGTTCCTATTTCTCCACATCCTCTCCAGCACCTGTTGTTTCCTGACTTTTTAATGATCGCCATTCTAACTGGTGTGAGATGGTATCTCATTGTGGTTTTGATTCACATTTCTCTGATGGCCAGTGATGATGAGCATTTTTTCACGTGTCTTTTGGCTGCATAAATGTCTTCTTTTGAGAAGTGTCCGTTCATATCCTTTGCCCACTTTTTGATGGGGTTGTTTTTTTCTTGTAAATTTGTTTGAGTTCATTATAGATTCTGGATATTAGCCCTTTGTCAGATGAGTAGATTGCAAAAATTTTCTCCCATTCTGTAGGTTGCCTGTTCACTCTGAGGGTAGTTTCTTTTGCTGCCCAGAAGCTCTTCAGTTTAATTAGATCCCATTTGTCAATTTTGGCTTTTGTTGCCATTGCTTTTGGTGTTTTAGACATGAAGTCCTTGCCCATGCCTATGTCCTGAATGGTATTGCCTAGGTTTTCTTCTAGGGTTTTTATGGTTTTAGGTCTAACATTTAAGTCTTTAATCCATCTTGAATTAATTTTTGTATAAGGTGTAAGGAAGGGATCCAGTTTCAGCTTTCTACATATGGCTAGCAGGTTTTCCCAGCACCATTTATTAAATAGGGAATCGTTTCCCCATTTCTTGTTTTTGTCAGGTTTGTCAAAGATCAGATAGTTGTAGATATGTGGCATTACTTCTGAGGGCTCTGTTCTGTTCCAGTGGTCTACATCTCTGTTTTGCTACCAGTACCATGCTGTTTTGGTTACTGTAGCCTTGTAGTATAGTTTGAAGTCAGGTAGCGTGATGCCTCCAGCTTTATTCTTTTGGCTTAGGGCTGACTTGGCAATGTGGGCTGTTTTTTGGTTTCATATGAACTTTAAAGTAGTTTTTTCCAATTCTGTGAAGAAAGTCATTGGTAGGTGTTAAGGTATATTTAATTGGTATTAATTCCATTATACAGGTTTTCTTTGTTAGTGTTTGCCTGATATGTCCTTTTCCATTTTTGTGTTTCAATATTTCCATGTCTTTCTGCTTCAAATATGCTTCTTATAAATAGTAGAGAGCTAGATTTTTAAAAAATTCAATTAGACAATATACCTTTAAACAGGTATTTTAAACCAATGTACTTGTAATTATTTCTGTATTTGGACTTGTTTCTCCTATCTAAGCCTGTTTTTGAAAAGGGAAAAGTTCCCTCATCCCCTTGGCAGGGCATGCAGTGGGGGGTGTGGCTCGCTTCTTCTGTGTCCCGCGGCTCAAACCTCTAGAGGGAGGATGCAGATGGGCACATGTGGGGTTCCAACACCAGGGCAGCATCTGGAGGTGAATGTTTACAGCTCCTGAAGCCCCAGTGGGTGTGTGTTACAGGGTGTTCTTTTAGTTTACCCATCCATAGGTGGCTTGTGTTAGTCAGCTCAATTAGACCCCCTGCCTCATCACAAGGACAGAGGGCTTTCTGTATCCCAGGGTTTCTAGCCTTGGTGTACTGGAAGAATCTGATCACACGCGGGCTTGGAGAATGAGTCCAAGGTTTTATTGAGTGGAGGTTCTCAGCAGATGGATGGGGAGCCAGAAGGGAGATGGAGTGGGAAGGTGGTTTTCCCCTGGAGTCAGGCAGCTCAGCAGCCTGGGCTCTCCTCCAACTGCCCCAGCCAAACTCCGTATTGTTCTGCCGGTGGATGGCTTGCAGGCCTGCTGGCCCTATGCCGCGGAGTGACTCTCAATGTCCAGCTGCTTGTGCGTCTGCCTGCTAGGGTCTCGGGTTTTTTACAGGCCCAGGATGGGGGCATGTCAGGCAGGGGTGGTCTTGGAAAATGCAACATTTAGGCAGGAAAACAGAAATGCCTGTCCTCACCTAGGTCTGTGGGCACATGCCTGGGGGTGGAGCCCTAGCCAGGGACTATGCCCTCCTCTACCTACCTTGGCCTCCCAAAGTGCTGGGATTATAGGCGTGAGCCACCATGCCCAGCCTGTTTTCTCTATTTCTGTCTTAATTTTTCCAAAGATGTATTTATTTTGTGTTTTTTTCAAAGAACCAAATACTGACCTTGTCGATCTTTTCTATTTTACCTTTGAGTTCTATTTAGTTGATTTTCACTCTTAGTTTTATCTTTCCTACTACTTTATTTGGGTTTACTCTGTTAAAATTCTGGAATGTTAAGTTAGATATCATTAATTTTCAGTCTCTGCCCCCTTCCATATCATTGTTATTTCAGTTTCTCCCACTCTTTATATGTTTTTCATTCCTTCCTACTTTAAAAATCTGATGCCTCCATATTCTCCTTTAGCACACTTTCATGTGCTGCTCCCATGCCCTTGCCCCCTTCCCAGTGCTCCTCATGTGGATATTATCATGAATTTTAATTCTGGGTTATCATGATTATGTTTTCTCTTCTTTGGTTTTGTGTTTTGTTTTTGTATTTTTTGATATCAGCGAACTCTACCAAGACATTTAAAGACTCTTGCTGCACATGGCTCTTGTGGCATCTCCTGGATTTGTTTTTCCTCCTCTGTAAGTACTTCTACCATGTGTTTTAACTCCTGTGGCAAACCCTCTGAGCTCTTGTATATTTGAAAATATCTTAATCATTCCCTTTAATATGAATAACAATTTGAATAGATATAACATTTTAACTTTAAAGTTCTTTTTCCCTTAATACAGTTAACATATTACTCCAGTTATTCTTGCATCCAATGTTGCTGCTGAAAAGTAGGATGTCAATGTGATTCTTGTTCTTTTTTATATGATCTGCTCATTCTCTCTGGGAGCTTTTAGAATTTTTCTTATTGATGTTTTAAAATTTCATTACGTCTATTTGTCAGTTTTTTTCTTCTCTCTTATTGGGTAGTCTATCATCTCTTTAAAGCTAAGGTCTTTCTTTAATTCTGATGAATTTATCCCCATTATTTCTTAAACGATTTCCTCCTCCCCCTTTTTATTTTTGTAATCTGAGACTCCTATTAGATGGATTTTGGCACTTTTACTTTTAACCCCATATATCTTTTCTTTTATATTTTCAACTTATTTATCCTCTCCTGCTCCCTTCTGTATAAAGTTCTACAATCTGATCATCTAGTTTTAAAATTCATTCTTTAGTTGTATCTACTATGTATCCTATATCACTGCATTCTATATTTCAACTATTATATTTTTCATACCTACTTGGTTCTGTTTTTATTTCTTATTCTTGCTTCATATTATCAACATCTTCCCTTATCTCTCTTAGTATGTTCACTTTGTTAATTTTTAAATTCTAGGACTGTGTATTCTAAACTCTCTTCTAATGGTGTTTGAAACTTGGCCCCTAAGCTCCTGTTTCCCAGGAAGCATTGGCACCCCAGAAGACAAGGCATGGATCTAGAGCCAGTCCTGGCCCTTGGCCTTGGGAGATCAAGGAAGAGTATGGGGAAGAACCTTAGACACCAAAAACCTGCCCCACTAAGCAACTCCTCAGTTCAGGGTTTCACACTTACCCACCTCCTCCCGCCAGGAGAAATAATCTGAGGAGGAGGTACTCCTAAAGTACACCAAAAGTATCAGCCAGGAGTCCTAGAGTTTGGAGGCCAAGAGGTAAGAAGTCAATGCCTACAACGAGTTAATTCCCACACATTTTCCTTGGCTTCTCATTCAGGCACGGCTTCAGTGCTGCTCCGACTTTATTACTTCAGACCCTTGTGAAGGGATATGTAAGCACTGGTGTCCCAAAGCAAATGACAAGAGGAAAAAGGAAAAACCGGGTTGTTTTGTGTTTCTATTTTAATTCCCTGCCTTGGCTGCAGCCTCACCCACTATCCATACCAGCTCAAGCTATCCCTTTATTTTCCCAGGGATTTCTCACTCTTCTCTGAATCCTGGTATCATGAGGTTTCTCTCTAAAGTTACTTTAGGTTTAATCTTCAGAGAAGACACAGTATCTTGGCAGGAACCAGAGTCTCCTCCAGCAGGCCCTTCACTGAGTGGTCTTGAAACGTAACTCAAACAGCTGTGATGAACTGCATGACACTACTATGTCAAAACTCCTTCCGTTCCTATCCACTTATTTATATAAGGTTCTCAGTGTCTATTAAAACTAAAAACAATACAACATTGCTGAATATTGTCTCATTCTAACAATAGAAATATTCAATCGTGTATGAATGAATTAATTGGGAGGGAAAGCAGCCCTATCCATCCACTAAAGCATTTCCAATATGATACTGTTATGTTTAGTAATTCTAAAAAATTATAATCATGTTCTCTTGATCAATTATATACTACTGATAATAATCATAATGAAAAGTCATTCTTAAATAATTTTTAGAAATTATAGAGCCTTAGAGTCCCAGGAAATAAAAAAAAATTTAAATATAAATTTGAACTTTTTTTGTAAAATGAGACAAATTATAGGTGATTAATAAAATCCATTCAAGCAAAAATATTACATTAGGATAAAATTCTGTGGAAGAAGTAGAATAGAAAAATAGAGACACAAATTCAAAGAGAAGAATGAATAACCTAGTTTCTGTTAAAGAAGAACTTGTTCATAAATATCTAAAAGTGAATGAGATGGATGTCCCATATGGGTAAAAAACTGATATTAGCTTTATTTTTAATTACAAATGTTTATATGATAAATTATACCCCTTGCAATTAATTACATTTATGGTGAAAATTTTTAAAGTTCAACCTAAAAATATCTGAGAAGACTCGTCATTTTTCAAAATTCTTTTTTGTTATCATTCAAGCATAAAAGTTTGAACAGATTGTTCCAAAAACACTTCATTCTTGTTCCAATCTACAAAACCAGCACTTCTAGACTTTAATTTTGTCTCACACCATTTTCCTAGTCACCTAAGAAGCAGTTTTGATTGCTCTTACTCTCTTACCTCACACTTCTACTTAGTTACAAAATTATGTTTTCTTTCTCAGGTCTTCTTTCTCCCCTCTTCTCTGTTCCCACTCACTGCCCTAGTTTCAGTCTTCGTTATCTTACCCCAGTCCTACTTCAGTTCTCCGGTTTCTGCTTGCCACCACGACAACCATATCACACACTGTTGCCAGATAACTCTTACTGAAGTTCCGTCTGTCCTGGCAAACAATGCATCCACCAACTCACTAACTGATAGAGTCTCAAACACTTGGCTACTTGTTCCCAGCCTGTTCCAATACTCATCTTGTTTCTATTTAACTCCTGACTCTTGGTTCACCTCCTCGTTAAGACCCTGCTTCCACCCTTTAGCCACCACCTGCTCCCTCAAGACCTTCAACTCCAATTTATTCCTAGGGCTCTTCCTAGATTCAACTGAGATTCAGACTATCTCAGGCAAGATACTACATTCGAGTTCTTCCCTCAGAATCTAGTCACTATCTCTAGCCCACAGACCTCATCCAAGTCCACTCACATAACGCTCCAAGGGTGAGAGGGACAAAAGAGAAAACTCACACAAGCACAGCAGCAATCATGGCACTTGAGTGCCTTTCAGTAGTAAGTCATTGCCAAATGAATCAAATGTAAACTCTTAGGGTCTAGAACAAAATAGCTCTAACCTTCCTTTTCAACATAATTTCCCACTACTCTCCTGTATGCCTTCTATGGTTATAGAAAAAAAGGAACTACAAATTATTCTCTGAATATACTTCATATTTTTTCTATCTTTATGCCTTTGAAAAGTTATTTCTATCTAGAATTCTCTTACCTTCCTTACCCCGACTCCTACATGAATTTCTATTTTTACCCACTTTTTAAAAAGCCAGATCACATATTACCTCCACCCTTAAGTAATTTTTATAATCCCCTAAAGCAGGGGTTTCCAATCTTTTCGCTTCCCTGGGCCACACTGGAAGAAGAATTGTCTTAGGCCACACATAAAATACACTAACACTAATGACAGCTGAAGAGCAAAAAAAAAGAAAAATAATAATAATAAATCTCATAAAGTTTTAAGAAAGTTTACAAGTTTGTGCTGGGCTGTGGGTTGGATAAGCTTGCTTAAAAGAATAATAGCTCTCTTCTTGGAAATTTAGTAGTAGTTGTTGTAGTACATTTACATCCTTGTTGATCTATCATTCTCTACCCGTGTTTTTGTTTTAAACCCTCTACTAGGCTGTGGGCAACCTGTGGGCAGGGACCATGCCAGACTGATCCTTGTGTCCTCCAAAGCACATAGTAGCTATCCAATAAATATTTGTTGAATTATTGAGTATATACCAATAATTGAATACTGAGTAAATCCCCAAGTGTCCTGGCTCATGAGCTTTTCCTTAACATAATTTTTTTTTTTTTTTTTTGAGATGGAGTCTTGCTCTGTCACCCAGGTTGGAGTGCAGTGGTGCGATCTTGGCTCACTGCAACCTCCACCTCCTGGGTTCAAGCAATTCTCCTGCCTCAGCCTCCCAAGTAGCTGGGACTACCAGCACCCGCCACCACGCCTGGCTAATTTTTGTATTTTTAGTAGAGATGGGGTTTCACCATATTGGCCAGGCTGATCGCAAACTCCTGACCTTGTGATCCGCCTGCCTCGGCCTCCCAAAGTGCTGGGATTACAAGCGTGACCCACCGCACCCGGCCTCCTTAACATAATTTTTATAGAAGGCTTCATTAGAGACTCAAAAATATATTCATATACATAAGATAATTCAGAATGTATGAATAACTACATATAGTAAAATAAAGGTAAGAGTTAACATATTTAGGATGAAAATATACAGAAGGAGAAAATAACAGCCAACAGTTAGGTATCAGAAAATTTCCATCCTCTTATATAGAGTATATATGTTAAAGCTAAAGGTCAAAAGCCAATGATCAAAACCCGAATAACAATACATAAATTAATGAACAAAGGCCCTGTTCATACATTAGGAAAGACCGTTCTGAAATTAGTCCCTACACCTTGATTACAAAGTGCTTTTGCAAGGTTGTGACTATAAAGCAAAGTACAGACTTACTTGTGGTAAATTAATTACTCAAGGAGAGGAACCGTTTTATTCATCTTTGTACCCCTCTAGTACCTGATGGATTAAATAAAATGATACTTGCAACAATCAATATAGACATTTGAGTGATTGATGTCCTATTTAAAATAAGCCACCTGGCAAGACTGATGCACTTTAACAATATTAATAATTTCTTTAAGAGCATACAACTCTTCTTTACTACCTATGGAATGAAGTTAAAATTGTAACCCTGGTTCAAGTCCACTCACGATTTTCTTTTTTTTCTTAGTCTCACAATTTTCTTTCCTTTTCTGGTCTCATTTCTCACTTCTTTCCTTCAAGCTTCTTATCTGCCAGTCAAATTAAACTTTCTGACTTCATACTTGCTTGCCTCCATACCTCTGGTCATTTTGTAATTTCTTAAGTCATTTATCATTTTCTTCCTTGCGTTAAATCTTATACATAGGTTGTTTTCCTTACTAAATTGTAAGTTCCTTATGTCAGAGACCACGTCTTACGTGGCTTTAACTATATTTTATACCTAGCACCTAGTACCTGGTAGGGGCACACGTGCGTGTACACACAATGTGTTGAAGGAATTAATGTTTGAATATCATTAAAGCTCAAACTACATTATGGCAAGACATAAAAGAAAAACTGACTTCCTTAATTTATAGCAGTGGCTTTTAAATATAAGTGGGCAGAAGAAATACCTGGGGAACTTGTTAAAAATGTAAATTCTTGGTGTTATTTGTCACCAGGAGACTTGAAGGAATACCAAGGCAATTATCTAATAAGAAGCAATTAACTCCTGAACCACAGTTGACAGTAAAAGGAAACAAGGAAGAAATGAATGAAAGAAAAGAACCGGCATACTCCGGCCATTAGAGTCAAACTCTTCCTTTGCAAGAAAGTCATTTATTGGGTATTTTTCCTTCCATCTAACCACTGACTTTTTAAATCAGGATGACAATATGTATGTGTTTATTTGAAATTCCATTCCCTTAAATGTACAAGAGAAATAGTTATTTTTCTTAGAATACTTTTCAGATATTTACCACATTTCAAAATGCACAGTACATAGGCTAAACCATAGAAACTTTATAGAAAAATGTTACTATGTGTTAGGTATTACAAAAGGTAAGCTCTGGTTGTAAAGCAGCAGGGCGCTGAGAGAACTACATATTTTCTTTAGATTACTTCAAACAGGGGATATGAATCATAGAAAGTAAGACTTCAAGTGGTTAAGAAGAGTTTTGCCTTTCAGAAGTTTGTAAAATGCCAGTATTCTAAATTTCATCCACTGAATTCCTTAGGACAATCCAATATAGTATACAATATCTGTCACTTCTCTATCCATTTGGCAAAGACTTCATAGAGACAAATGTTACAGAGGCTCAAAAATGGAGACTACTAGAAAAATGACCAAAGCCAGAAATAAAGTATGTGCTAATTAGAAAACAAATAATTAAATGGCCCAACCCGAATGTTGTGTGATGCTGAAAAGAGATAAATTTCTAAGGCACACCATCTGTTTTACAGTTTATTTTGCTGTACTACAAACCTACTCAATATAGTTCTGCAGTGATCTAGCTGCTAACTCATTTGCACAATTACTTTAGGCCAGAAATAACTGTTGCACAGAATCCTTTGAGAGAGCAACACATTCATGGAAGAGGGCAAACATAATTCATTCTTGGGTGAAGACTATTTTTAGCCCTTAAAGAAAAAAAAAGTTATTCAAAGAAATGATTAGAAATTGCCAAAGGAAAATTAGATAATTTAAAAGGAGAGTGATATCACTATATATTTATGTATCTAAATTTATCTGAGGTTCTTAATGTTTTAGTGCCTAAAGACATGTTGCTGGGACCTCTTCTCTCTATCTGTATTTTCTTCCTTATTTATCTTTTCAGCCCAGTGGCTTTAAGTGGTGTTTGTATACTCATGATTCTCAAATTTATATCTTCATCTTAAATCTTTCCAGTTTCAAACTCATATATTCAATTATCTGTTTGATATCACCACTTGGATGCCACATAAGCATTGCAAACTGATCCTATCTAATATAGAACCTTTGATTCACCATCCGTGTCCCAGAAATAAATCTATTTCTCCTACAGTCTTCCATATCTCAGTAAATGGCACCAACATCCAACCAGTTGTTAGAATAAAATCTAGATGTCACCCTTATTTCCTCTCTTAGCCTCATTCTTCATCGAATCCGTCATCAACTCCTATCAATTATACCTCTAAAATATATCTCAGGTTTTTCTCTTCATCGCTATTGCTACCACCCTATCCAAGTCACTATTATCTCTCAACAGTACTACTTCAACATCTATCTAATTCCCTATTTCCAAGCCACTCCCCCCCACCCCAATAGTCAGAGTGATCTTTTAAGAATATTATCGGCCGGGCATGGTGGCTCACACCTGTAATCCCAGCACTTTGGGAGGCCGAGCCGGGCAGATGATGAGGCCAAGAGATCGAGACCATCCTGGCCAATATGGTGAAATTCTGTGTCTACTAAAAATACAAAAAATTGCTGGGCATGGTGGTGCATGCCTTTAGTCCCTCAGGAGGCTGAGGCAGGAGAATCACTTGAACCCAGGAGGCAGAGGTTGCAGTTGACTTGAACCCAGGAGGCAGAGGTTGCAGTGAGCCGAGATTGTGTCACTGCACTCCAGCCTGGTGACAGAGCGAGACTCCGTCTCAAAAAAAAAAAAAAAAAAAAGAATATTATCATATGCTAATTTATATTTTAAATGTAATTATATCATGTATCCCCAATACCTAACACAGTGTATAGCAAATAATAGATTTATAATTTTTAATAGATGAATACTCTCTAGTAATATTCCCATATATCTCTAATAATTTCTAATCTCAGTTCTCAGAAAAATTTCTGAGATACCTAAAGACCTATCCACTTACTGAATCATTCACTCATTCAGCAATTGTTTGAGTATTGTATTAATTGAAATTAGGTCCAGCTGCACACTATATCGTAAAGATGACAGAAGTCTGTTTCCCGTTCATATAAAAAATTCTGGAGGTAGGCAGTGAAGGATTCACATGGCAGCTCTGTGAGCTATTATGGTTCCTTGCATCTTGTTGCTCTGCCATTTCCAGATTCCACTTTATAATCTAATATGGCTACTCAAACTCACACCTGCATCTACCAGGAAAGAGGAAGGACATGAGAAATGCCATATCAGATCCATTTAAGGACACTTCCCAGAAATTGCACCCACTTCGACTTGCATCTCACTGACCATCACGATAACTAGCAAAGAACACTGGGGAAGAGCCTTTTAACTGGACAGCAATGTTTCCAACTAACAGTCAGAATCCTTATTATTATAGAAGGAGAAGAATAAATACTGAGGGATAAGCAGTAGCCTTTTCCAAAGTTCCTGCTGTGGCCAGGTAATGTTCGGGTGCAGGGATACGAAGATCAGTAAGACACAAGGTCTGTGCTTGAAGCATTAGTCTAATGGCAGAAAACAATATGTAAATAAATAAAATTCCAAACCAGGAGACTGCCACTGTTTGGAGATCATGGCTTTTCTGAGTCCCCAAAGATTTTCTACACCCCAAGAGTTGAAAGAGAGGTGAGTGGTTCCAGTGTTTTACATCACTGAACTATACAGACTGTTTCAATTTTCCACAGCTATAATACTGGACATTTTTCAGCTCTGTTCTATTGGACATGATACTTTCATGACACTGAGCAAAGATCATTTAAACCTCTATAAATATATATAAACAACTGTGACAACAGTTCTAACAGTTTGAAAATGCCCATTTTCAGAAATTTGTCAAGACTCAATGTTTTTTAATTTGACAGAAAATCAAACTAATTGACTGTTTTAAGACTATGAAGAAAACTCCAAGACAAAATAAAAAGAAATGAGCAATGGTAGCATGTCAGAAAGAAAAAAGTAATATTGTAACTTACTGTTAACCACTGGTTATCTAGTAGTTCCTTAGCTGTGATTCTGTGAGCAGGATCTACTTTCATAAGTTGTTTCAAAACACTTTTAGCTAAAAATAAGAAAAAAATCCTGAAAAATCTTATTTAACTACAATTAATAGCATACATTTTACAATTTTTTAGGATTAGGTCAGTATAACAGGAAAGAAAGATGCCAAGTGTACAATAAAAATCATCAGTATAAATGCCTAATAAATATAGTTTAAAGCCTAAAGTGAAGTTTTATTGCCTGGATTACCTAGTTTAATGGTCTATAGTAAACATTAGCTAGATGATCAGCAAATTTCCTCTTTAACTTTTACTATGTATTTTCCGTTTTTGAAAGTTTTGATGATGAACAATCACAGTGAAGATATCGCTATTTCCACAAGTAAATAGTGTTCATTTCCACAAGTAAATTTAATGACTAAACAGAGATTTAAAACATTTTAACCACAGGCCAACTTTCTTATGTTACTTATATTAGCTTTAGTAAATAATAACGCATCTATACTTACCACAGTCACTTATGGAATTCCAGACTGCATTTTCAAAATGTAGTTCTCCTTTTCTTATTAACTCAAAAAGCTTCTCTTCTGAGCTTGCCAAAAAGGGTGGTTCTCCACGTAATCTGCAACAAAGGCAATCACTTTGTTTAAATTTTTTAAATAATAAAAATAAGCCTATTAAAATTAAGTTTCCATAGGACTTGGAAGTAGTGTTGCTTCATATTTAAGGAAAGGATGGGAAGAGATGGGTACCTCCCTGGAAGTAAAAATGGAAACAACAGGGTTTTCCAAGATCAGTGCTAGGCTCTTATTTCAACATTGAGAGGAAGGATCTGGTAAAGGAAGTATGCAAGTATACACTGAAACCTCCAGATCAGCAAATGACCCAAAGCTCTTGCAGGTGGGGAAACACTAAGCTTAAATGGGGTTAAAATACGGGAAGGTGAGTGTAAGTGTACAATAATAGTGGTAGCTAATACAGGAGATACACTTTGGAGTGAGCAACAGGAAGGTAATACCTTAAGGAACATAATGCAAATTGACTCAACTGAAAAATACAATGAGTTATCAGGGTCTAACTAGTTACCAAAGTCTAATGGCCACCTAAGGCTTTTATCCATAGTAAAATACTGTACAAATGTTAGTAATAACAAAAATAAACCAAGACTAACCCCGGGAATTTCTTCTTTTTATTTTTTGAGATGGAGTCTCACTCTGTCTCCCAGGCTGGAATGCAGTGGTGCAATCTCGGCTCACTGCAACCTCCGCCTCCTGGATTCAAGTCATTTTCCTGCCTCAGCCTCCCGAGTAGCAGGGATTACAGGCACGCACCACCTCACCTGGCTAGTTTTTGTATTTTTAGTACAGACAGGGTTTCACCATGTTGGCCAGGCTGGCCTCGAACTTCTGACATCAAGTTATCCACCTGCCTTGGCCTCCCAAAGTGCTGGGATTACAGGCATGTGTCAACGCACCCAGCCCTAACCCTGGGAATTTCTATAGGACCTAAGTCAATGCCAAAAAGCCATTAAAACGGACACAACTCATCAAAAATTGTATATGAAATCAAAAGGGTCTGAATGTGGAAAAATCAGACAATAATTTGACCCTTTGGCCTGAAAGGGTGAAAGCTAAGTGTACCTAATGACCAACATCAGTAAAACCATGAGCACTGTGTATAAAGTGAACATGGACTTGTTTTCACATTCTTTAATACAGAAACAATGTACCTTTAGACTCTTAATAGAACATGGCAAGCCTGTAAAGCTATTACTTCAATAAGTGATCTAGGTCAAAACTACAAGAACAAGCTTAAAAGCTGAGTTCAATTCTTCATAACACAATATCAACAAATGTCAGCCATCCTCATTACTGTCAACTCCAACATCTGAGGGCAATCCTATAGATAACAACCAGATTTGTCCAATGACAACCAGACAGATGTAATTAGATTCATCACAGGGGCAACTCTGTGTCTATTCTTCAACTCTCAGGAATATATTTTTATACTTCATTGATGAAAGAATAAAATGGCATAATTTCATTATACTTCCCAAACTGCTGGTCTACACTGTACATAAGTATAATAATCTCTACATCTTTTAACAGTTACATTTTTACTAATTTTCTTTATATTTTTCTTTATTTAAAAATCTAACTCATGAACATTTTCTGAATAAGTCAAAATTTGATTTTTTCATAGTAATGATGATGATTATGATGACTTTTGTGGGGGGAAAAGTTGCTTTCATCCTAGTGGTTTATCAAACTAGACCAGACAATAGAGCTTTTTCATTTACCAATAGGTTCTTACTAAGTATTTATCAGTATCATATTGTTCTGCAAACTCTTATTTTAATACTTTTTATCTCTCTAGCTCATTCTGATTTCCTCTCTCTCATCCTATTCACCTTGCTATTGTTTAGTTTTAAAATGCAATTTAAAAAGCTATGGAAAACAAAATAGCCAGAAAAATGGCCTTCTGGACAATTACTATCTATTAAAACAGTGCAGGCCAGCAAAGGCCTAGTTCATTGAGCCTGTTATCAACCAGTGATATGCACATCCACCAATTTCTTAGCTGCCTCTGCATTGCCTGACTAGCATGCAACTATAGCTTAAGGGCTACATCTTAAAAAATTCACTTTTTTTTCTGTTCTTTGCAATTTTATTTACATAAAAATGTATCTAATGGTTGGTCAATCAGCAGCATACAAAATTTTATGACAGCAATTTCCTGCACATCCAGAAAAGGGAATCCAAGACACGAAAAATATCTCTTAAAGTCTTCCTACTATTTTGTTGCATTCATAGAAATCAAAACAGCAGAGGACAAAAACTACAAAGAATATTTACTTATGCTAACTTCACCTTGAGAAAGTATGTTATCACCATCTGATTAAATAGAAATGAATCAAAGGTAACGGATAAACAAGAAAATAAACCCCCTGGAGAAGGTAATATGTTTGTGCTCTTGATTAAGGAAATTATAACACCATTGGGCTCAGACAGATTAATGAATAGGCACTGATTAGCTAAGTAAGAGTCTACTGTAAAGAGAAGACAACATTATTATGGTGATATGCAGTCACACTCTGAAGCAGAAAAATTAAAATTATATTTCTAAGAAAGAGAAAGATATTTAAGATATAATACATTCACTTTCCTTAACACCAAGTTCAAACTAAGAAGGCAGCAAACACTACATGAATTGCATAATATTAGATTATATATAGGATGTTTGACTCATGGTTTCTAGAAAGTCTTCAGAGTATAAAAGACTAATTTAAAAGTTATATTTGAATTAAAGACTAAGGCTCAGAATTTTTGCACTATGATTTTAATCAGCACAAAACGATGATCAAAAACTTTTTGAATACTTTTATACTTTATGTAATCTAAGCAACGATGTGTGTTGACCAGCTGAGTTACAGCTACAATCACATCATCCAATTTCTACTGCCTGTATATTCCATTTCACACAACTGTGAAAATGTAACTACTGTGATGTCAATATTTAGAAATGATCTGGAAGAGGCAGTGCATAGTGAAATCTTCAATATGACCATAAAACTAATGTTGCATCAACATAAAAATGTTCACATTCAGCAAGAGGCAGAACAATGGTCACTAACTTTTCAGAACACCTCTTAGAAAATTCACTTTAATTCAATTTAACAAACATATTGAGCACTGAATGTATGTCTATTATACCAGATACCAGGAATGCAAAGATGAATAATCTAAGGTCTCTGTCCTCCATGGAATTTAGAACAAGGAAAACAGATACAATATATATAATATTATAATATGGTTTTTAAAAGCTTTATGAGGATACATAAAAGGGAACAATGAATTCTATTGGATTTACACATGTGTAAACCTTCCTGGTTAAATGTTCCTATTTTATTATTTTTTCTTTCAACATTACTGTTTTGCATGATACCTTAAAATCTTTTGTGGAGCATGAGAAAGTATATACCTAATAAATGTAGGAACTCTGCTATGGTGGGGTAAAGTAGGAGTAGAGAAATAGAAGGCCTTAATGTTTGAGCTGGGTCCACCCAGGAGAGAATCTTACAGAGAAAAAGAATACACACATACCCATACACACTCCAGAGGCATATGACACAGGGTGTGTCCGAGTATTGAAATGTGACCTGGAATCATTATAGCACAGTGTAGGTGCACAGGAATACATATCCAGCCCCAAACTGGAAAGGCATTCTGGAATCAGGTCATGAAAGACCTGCTCTGCTATGCCATGCCATGCCATGCCAAGATGCTCTGACACTTCTCCGTATACAAATACATATATATATGTATTAGATTACATATATATTATATTATAATTATATATATATATATATCAGAGGCTTTTATATATATATCAGAGGATTTTAATCAGGAAAGCAGTATGATCAGATTTGTGATTTGAAAGGACACCCCTGGCAGCAACGTGAAGGACAAACATGGGGAGGGTGACCAGAAGTAGGGAGAACAGTCAGAAAGACCCTGCAATAGTCTAGAAAAGGAATCATAAGGAGAAAAGATACAGGTGAAGAGAAATCAAAGAATAGGTAAGGATATTTCAAAGGAAAAATGAGCAGGACATGGAGTTTGACTGAATCTTGAGAATGACAGAGAAGGAAGAACAAGAATGACTGAAAGCTCCAGCAGCACAACATCATTATGGGAACTGGGAACTGTAGAATACTCCCTAGATCCTAAGTGACCCTCTGCCTAGTTAGTGCCCACTCCCACCTATGCTCTGCCTGTATGGGTAGAACAAGTGCCAGGCCACAGTACCTCCCTACACCTGATAAGCTATAAGTGAACCTCATGAGAAAACACAAAGAAGCTTTTGGTTTGTAGCAAAGGATACGGAAGGTGTTAAGATTTTTCATTTTGCTCAGATCATATTGTTGTATTTATAGATCAATGAAAACCAAAGCTGAAAGTTATAAATTTACAGTATTAAAAAATACCTCAGGGATGTATGTATACCTGACAACTAATAAGAGAGCTTTTAGAATGATCTCCCAATTGGTTTTTAAATCACTTTTTAAAAATATATATTAGTTTTAATTTAAAGTCTATATCACTCTACTGTTAGAAACTATCCACTCATCTTAAAGTGTACATTTAGCAGGCTACTTACAACATGTACATTACGACGCCTATGCTCCAAATGTCACACTGCTGGCTATAGTCGTGGGCACTGATAACTTCAGGGGCTGCCAAACAAGCAGATATAAAATAACATTAATAATACAATAAATGTCTTTTAAATGCTTAAACACAAGCATGAAAAATGTGCTGATGTGCTGTAATTTATTCCCCCATAGGGAAAAGAGAACCAACAGCAGATCTTAAATGAATAATGCACAGGCCTTAACAATTGATGTCACTGTAACCTCACTCCTATCATTTAGCTTCTAATGGAACAATGGTGTAAACTGTATAACTAAATGCACTACCCTTTATTTCTTTAAATTGTTAAGAAATGATTTTGCAAAGATTCTGTAGTTATAGTAGAAGACAACAATATCCCAGCCCTTTCCACAAAATAGAATTAAATATATGCCTTAAGTAGATGTAACATAATGCAGGCCCAATATGTGGAAATCTGGATTCACAGAAAAACTAAGGTACGTGGTTATAAATCACTTTAGTAAAATAATAATAGCATCACTCCTATAACAGAATATGAACTATTTTCTGCATTTTCAAATAAGAAAGCCAAGACAAAGAGAGAGCTCCTATAAAACTGGATCAAAAAGCCAACTAGTCACAGGACATAGACTATACTAAATATATATATGTGTGTGTGTGTGTGTATTTTTTTTTTTTGAGACAGGGTCTCACTCTATTGTCCAGGCTGGAGTGCAGTGGCATGATCACAGTTCACTGCAGCCTCAAACTACTAGGTTCAAGGTATCATCCCACCGCAGCTTCCTGAGTAGCTAGGACTACAGGTGCATACTATCATGCCTGGCTAATTGTTTTTTAAAAATTATTTTAGAGATGGGGTCTTGCTGTGCTGCTCAGGCTGGCCTCAAACTCCTGGCCTCAAGTGATCCTCCCACCTCAGCCTCCTGAATAGGTGGGATTAGTGGCGTGAGACACCACACTCAGCTGGCTGCCTTTTTAAAAAGTCACAAATGACACTGCAGGAACATGTCTATTGTACCTCTATAGCTATGAATCAGATATATTTAAGAAAAAATAAAAAGAAAATAGTTATAAGCAGAAAAATACAATATATGTATATATTTCAATAGAACTTTAAAATTTATACTTTTGCATAAATTGTTATTTGTATGAAGTATGTTAAGAATTCTGTGAGATAGATACGTAAGCATTTGACTCCCTTTGCCAATGAGGAAACTAAGTTTCACATATATTAAGTGACTTGCCTAATGTTACACAGCTGCAGAGTGCCTCCTATGCAAAAGGTGCGTTTTTATTTTAGAAAAGTTTCAATCTCTCCCACCTACACATACCTACACCTACACACACACACACACACACACACACACACACACACACTTTTATGACTACTAAAAGCAAATGGAATTTCATTTCCTCCTTTTTCCTCTGCCTAGTGTTAAAGAGATGAAAGGCAACAAAAAGGGGTCAAAAGATTAAACAGAAGAAAGAATGTACAGATTACTAACACTGAGCAATCTGTCTCCAAATGATTGAAAATTAACTAATATTTCCCTTTAAGCCATTATTTGTATTTGTTAACTCTACTTAAAATCTTTAAATATGGAATTTTTAAAGTTCCAGTTGCTCTATGGCCACATGTCTATGACAAGGGCAAATTCTGTGACTAGATTCAGTGAACGATTTCCACACTGGTGCAGCACACAGCAGGGGACGGGAAATCCTGGTCCTCGCTCTTTCAGAGTCATCTTAATTATCAGGGGCATTTCGATTTGCACTGTCATCCCAGCCCTCATAGGGATGCAGAGGCCAGAGTAACTGCCAAGAAGCCATTTAGGAAGTCAGCAAAGCTCCACAAACCATCTGTCTTCTCTCTTGTTCTCACTTGTTATCAGTGTAGACAACTAATAAGGAGGCATTAAACTCAGGGTGCTTGAATATATTTTCCCCATGTAACTACAGACCAGATGTCTTTTGCCAACAGGGGGATATGAACAGAATCTAAAGTAGCCTTTTCCCAAATAAGATAAAACAATTTCAAAACTTTATGCATCTAGCAGACAAAAAAAGCAACGAATTACGTATACTCTTCAGCAATAAAAATGAATAAACTACTGATACAACATGGATAAGTCTCAAAATCATGATGTAAGACAAAAGAAGAAGACAGACACAGAAGAGTATGTACTGTATGATTCAATTTATATAAACTTCTAGATATGCAAAACTGAGCTGTGGTGATAGAAATCATCAGTGGTTATGGGTGGGGGATTGACTGAAAGGGACACAAAGGAACTTTCTGGGGTGACAGAAATGTTCTATGACTTGAACATAATGGGGTAGTGATTACACAAGTGTATGCATTTGTCAAAACTTAAAATGTGTACATCCTATTGCAAGTAAACTATATTCCTAAAAAGCAGATTTTAAAAAATCTACTAAAAGTACAAAAACAATGTGTCAAAGACCTTTCTTGGTTAATGACTCTCTTAGAGATCAACAGAAGTGGCAAGCAAAAATACACCAACAATATGGAAGATCTGAATCACAAAAATATCACATTTCATTTAATAAGCACACACAGAAATTTTTATGCTCAACAAACCAGGTATACATACATATTTTTAAAATATCCAACGCATCATTTGCAAAAGCTGATCATGTGTTCAGTCACAAAGAAAATTCCTAAAAGTTGAAAACCTTTAAGATGCAATCACCTACCACAATAAAGAAAACCAGACAGATAAACCAAAAGGCTAGGACAACTAACATGCATTCCATGCATTTCAAACACATCTCAACCACCTGGAAAAATTCTAAAAACACTTATAAATAATTTTTCTATTAAACAAGACTAAAATTAAAATTAAAGTATATCAAGAGATTAATCACAATTAGAACACCGTATGGCAAAAAAAAAAAAGTCAAGGTACTCAGAGGAAAATATACAGCCTCCAATGCATTTCATAGAAAATAAGCCTGATAATAAATATGTATTCAACTTAGGAAGTTATAATAAAAAACAAACCACTAGCCACAGTGGCTCATACCTATAATCCCAGCACTTTGGGAGGCCAAAACAGGAGGATCGCTTGAACCCAGGAGTTTGAGATCAGCCGGGGCATGAGATCTCATCTCTACTAAAAATTAAACAGAAAAAAGTTATCTGGGAATGATGGCACATGCCTGTGCTCCTTGCTCCTGGCTCCTGGGGAGGCTGAGGTGGGAGGAACGTTTGAGCCTAGGAGGCTGAGGCTGCAGTAAGCTGTGACTGCACCACTGCACTCCAGCCTAAGCAACAGAGGGAGGCCCTGTTCCAAAAAAATAAAATAAAATTAACAAACAAACCAAAATAAAGAACAAAGAAGGAATTCAGAAAAATAAAAGCAGAAATTAATGAAAAAGCAAACCAAATAACAATTAGATATGAGCTGGTTCTTGAAAAGCCCATTGGGAGCTTTATTTATTATTTATTAACTGTCCTAACCACTAACAAATTTGATCTAGATAAAATTATTAGTATTACAAAGAGCTAAAATTCAGGCCTAAGTGCTAGACACTGCTAAGCACTTTATATATTTTTTCTCATTTAATTCTCATGTCAACCTGATAAAAAAAAACTATTGTCTTCTAAACACTTCCTATCACCCTTCCTTTTTTTTGTACTCAGCACTTTGCTCTAAAACATCAGATTTATAAAAATCTTGTTTAATGTTTGTGCCACAAGAATGTTAAGTTCCATGAAGGCAAAACATTTTTATGTTTTGTTCACTGTTGTATTTTTAATACCTAGAACAATGTCTGACACTAAGTAGGTCCTCAAAAAATTTTTTAGAAATGAGTGACATAATTCCTATTATACATATAGAAACTGTGATAAGAGCAGATAATAAGTGCATATTGAATTTATAGGAGAATATAACCACAGGTACACAGGAGAATATGAAAATAATAAGTAAACATAATATGCATATTTATGTCAATGAAACTGAAGTCTCAATAAAAGAAACAATTTTCTAGAAAAACATAAATTATCAAAATGATTCAAGAAAATGCAGAAAACTTGGATAATTTAGTATAAATTGAAAAAATAATAGAAACTTTATCCCCAAAAAAGCAGCAGAACCAAAAAATTTAAGAGGAAATTTCAAACTATTATTAGATAATTTTTATTATCTAAAAGGTTCATTTTTTGGTTCCACATAAACTTTAAAGTAGTTTTTTCCAATTCTGTGAAGAAAGCCAATGGTAGCTTGATGGGGATAGCACGAAATCTATAAATTACTTTGGACACTATGGCGATTTTCATGATATTGATTCTTCCTATCCATGAGCATGGAATGTTTTCCATTTGTGTCCTCTCTTATTTCCTTGTGCAGTGGTTTGTAGTTCTCCTTGAAGAGGTCCTTCACATCCCTGATAAGTTGCATTCCTAGGTATTTTATTCTCTTTGTAGCAACTGTGAATGGGAGTTCCCTCGATTTGGCTCTCTGTCTGTTATTGGTGTCTAGGAATGCTTGTGATTTTTGCACATTGATTTTGTATCCTGAGACTTTGCTGAAGTTGTTTTTCAGCTTAAGGAGATTTGGGACTGAGACAATAGGGTTTTCTAGATATACAATCATGTCATCTGCAAACAGAGACAATTTGACTTCCTCTCTTCCTATTTGAATACCCTTTATTTCTTTCTCTTGCCTGACTGCCCTGGCCAGAACTTCCAATACTATGTTGAATAGGAGTGGTGAGAGAGGGCATCCTTCTCTTCTGCCAGTTTTCAAAGGGAATGCTTCCAGCTTTTGCCCATTCAGTATGATATTCGCTGTTGGTGTGTCATAAATAGCTCTTATTATTTTGAGATACGTTTCATCAATACCTAGTTTATTGAGAGTTTTTAGCATGAAGTGGTATTGAATTTTATCAAAGGCTTTTTCTGCATCTATTGAGATAATCATGTGGTTTTTGTCTTTGGTTCTGTTTACGTGGTGGATTACATTTACTGATTTGCATATGTTGAACCAGCCTTGCATCCCAGAGATGAAGCTGACTTGATTGTGGTGGATAAGCTTTTTGATGTGCTGTTGGATTCAGTTTGCCAGTATTTTATTGAGGATTTTCACATCGCTGTTCATCAGGGATATTGGTCTGAAATTTTCTTTTTTTGTTGTGTCTCTGCCAGGTTTTGGTATCAGGATGATGCTGGCCTCATAAAATGAGTTAGGGAGGAGTCCCTCTTTCTATTGTTTGGAATAGTTTCAGAAGGAATGGTACCAGCTCCTCCTTGTACCTCTGGTAGAATTCGGCTGTGAATCGGTCTGGTCCTGGGCTTTTTTTGGTTGGTAGGATATTAATTACTGCCTCAATTTCAGAATTTGTTATTGGTGTAGTCAGGGATTCGACTTCTTCCTGGTTTAGTCTTGGGAGGGTGTATGTGTGCAGAAATTTATCTATTTCTTCTAGATTTTCTACTTTATTTGTGTAGAGGTGTTTATAGTATTCTCTGATGGTAGCTTGTATTTCTGTGGGATCAGTGCTGATATCCTCTTTACCATTTTTTATTGTGTCTATTTGATTCTTCTCTCTTTTTTCTTATTAGTCTGGCTAGTAGTCTATATATTTTGTTAATCTTTTCAAAAAACCAGCTCCTGGATTCATTGATTGTTTGAAGGGTTTTTCGTGTCCCTATCTCCTTGGGTTCTGCTCTGATCTTAGTTATTTCTTGTCTTCTGCTAGCTTTTGAATGTTTGCTCTTTTTTCTCTAGTTCTTTTAATTGGGATGTTAGGGTGTCGATTTTAGATCTTCCCCACTTTCTCCTATAGCCAAGACAATCCTAAGCAAAAAGAACAAAGCTGGAGGCATCATACTACCTGACTTCAAACTATACTACAAGGCTACAGTAACCAAAACAGCCTGGTACTGGTACCAAAACAGATATATAGACCAATGGAACAGAACAGAGGCCTCAGAAATAACACCACATATCTACAACCATCTGATCTTTGACAAATCTGATAGAAACAAGCAATGGGGAAAGGATTCCCTATTTAATAAACGATGTTGGGAAAACTGGCTAGCCATATGCAGAAAACTGAAACTAGACTCCTTCCTTACACCTTATACAAAAATTAATTCAAGATGGATTAAAGACTTAAATGTAAGACCTAAAACCATAAAAAACCTAGAAGAAAACCTAAGCAATACCATTCAGGATATAGGCATGGGCAAAGACTTCATGACTAAAACACCAAAAGCAATGGCAACAAAAGCCAAAATTGACAAATGGGATCTAATTAAACTAAAGAGCTTCTGCACAGCAAAAGAAACTATCATCAGAGTGAACAGGCAACCTAGAGAATGGGAGAAAGTTTTTGCAATCTTTCCATCTAACAAAGGGCTAATATCCAGAATTTACAGGGAACTTAAACTTACAAGAAAAGAACAACCCCATCAAAACGTGGGCAAAGGATATGAACAGACACTTTTCAAAAGAAGACATTTATGCAGCCAACATACCAGAGGTACAAGGAGGAGCTGGTACCATTCCTTCTGAAACTATTTCAATCAATAGAGAAAGAGGGAATCCTCCCTAACTCATTTTATGAGGCCAGCATCATCCTGATACCAAAGCCTGGCAGAGACACAACAAAAAAAGAGAATTTTAGACCAATATCTCTCATGAACATCGATGCAAAAATCCTCAATAAAATACTGGCAAACCAAATCCAGCAGCACATCAAAAAGCTTATCCACCATGATCAAGTGGGCTTCATCTCTGGGATACAAGGCTGGTTCAACATACGCAAATCAATAAATGTAATCCAGCATATAAACAGAACCAACGACAAAAACCATATGATTATCTCAATAGATGCAGAAAAGGCCTTTGACAAAATTCAACAATGCTTCATGCTAAAAACTCTCAATAAATTAGGTATTGATGGGATGTATCTCAAAATAATAAGAGCTATCTATGACAAACCCACAGCCAATATCATACTTAATGGGCAAAAACTGGAAGCATTCCCTTTGAAAAATGGCACAAGACAAGGATGCCCTCTCTCACCATTCCTATTCAACATAGTGTTGGAAGTTCTGGCCAGGACAATCAGGCAGGAGAAGGAAATAAAGGGTATTCAATTAGGAAAAGAGGAAGTCAAATTGTCCCTGTTTGCAGATGACATGATTGTATATCTAGAAAACCCCACTGTCTCAGCCTAAAATCTCCTTAAGCTGATAGGCAACTTCAGCAAAGTCTCAGGATACAAAATCAATGTGCAAAAATCACAAGCATTCTTATACACCAATAACAGACAGACAGCCAAATCGTTAGTGAACTCCCATTCACAATTGCTACAAAGAGAATAAAATACCTAGGAATCCAACTTACAAGGGATGTGAAGGAACTCTTCAAGGAGAACTACAAACCACTGCTCAATGAAATAAAAGAGGATACAACAAATGGAAGAACATTCCATGCTCACGGGTAGGAAGAATCAATATCGTGAAAATGGCCATACTGTCCAAGGTAATTTATAGATTCAATGCCATCCCCATCAAGCTACCAATGACTTTCTTCACAGAATTGGAAAAAACTACTTTAAAGTTCATATGGAGCCAAAAAAGAGCCCACATTGCCAAGTCAATCCTAAGCCAAAAGAACAAAGCTGGAGGCATCACGCTACCTGACTTCAAACTATACTACAAGGCTACAGTAACCAAAACAGCATGGTACTGGTCCCAAAATAGAGATATAGACCAATGGAACAGAACAGAGCCCTCAGAAATAATGCTGCATATCTACAACCATCTGATCTTTGACAAACCTGACAAAAACAAGAAATGCGGAAACGATTCCCTATTCAATAAATGGTGCTGGGAAAACTGGCTAGCCATATGTAGAAAGCTGAAACTGGATCCCTTCCTTACACCTTATATAAAAATTAATTCAAGATGGATTAAAGACTTAAATGTTAGACCTAAAACCATAAAAACCCTAGAAGAAAACCTAGGCAATACCATTCAGGACATAGGCATGGGCAAGGACTTCATGTCTAAAACACCAAAAGCAATGGCAACAAAAGCCAAAATTGACAAATGGGACCTAATTAAACAAAAGAGCTTCTGCACAGCAAAAGAAACTACCATCAGAGTGCACAGGCAACCTACGGAATGGGAGAAAATTGTTGCAATCTACTCATCTGACAAAGGGCTAATATCCAGAATCTACAATGAACTCAAACAAATTTACAAGAAAAAACAAACAACCCCATCAAAAAGTGGGCAAAGGAAATGAACAGACACTTCTCAAAAGAAGACATTTATGCAGCCAAAAGACACGTGAAAAAATGCTCATCATCACTGGCCATCAGAGAAATGCAAATCAAAACCACAATGAGATACCATCTCACACCAGTTAGAATGGCGGTCATTAAAAAGTCAGGAAACAACAGGTGCTGGAGAGGATGTGGAGAAATAGGAACACTTTTACACTGTTGGTGGGACTGTAAACTAGTTCAACCATTGTGGAAGACAGTGTGGCGATTCCTCAGTGATCTAGAACTAGAAATACCATTTGACCCAGCCATCCCATTACTGGGTATATACTCAAAGGATTATAAATCATGCTGCCATAAAGACACATGCACACATATGTTTACTGCGGCACTATTCACAATAGCAAAGACTTGGAACCAACCCAAATGTCCAACAATGATCAACTGGATTAAGAAAATGTGGCACATATACACTATGGAATACTATGCAGCCATAAAAAATGATGAGTTCAGGTCCTTTGTAGGGACATGGATGAAGCGGAAACCATCATTCTCAGCAAACTATCGCAAGGACAAAAAACCAAACACCGCATGTTCTCACTCATAGGTGGGAATTGAACGATGAGAACACATGGACACAGGAAGGGGAACATCACACACTGGGGCCTGTTGTGGGGTGGGTGGGGGGAGGGATAGCATTAGGAGATATACCTAATGTTAAATGATGAGCTAATGGGTTCAGCACACCAACATGGCACATGTATACATATGTAACTAACCTGCACGTTGTGCACATGTACCCTAAAACTTAAAGTATAATAAAAGAAAGAAAGAAAGAAAAAAGCTCATCATCACTGGTCTTTAGAGAAATGCAAATCATAACCATAATGAGATACCATTTCACGTCAGTGAGAATGGTGATCATTAAAAAAGTCAGGAAACAACAGATGCTGGAGAGGATGTGGAGAAATAGGAATGCTTTTACACCGTTGGTGGGAGTGCAAATTAGTTCAACCATTGTGGAATACAGTGTGGTGATTCCTCAAGGATCTAGAACTAGAAATACCATTTGACCCAGCAATCCATTACTGCGTATATATATACCCAAAGGATTATAAATCATTCTACTGTAAGGACACATGCACACTTATGTTTATTGCGACACTGTTCCCAATAGCAAAGACTTGGAACCAAGCCAAATGCCCATCAATGATAGACTGGATAAAGAAAATGTGGCACAGATACACCATGGAATACTATGCAGCCATAAAAAAGGATGAGTTCATGTCCTTTGCAGGGACATGGACGAAGCTGAAAACCATCATTCTCAGCAAAGTACCACAGGAACATAAAACCAAACACTCCATGTTCTCACTTATAAGTGGGAGTTGAACAATGAGAACACATGGACACAGGGAGGCGAACATCACACACCGGGGCCTGTTGGGGGGTTGGGAGCTAGGGGAGGGATAGCATTAGGAGAAATACCTAATGTAGATGATGGGTTGATAGGTGCAGCAAACCACCATGGCACATGTATACCTATGTAACAAACCTACACCTTCTGTACATGTATCTTAGAACTTAAAGTATAATAATAAAAAAAAGTTCATGATCATAATAAAAAAAGTTCATGATTTTTATTATTTTTTCAATAACAAAAAAAAAGTTCAAGAAGTTAAAAAAATTATTTTTTAAATGAGGCCAGCATAACCCTAACATCAGAAAAGACAAAGGAAGCACAAAAGAAGAAAAGCTACAGTCAAAGCTCCTAAATAAAAGTGCTGACAAATTGAATAATGCAGTACATTAAACCATGTGAGGTTGAATTTAAATGTGCAAGGATGGTTCAACATTCTAAAATTGATTATGTAATTACTTCATTAATAAATTTAAAGAGAAAAATACGATTATCTCAATAGGTACAGATTTAAATAGACACTTCACCAGAAACAATATATGAATGCCTAGTAAGCACATGAAAGATGCTCAACATCAGTAATCATTAGGAAAATGCAAATTAAAAATCACAATAAAATACCACTTCCTACAACAAGACACCACTTCCTAAGATACTAGTCCTAAGGACTAGAACTGTATAATTTAAAAGATAGGTAATATCAAGAGTTGTCGAAGATATGGAGAAACTGGAACCCTCACAAATTGCTGGTGGGAAGGTAACGATCATTTTGTAAAAGAGTTTGGCAATTTCATAAAAAATTAAACATAAACTTAACATATGATCCAACAATTTCACTCTTAGTAACTAATTCTAAAAATACTTCTAAATGAAACCACATACCCTCACAAAGACCTGTACATGAATATTCATAGCAGCATTATTCATAATAGCCATAAACTGGTAAAAATCCACATGTGCATCAGGGGTAAGTAGATAAACAAAATGTGGTATATCCACGCAATGGACAACTATTCAACAATATAGAAGAGCAGACTACAGATACATGCTACAACATGAACGTACCTCAAAAGCATTATTCTAAGTGAAAGCAAGCCAAATGTAAAAGACTACATGTTTTATGATTCCATTTATATGAAATGTGCAGAAAAGAAAAAAAAAGAGGCACATTTAGAGAGACAAGAAGGCAAATCTAGAGAGATTAGTGGCTACCTGGGACTGGGATAGGAATAAGATTGAGTATAAACGAGCTGAGGGAACTTTTTGGAGTAGATTTGTTTTGAAACTGGATTGTGGTGATGGTTGCACAACTCTGTGGATGTATGAAAAATCATTGTATTTTTATTGTAAAACAAAAATATATCCTACATTGTAAAGGATGCACAAATATCTTTTATGGTATTTAAATTAAACTTCAATAAAGCTGTTAAAACTCACATTTAGAAAAATAGGAAACTGCTGCTTTCTTTACAAAATATATCTAATCAGTACTCCATGAAAAACTGTTTGATGGCGATGAAACTGGATAAAAAAATGCAAAGAGGGCTGGGCATGGTGGCTCACGTCTGTAATCTCAACACTGGGAGGCCAAGGCAGGCAGATCACTTGAAGTCAGGAGTTTTAGATCAGCCCGGCCAACACGGCAAAAACCTGTCTCTACTAAAAATACAAAAATTAGCCAGGTGTGGTGGCAGGTGCCTGTAATCCCAGCTACTCTGGAGGCTGAGGCACGAGAATTGCTTCAACCCAGGAGGCGGAGGTTGCAGTGAGCCCAGACTGCGCCACTGCACTCCAGCTTGGGCGACAGAGCAAGACTCCGTTTCGAAAAAAAAAGCAAACAAGCAAAACATGCACATGATTTTAACATGAGTTAACAAAAGCAATAATTAAGTTTGGGGTATGATTACCTAAGAGATATAAACAACTTTAAGAAGAGCCCAGAGAAATAACAAAATTTTTTTAAATCTTTAAAGGTAGGAACTGTAAGTAAAATACTAAAACAAGTGAAATTGCTTGACCTAAGAAAAGCCTAAATCATGGGTCATTATGTCATGATGGCAAAAATTGTTCAAGCTGTAATCCATACTGGTTGTTCTACTTTTTTACACATAAAAGAATCAAGTCTGGTGCAGTGTCTCAAGCCTGTAATCCCAACACTTGGGAAAGGAGAGGCTGGAGGGATCACGTGAGCCCAGGAGTTTTGAGACCATCCCGGGCAAACAGTGAGACTGCTATCTCTTAAAAACAAAAAAAAATTAATTAGCCAGGTGTGGTGGCATACACCTGTGGTCCTAGCTACTTGAGAGGCTGAGGTGGGGGGATGGCTTGAGCCCAGGAGGTCAAGGCTGCAGTGAGCCAAGATCATGCCACTGCACTCCAGCCTGGGCAACAGAGGATGATCCTGTCTCAAAACAAAAATTAATTTTAAGTCTACTAACTTACCCATATAGATAGGAGTCCCACATGTGGCCTGCAGCATGGCTTCACTCCTACTTTGCTTCTTCACCGCTAAGCCAAAATCAGTCACCTGGGAGAAGAAATTCAAGCACAGTCACCTGTTTTCCTGTCCTAGAGCTCACTCATTCTGAAGATAAGACTTCACATTGAATTTGCATTGAATTCTGGGGTTCTTGGGGGTGGGAGGACTTTAATTGAATCATTAATAAAAATTTTGCATTTCCTTCCCCACCCACCTCTCTGTATAGAGGAGAAACTGGGTAAAGAGAAGCTTGCGTTCTCAAATCTTGAGAGAATACCATGATTTAACCATTCTTGCCATCTGATTAAATTCACCAGTCTAACATGAGAAGTTGTATTTTGAGGCATTTAATCTTTTTCATATAAAAAAGGTATTTTTGTTTTTAAAAAAAGTTCTTTCCTTGTAAAATATATTCTGGCTTTAACATATTATCTATGTTTCTGATAATCAAGTTATATTCCAGTTTAAAGCACTGTTATAAATGCAAATAATTATCCCTGTCAGCACTCACTGAAACTCTCCTTTTTTATAATTATTTATAATTGGTAAACAGTATCTTTTCTTTACTATTGTTTCCTTTGTGTTTCTAGAGTATACTAATTAAAACAATTACTACACTATTAAAAACTACAACAAGCATATTAACAGGAAAAAAACCACAACAACAAGTATTAACTACAAATACACTGGTGGCCTAGTGCCGCAACTGTAGGCCTTCTGCTCAGTTCTAAATCTTGGTCATTAAACATTTAGTTATTAAATATTCAGTATGTGGCTTTGGAATTATCTCCCAAAGTGGAACACCCTTAGACTGAAGGCAGAAAAACAGACACATTTATTGATTAAGTAACCAAATATAGGCTCTTTGTCCAGAGACAATGAATGCAAAGTTTCCAGTGCCTTATGGAGTAAGAAAATGCTCCTATTTACATGTGATATCACCATTTTTCTAAACAGATGAATCAATTTCTCCATTAGTTTTCACAAACATCTCACTTGGAGCATATGATACCTATCTTTCTTTACAGAAAATCCATTCAGACACATGAAACATACAAAAAGTTTCACAATCCAACTTAGTTCTTTGGAGAGCATCTATTCCTTCATTCATCAAATGTTAAGTGAACACATACTATGTTCCAGGCACTACTTCAGGTACTAAGTGAATAAGACATGCACAATTCTTGCCTTCATAGAGTTTACAATGGAACTGTTCCAGAACATTTACTTGGGTAAACCAACAATGCTGTTAAACCTATTTCTATTACATAGGACTTAGCTTCTGCAACAGAGTGAGTTACTCACAGACAACATTTTATTTCTAAATTAACACATTTATATATTTTGAAAGCAGCCACTATAATGGTGCTAAATAATGTATCGTAGCATTTATTTGACATTAGGGAACACTTAATTTGAATAAAATCTTCAAGAATAAACACTTGGCACATTAATTGTACTTAGGACATAAATATTAATACACAGGAAAATTTTCAATAAGAAATACAGACTTTAGAATTAATTTAGTATCAAAAGCACACGCAAGGTGTGCTTTTCTCTAAATCTGTAACACATTTACATCAAATTACCAGACATAATTTTGAAATTAATTAGAATTCAGAGCATCTGTTTGCTTGCTATTAACTAATGATTTAGAATTATTCAAATGAATATGTACTTTAAAAACACATTCAATAGCTCCACTTAACTTGCAAAATTATTCTTGTCAGTTACAACCTCTTGTGAAATTTTTATTTTTTAGCACAAGCCACTTATTTTCTGGCTGCTCAAAAGCTAGCAACATGTGTCTAAAAAGAGGATGTACTTTGCCACTTTGCTATCAAACTGTTTACAGGCAAATATTTACCACCATTGCTAATCTTACCTTTATGTTTAAGTTTATTTCATTGTTATCATCAATAAGACTGCTTTTAACCATTATATTTTCCAGTTTCAGATCTCTATGTACAATATCTACCAAGAAAATAAACAACAAATCAAATGAAATGAATAATGGAAAAATAGGAGAGACACATATAGATTAAATATATTTGACAAATTAATATCCGCTGTTGAAAAATTTGAGGGCCAAGCATAGTCTGTCCTGTTCTATTCTCTCATTTATAAATGCTTCCTCCACATTTCTAACCTTAAGGAGCCATTTTCTTTGACTCCCTCACCTCTACCCATTTCCCTGTGACCCCAGCTGGCTGCTCCTCATGATGAGTGGCCTGGGGAGTGTGAAGGAGGATCCTACCCATGCTTAGGTATTCCCAGGAGGAGGGAGATCATCTTAGTCACAAACCCAGCCAGGTTTCCCATATCCTTCGGTCTTCAAATACAGGATTACTTCTTTACTTCTATGCATATGTTACTGTCAGCATAAACATTTTAACACACTGTAACTTGGCTACATATATACAAACTATACTTATTTCAGTATATTTTTCTACAACATCAACACACATTTTCCTACTCTTTATGTAGTAAAATAAAAAACAAACAAACAAAAACCCTTGAGACACAAAATCTCCAGTTGAACATGTCAGAGCTCAGGTACAATTTTTATGTACATACAAATAACCATGTACCAAACACTTCCTTTGCAAATAATTAATTCAGTTCATATCCATTGCAAACATTTCCCTAGACTTAAAAAGTTATACACGGCCAGGCGCAGTGGCTTGCGCCTATAATCCCAGCACTGTGGGAGGCTGAGGCGGGCGGATCATGAGGTCAGGAGATCAAGACCATCCTGGCTAACACGTTGAAACCCCATCTCTACTAAAAATACAAAAAAAAATCAGCCAGGCATGGTGGCGGGTGCCTATAGTCCCAGCTACTCGGGAGGCTGCGGCAGGAGAATGGCGTGAGGCTGGGAGGCGGAGCTTGCAGTGAGCCGAGATCGTGTCACTGCACTCCAGCCTGGGTAACAGAGAGAGACTCTGTCTCAAAAAAAAAAAAAAAAAAAAAAAAAAGTTACACACATAATTGCTAGAGGAATGCATTGAATGAGTCCTGCACTGGCAATTATACCTAATCATTTATAGCTCCCTTACACAATCCCCAGGCTTTGTTTTTGGAATTTTTATTGTTTCCATTGCTCTTCTTGTCTCTTTTTACATAAATACCACACAGCTTTAACAAACATATCATTATGCTTTTATCCTTGCCAGGGCAGATCTCCCTGCTGCCTCCATTGTTCTTCTTTTTCATTGTTGGCTATTTTTACCCATTTGAGAATAATCTTATCAAGTTCCATGAAAAATGTTGCTAAGATTTTGTTTGGAATTATACTGAATTTATAGCTTAATAGGGAAGGACTGACAATAGCATAATATTAAGCCCTTGAAAAAATCGTTTCCCTCTGCCTAGAAAGCCTGCCTTTTTAATTTTTTTCTGAGTTTGTATTCCTCAGATCAAATATTGCTCCTTCAGTGAATTCTTTCCTGACTTTCCAAGCCAAATGAGGTAACTTAAACTCCTGTAATCCTTGTGCTTTATATGGCTTTCCACTGGGGAGATTATCATGTTGAATTACAACTTGTTTTCAATAATCAATCTCCCACCAGCCCAAGTTCCTTGGAGAGCAGGGGCCTTGTCTTTTAATCTTTGTAATCTAGGACCAATCTCAATGCAGTAGGTGCTCGGGAACTATCAGCTGGATGAACCACTGGGTTCCAGTACCAGCTCTAGCACACCAAACCATGTCACTGCACCTCTCTGGAACAAAGTTTTTGTTCATCTGTAAAGTGAGAAGGTTCTAAAGTCACATGTAAGCCAAACTAACCTCGAAGGAAAAAAACGGGGGGAGGAGCAGCAGCAGTAACACCTAAGAATAGTAAGGCAATTAGAATAATTTTTAAATGTAGTTTTTAAAGTACTGTGAAACCACTCTGTATGATACTATAATGGTGGATAAATGACATTACACATTTGTCAAAACCCCAAGAGTGAATCCTAATATAAGCTATGGACTTAGGGTGACAATGATATGTCAATGCAATATATCAATCTAGTGGGGGATTTTGACAGTGGGGCAGGTTGTGCATAAGTGCGAGCAGGGGAGTATATAGAAAATCTCTCTACCTTTGGCTCAGTTTTGCTGTGAATCTAAAACTGCTCTAAAATAAAGTCTACAAAGACAAAAAAATGCCTAGAACATACAGATTCTAATGTTATGATTAATAGATGTTTTGGGAAACTTCACCTTTACCATTGATTTGTCTACTTTTGATTTTATAACATTAGCTTCTCTTCAAACTGTTGAATAAAAAATGTTCATAATTTCATCTTCGTTCATATTTCTAATTAAAACATATCTAAAAAGAAAGTTAAAAAGGAAACATTTTTAACTAAAAATTAAATCTTCTATATTAGCAGGTGTTATTTATATGACTATGAATCTGGAATACAATTACCCTTAAACAAAAGTGACATTAGTATTCATGGGGTCAATGAGCTGGATAACCCTCTTCTTACCATTATTGTGAAGATATGCTATAGCTGATGCGAGACTTTGAATGATCCACCTTGTCTCATTCTCTGAGAAATGCCCTTTCCTATCCAGAATTTCTTTGAGTTCTCCATCCTCACAAAGCTCCATCACAAGGTACATTTTCTGACATTATATATATAAAAGAGAGAGAGAGCAAATTATATATCTGGGGATCTTTAAAATGTTATATATCACATATACAATCACAGTCATAATCATTAATTTATTCATTCAAAAGTATTATCTATTATGTACAAGATACCATACTGGATACTAGAGAAACAAAAAGGTAAAGACATAGTATTTATCCCCAAGAAGCTCACAAATAGTTATCATTACAGTATCATGTGATAAGTGCTAATGGCCCCAAATGCCATAGAGTTACAGAAGAGGGGCAGCCTCTGTCTAAAGAATGCCCCTTGAGAAGAAATATTAAGACCAGGTCTAGATGTCTGAATAGGGATTTATAGATAGAGAATGTGGGAAAGAATAGGCAGAGCACATGGTATTTACAAAGACTCCAAAGCTTGAAACAGCACTGTCTGTTAAAAGAATAATCTCAGTGTTAATAACATGGAGAACTTGGTAGGGTGGAGAACAATGAAGTGGTGAGGAGTGAGGCTAGAAAGAACAGGTTGGGGCCAGGTTGTAAAGAGTTCTGGATATCATGATAAGGAGTATGGATTTTTTTTCCCATATGCAATAAGGAGCCACTGAAGATTTTTAAGCTAGTGCCGGGGTTGCGGGGTGCACGTGTATGATATTACCAATTGTGCATTTCTAAATGAACATTCTAGCAGTAATGTAGAACAGGGCTCAACAAACCTTTGCTATAGAGATCAGACCCAATAGCAAATATTATTGGCTTTGAAGGCCATGGAGTCTCTTTCACAACTACTCAGTGCTGTTGCTGTAGCAGGAGAAAGCAGCCATAAACAACACAACAAAACTTTACTTCTAGACTTGAAAATTTCAGGTTTATAGAATTTTTACATGACATGAAATATTACTCTTTTACATTTTTGCAACCATTTGGAAATGCAGAAACTTAGCTTATGGGCCATTAAAAAAAAAAAAAAACAGGTAGCAGGCCCAATGTGGCTCTCAAACTGTAGTATGCTGACTTTTGTTTCTAGAGGGTAGATGTGAGGCATAGAATCGAGACAAGAAGGAGGGAAATGAAAAGATTTAAAAATACCAACAAGAAAGAAACAGTGGGACTTAGTGACTAATTGGGTGTGAGTGGTAAGAAGTCATAGCTGAAATGCCTCTTCCATATTTGCTGTTCATGTGGGGCCATATTAAGATCACTTTAGGTATTCCAACAGCCAAGTCATCTATTGAGTCAAAAAAGATTCACAGTCAACTAAAAAGCAAGTCTTTTTCATACATATTTCTATTCAAACACAGGGTACCCTTTATGTCTCCTTTATAACCTATGCTGCTAGATTTTTGTTGTTTTTAAGATCTTGAAGTCTGATTTTGTTCTTATAAGCACTGTTAGTGCAATTCTGTGTTCAATCAGTAAGTATGAAAACAGGAAGCGAAGGTTAACATCCTTTCTTCCTATAGCGCAATTCAGATTCACTGAATCTCAGGCAGTTTTAGAATTTCAAAAGTAACTGCAAAATCTAACACATAAATAAGCTTTTGAACTGGACCATATTTTTTCCATTGACAGGACTGTACAGTTCACTGGTACATAAAATGATAAGTGAACTATTTGGAAGGAAAGGTTGGATTAGCAGTACTTGAAATATAAATTGGTCAATTTTAAATATATAAGTTGGTCAAAGTTATATAAGTTATAACTGTGTTATAATTATTAGAAACAACTGTGTAGACCTGGAGAACACTTAGACTCACAAGAAACCATAGCATAGTCAGACTGGATGATCAGTACCATGGCACAACCAATCAGGTGGCAATTTCTATTAATACTTAAGATAGCTTCAATAGAAAGTCTACATGCTTGTGTGTATTTATGAGGCAGAGGGTGTCAGACCTGATCTACATGAATTAAGGGAAAGCAATACATTGGAAAAATCACAGATGATGGTTTCCTCTGCCTTCAAACTTACTCTAGATTTAGACTCCTGCTTGTACCCATAATGGAGTAACAAAGACCAGACTTATCTTCCTACCTGAAACAACTTAAGAACTGGGCAAAATATATAAAACAATAATTTTTAGACATTAAACATCAGCCAGCATAGGGTAGTTATTCCTGAGAGAGAGGAAATACATGAGGCATTCCCCACGATTATTCTAGCTTGCTGTCTAGGGAGTTTCTAGACCACAGAAGAGGGAGAGGGAATCCAAGCAGAGCCTAGCAGTCTCCATGAGTAGAGGGCATGGAGTTGGAAGCCCAGGAAGGTCAAGACAACTAAAGTTCACAGGACGGAGCATCAAAGAGGAGAATGCTGTAGAGAGAGAAATCTCCAGAGATTTGCAGAGGATCCCCTCAATTCTTCAGGAGAGCATGAATCAACACATGTGTATGAGGAAACTACCCAAAGCTGGGGGGGAAATATGCAAAAAGGGCAGAGGGAACAATCACTGGAGCTTACACACAGCCAGGAACAGCTGTGTTCCCATGAGCTGGAGGTAAACCTCGTAATTCATGGAGCACTGGGGAGAGCCCCTCAGTAACAGGAAAAAATTAGTCCTAAAGGTTGCTTTGGTGCCACCTAATGAAGCTTAAAGCAAGCTTCAAAAAGTATCAAACTTTCCAAGTGACTTACCTATATCCTAGAATAAAGCTTAAGAATAATCATTAGAATATTAAAATATCTAGCATCCAACAAGGTAAAATTCACAACATCTGGCATCTGGCCAAAAATTAACAGGCATATAAAGCAGCAGGAAAATAGAACCCATAATGAAGGGGAGAAAAAACAATAAATTGAAACTGATCTAGAAATGACACCCATGACAAAATCAGTAGAAAAGGACATTAAAACAGTTATTATAACTCTATTCAAGAAGACCGAGCGTGTTAAGTAGACACATGGAATATATAGATATATATATATATTTTAAAACCAAATCAAATTTCCACTGGAAGAGATTAACAACACATACAATACTACACAGAGAGATTACTGAATTTGAAGACAACAACAGAAACTATACAAAATGAAACAAGGAGATAAAAAATGATTTAAAAAATGAACAGAGCATCAGTGAACTGTGGACAATATCAAGCAATCTAACTTGGAGACCACAAAGTGGGGTGAGGGGAAGGCAAATACAAATGTGAGGAAATAATAGCCCCCAATTTCCTAAAATTGATGAAAACCATAAACTCACAAGTCCATGAACCCCGAACACAAAAAAAAACATGAAGAAAATGATATCAAGGCACATTATAATCAAATGGCTTAAAGCTGATGATAACGAACAAAACTATTCTAAGAAGATTTGGGGATAAAAGAAATCACAAGTCTAAGACTGAAAAGGGCAGAGACTTTGGGCATCATTGCCATATACTGCTCTTATAAAGGATAACTGTGGTCTTTAATTGTTATCAAGCACCCCTAATGAATCAAGCATAAGGCACAACCCAAATTGACTATTACTACCTTAGAGACTGGCCTAGGAGACAAAGAACAATAGAGAAACATTTAATGAGACAGATGCTTTATATCAATTGTCTCATTTAATCCTTCAACAGCAACCAAGTGAGGTCAACACTGTTATCAAGCCCATTTTACAGATGAGGAAACTGCAATATGGGCAAGCTGAATAACTTGTCCATGGTCTCATGGATAACTAAGAAGTGGTGGAGCCAGGATTCAAATGCACAGGCAATATGATTCCACAGTCCATACGCCTAATCCGTACATTATTACTCTTCTAAGAGAAAACACCCAAGCCCACAAGCATTAAACTGTCTGGAGGCAGAATGGCAAATAATCCAGGCTTCTGAACAACTCTAAATAAAAATTACAGGTAAAGAGAAGAATGATAGCATCTAGGGAAATATGAAGATAAAACATATCAGTAAGACATAGATGAAAAAATATCTCCTACAAACTGCAGTGAAAAATATACCCATACCAATTTGATTATGTAGTTAACTTTGCAAAATTATGAAAATATTCCAATAAACTTTAATGGAGAAACTAAGGATCAAAGCAAAAGGAAAGGCACCTCTAAGAAAGTTCTAATCACCATTTGGTTGTGTATGAAGTTGTTGTAATTTTAAACATTTGTTTTCAACATGCCACCCAGAACATATTACTGAAGACATCAATCTAATCATCAGACATCTAATTATGCAATCAATAATAAAAGTCCTCCAGAATGTTCTCATCAATCTCCAGTGACAGACTCATGGCCAAGGACATGAGCAACTGTGCCCCAAAGGGATTATTTCAGAATGGAATGATATTCATTTTGTAATAATAACAACTTTCAAAATGCAGCGCCTAATAGAGGTTTACCTTTGGCGTTTCAAATACTTGTTCCAGATGTATGATGTGTTCATGTTTTACACTTTTCAGAATGTTCACCTCTCGTTCAAGTAACTTCACAGCAGAGCTTCCAGCCTTAATCAATGAAGAAACACAGATTTCACATAATGAAAATCACTCCTACATTCCTTGATAGAAAAGTTATTTTATGTTTTCCTACTTTTTTTCCTGTAACTTCATATTTGAAGTGAATTCATACATTTTTTGAGATGTTTCTTTTTCAAATGATATCATGCCATTTATTCCTGTGATCAGATTAAATTATGCCCCTTCTTTCCTTTGTCCAATTTTAAGTTACATATAATTTTGCCTCAAGCCACATCTGTTTCTTGAATTGTTTCTATAACTTAGCTACAACATGGTATCTGTCTCCTCACAAAACTATGAAAATTACTCCAACTTTTAATAGGCTTTTTGATATTTCCTTTAAAAATATGTTGATCCCTTGATGTTAGCATAATAAAAACAAAATCTACTTCCAAGGACATAAATTGAGGAAGAAAAAAAACAAAAAGTTTTTCTTTGTTTTGCTGTTGTCTTGTTTTGATTTGATTATATATATATATACATATATATACACACACATATATATACATATATACATATATACACACACACACACACACACACACACACACATATATATATATATGTATGTATGAAAAAATAATAGGCAATGAGATTCTACACTCGGCTCTGCACTGTTACTTCCTGGCCTGCCTGGTTAACTGAGGGAGAAACAGGGAGAGAGACGGAAAGAGAGAGAGACAGACAGACAAAGAGAGACAGAGACAGAGAGAGAGAGAGAGATCTTGCCTTCAGATGTTAGATGTCTCCTAACATTTAACACTCACCATGCAGATAGCAAAAGGTAAAGTCAGTAACACTCCAAGGAGCACAAGGACTTCATTCGGGTGTAGGTAATTGATAATCTACAATGTCCTCTATCTCAGAAATTCTAGAAGGGCTTTCTCCACCCTCACCATCACCGCCCTGCCAAATCATCACCCCTATTGATCTTGAAATTGTCATTATTTGAGGATAAGCATTGTCCTCATTTATTTCTAATAAAAAAATCTCCCTGCAAGGGATAAAAAAGGTCCTATTCCTCCACCTCCCATCCACCTGATTTGGGAGAGTACATAATGGTTCTTAAGGGAGTGGAAATGGATTAGTCATAAGGCAAATTTTGCCTAATTAAAATTTTACCTAGTGTCATTCCAGCTTCCAATTACCTTTGCTCCTCAACCTTTAGCATCTCAGGAGTGGGTGGGATGCTGCCCATCATACTATGCCCCACCCAAGGATTAAGTCACATTTAAAGGTTAACCTAGAGCAGCAGTCCCCGACCTTTTTGGTACCAGGGACTGATTTAATGGAAGACAATTTTTCCATGAACCAGGGTTGCGGGAGAGGGCATGGTTTCAGAGTGAAACTGTTCTACCTCAGATCATCAGGCATTAGTTGGATTCTCATAAGGAGCATGCAGCATAGATCCATAGATCCCTCACATACACAGTTCACAGTAGAGTTTGCACTCCTATGAGAATCTAATGCCGCTGCTGATCTGACAGGAGGCAGAGATCAGGTGGTGATGTTCACTCGCCTGCTGCTCATCTCCTGGTGTGCAGCCTGGTTCCTAACAGGCCACGGACAGGTACCGGTCCAAGACCTGGGGGTTGGGGACCCTCGACCTAAAGGATCAAGAGAAATAGTGACTGTGAGGAGTGAATTTTTGTCTAGACTAGATATGGAAAGTTACCCCAATTTCTCCTAATATCCATCTCAATTCTGTTTCTCACCCCTTCCCAAATGGCTTGGCCTGAATATAACACAATATTACACTATTCACTTCATATACTGACTATATAGTTTTATCTTACTATCTTTTGGTCTTAAAAACTCTCAACATCAATATAAATATGAAAGATTATTAATTCCTAAAGTTGCAAGTAGGTATGATAGTTATATAACCCAAAAACTGAACCCCTAACCCTAGCTAACACCAAAGGAGAAAAGGAAATAACACCTTAGGTAGCACTTAGGATGCTACCCGAATTCTAAAGATTTCTAGAAAGGCTCTTAATCCCTTTACTAAGATTGATATGTTACCTTACTAAACATTAGGGACAAATGGTATGTAATTTGCTACAGTTTGTTTTAAATAATACATAAAACCTACCATTTTGTTTTTTAAATGTGGTATTTATCATCACAAATCCTAGGGGAAAACACCATAATGTTGTTTGGTTTTTCCCAGGCACAGAAATGAAAAAGGTTGATGAAATGATCAGGTGTAAAGTCTGAGGTCTTAGATTTTATCGTCAAGAGAAGCTCAGTCGTTCCCCAGTTCAAGAGGAAATCTAGTGAGGAGTGCAGCAGATAAAAGAGTATAGCAGTAGTTAGTTGAAGCAAAAAGTGGTTCAACATGAAAGAGCAGGCAGGATGAATAAACAGAATTAGCGAACAGTGAGGAAATGAAAGGAGAGGATAGGAGAAAAGTATATCAAAACAAAATCAGGAGAGAGTATCTGCACTTCTAGCTAAGATATCTCTAGCCCACAGCCCTATGCCTACAGAACACTGAGAACCAGCCCTTATCTTCAGCAAACTCTGGTAAAATTTACCTATTTTTTGTTATATTGGTTATGTTATTCCTTTCATTTGTTTTTTCCAGGCAGCACTTGCCTACTTGAGTTCAGAAACTAGTCCCTTTCCGGGAGGCTAGAGAAATGCCACGCTTCTCTGGGGGATCAGCCCAGGCCTGGGACCTCAGGGTGAGAGGCAGCTTGTGTTAGTGTAAAAAGCTGTACTGTCCACACCCACCCTGCACTAACACTGTGCCCTCAGTAGGATGCTGCTAATGAGCCTTACCTTTTCTTTGTTCACTTTTTTAATTGCCCACTTCGTTTCTGTTTCCTTGTCTGTCGCTTCAATGACTATTCCAAAGCTCCCTTTTCCCAATATTCTTCCAAAGGTATAGATTTCCTGGAGAAAAAAAAAAAAAGAGTTGTCTCTCTATGCCATTCATCAGCTATTAAAAATGAACATATAATACTGACAGATACTCACCCAAGGGAAAAGAGATTCTGCTCCAAGTTAAAATCAAATAGAAGACACTATATATTTGCTTCAATATTAATAAACACATCTTAATTAACCAAAATAAGCGTTGATGAATTTTATTAAGTGTCCTTTGGAGGAAAACCATAAAAATCCTAATGGTGAAATGTGGAAAAACTCAAAAGTATAAAAATGAATCTCTTTCAAACTATAATATATTAATGAAATATCTTCATAAGAAAAAGGAGAAATGATTTATATATATACACACACATAAGTGTGTGTAGATATAAAATACATTCACCCCAAAACATCCCAAATTTCTGAGAGCTATACTACAAAATCGACACATAGTAACTACTGAACAAATGTTTCTTTATTTAACAACTAATGCTTTTCCTGTATCTTATGAAAAATCACTTTTGATTCCTTTTGCTTTAAAAAAAAAAAAGCAATATGTGACAAAAATTTCAACACAGATCAGCACTGAGAAAAAAATAACCACTACCCATAAAACCATCATCCAAACCAAGAATCCATCCTCTTATCATTTAACTTCTGCTTATAAAGAAAGAATACATTGGTTTTGCCAACATCACCATTTTGGTTTGCATTGTAAATAATAAACAGCTAAACTCATTTACACCTTCATTTCTTATCAATTTGGTTTTGGGGGAGTCAGTCTCCCTGATCCAAATCAACTCCAGGGAATTAACAAGAGTTTCTGGACCCATCGTGCATAGGAACCAGAACATGGGAGAGCAGCTGAACTAATGCCACTAGGTAATGCCCTGGTTGGGTCAGCTAGTCAAAGCCTTCCATAGAAATGCCACTCTCAAAATGCCACTCTCTCTCTCTCTGTATGTGTGATCACTTTCACATTCACCATGTGTATTAGTCCGTTTTCACGCTGCTGATAAAGACATATCTGAGACTGGGCAATTTACAAAAGAAAGAGGTTTATTGGATTTACAGTTCCACATGACTGGGGAAGCTTCACAATCATGTCAGAAGGCAAGGAGGAGCATGTCACATCTTACATGGATGGAAGCAGGCAAAGAGAGGGCTTGTACACAGAAACTCCTGTTTTTAAAACCATCAGATCTCGTGAGACCCATTCACTATCATTAGAACAACATGGAAAAGACCCACCCTTCTGATTCAATCATCTCCCAGTGGTTCCCTCCCATGACACATGGGAATTATGGGAGCTACAAGGTGAAATTTGGGTGGGGACATAGAGCCAAACCATATCATTCCAACTCTGGCCCTTCCCAAATCACATATGTTCACATTTCAAAACCAATCATGCCTTCCCAACAGTCCCCCAAAGTCTCAACTCATTTCAGCATTAACTCAAAAGTCCACATCTGAGACAAGGTAAGTCCCTTCTGCCTATGAGCCCGTAAAATCAAAAGCAAGTTAGTTACTTCCTAGATACAATGGGGGTATAGGCATTGGGTAAATATAGCCATTACAAATGGGAGAAATTGGCCAAAACAAAAAGGCTACAGGCCCAATGCAAGTCCAAAATCCAGTGGGGCAGTCAAATCTTAAAGCTCCAAAATGACCTCCTTTGACTCCATGTCTCACATCCAGGTCACGCTGATGCAAGAGGTAGGTTCCCATAGTCTTGGGCAGCTCTGTCCCTGTAGCTTTGCAAGGTACAGCCTCCCTCCTGGCTGCTTTCACAGGCTGACATTAAGTGTCTGTGGCCTTTCCAGGTGCATGGTGCAAGCTGTCGGTGGATCTACTATTCTAGGGTCTGGAGAATGGTGGCCCTCTTCTCACAGTTCCACTAGGCAGTGCCCCAGTAGGGACTCTGTGTGGGGGCTCCCACCCCATATTTCCCTTCTGCACTGCCCTAGAAGAGGTTCTCCCTGAAGATCCTGCCCCTGCAGCAAACTACTGCCTGCGCATCCAGGCGTTTCCATATATCTTCTGAAATCTATGTGGAGGTTCCCAAACCCTAATTCTTCACTTCTGTGCACTCGCAGACTCAACACCACATTAAAGCAGCCAAGGCTTGAGGCTTGCACCCTCTGAGGCCATGGCCCGAGCTCTATGTTGGGCCCTTTCAGCCATGGCTGGAGTGGCTAGGATGCAGGGCACCAAGTCTCTAGACTGCACACAGCATGAGAATCCTGGGCCCAGCCCACGAAACCACTTTTTCCTCCTAGTACTCTGGGTAATGGGAGGGGCTGCTGTGAAGACCTCTGACATGCCCTGGAGACATTTTTCTCATTGTCTTGGGGATTAACATTTGCCTCCTGGTTGCTTATGCAAATTTCTGCAGCCAGCTTGAATTTCTCCTCAGAAAATGGGATTTTCTTTTCTATTGCATTGTCAGGCTGCAAATTTTCCAAATTTTTATGCTCTGCTTCCCTTATAAAACTGAATGCCTTTAACAGCACCCAAGTTGCCTCTTGAATGCTTTGCTGCTTAGAAATTTCTTCCACCAGATACCCTAAATCATCTCTCTCAAGTTTAAAGTTCCACAAATCTCTAAGGCAGGGGCAAAATGCTGCCAGTTGCTTTAGTAAAACGTAACAAGAGTCACCTTTGCTCCAGTTCCCAAGAAGTTCCTCATCTCCATCTGAAAGCACCTCAGCCTGAATTTCATCATCCATATCATTATCAGCATTTTGTTCAAAGACATTCAACAAGTCTCTAGGGAGCTCCAAACTGTCCCACATTTTCCTGTCTTGTTCTGAGCCCTCCAAACTGTTCCAACCTCTGTCTATTACCCAGTTCCAAAGTCACTTCCAGCCGGGTGCAGTGGCTCATGCCTGTAATCCCAGTATTTTGGGAGGCCAAGGCAGGCAGATTACGAGGTCAGGAGATCGAGACCATCCTGGCCAACATGGTGAAACCCCATGTCTACTAAAAATACAAAAATTAGCTGGGTGTGGTGGCCTGTGCCTATAATCCCAGCTACTTGGGAGGCTGAGGCACACGAATTGCTTGAACCCAGGAGGTGAAGGTTGCAGCGAGCTGAGATCGCACCACTGCACTCTAGCCTGGTGACAAAGCAAGACTCCATCTCAAAAAAAAAAAAAGTCACTTCTACATTTGTGGGCATCTTTTTGGCAGCACCCCACTTCTGGTACCAATTTACTGTATTAGTCCATTTTCACACTGCTGATAAAGACATACCCGAGACTGGGCAATTTACAAAATAAAGAGGTTCATTGGACTTACAGTTCCACATGGCTGGGGAGGCCTCACAATCATGGCAGAAGGCAAGGAGGAGCAAGTCACATCTTACGTGGATGGAAGCAGGCAAAGACAGAGTTTGTGCAGAGAAACTCCCATTTTTAAAACCATCACATCCTATGAGATCCAGTCACTATCATGAGAACATGAGAAAAACCTGCCCCCATGATTCAATCATCTCCCATAGGGTCCCTCCCACAACACATGGGAATTATGGGAGCTACAAGATGAGATTTGGGTGGGGACACAAAACCAAACCATATCACCATGCAACAGGTAAATTAGAGGCTTGTCTTCGTATTTTCTAATGCTTACATTCCCTTCTTTTGTAACAGAAAATTCAACGCCCAACTAATTACTCACCTCCTTCATGAAGGGCTTCCTTGTTTAACACAATTGTGTCTGTTCTGTTATTTTTACTCCTTTCACCATGTATGCATTGGTCCTCAAACAATATTATTGCTTTTTTGTTTACAAACCTTTTGGCTTATTTTTTTTTCTTCCAAGATGGTCTAAAAGCTCCTAAAGGTGCTGTTTCTTTTGTATCTCTTAAAAAAACCTAGCTCTTCTCTCTTCCTTGATACCACTTAATAGCACATAATAGAATTAAAGTCAGAAAACTTAATTATAAAATAGTACAAAACATAATTTTATTCTTATATTTATATGCAACTCTCAACTGTATACAGAGATACCTCAGAGATATTGTGTATTCAGTTCCAGACCACCACCATAAAGCAAAAATTGCAATAAAGCATATAAAAGTTATGTTTACACTATATTATAATCTATTAACTGCAATAGCATTATGTCTAAAAATGTACACAAAATTTTAAAATGCTGCATTGCAAAAAAAAATGCGAACAAACATAACAATGCAATTGTAATCTTTTTGCTGGTGGAGGGTCCTGCCTCCATGTAGATGACTGATGACTGATTAGGGTAGTGGTGGTTGAAGACTGGAGTGGCTGTGACAATTTCTAAAAATAAGACAACCATGAAGTTTGGTGCATCAATTGACTCTTCCTTTCATAAAATATTTCTCTGTAGCATGTGATGCTGTTTGATAGCATTTTACTCACAGCAGAACTTCTTTCAAAACTGAAGTTAGTCCTCTCAAACCCTGCCACTGCTTTATCAACTAAGTTTATGTGATATTCTAAATTTTGTTGTCATTTCAAAAATATTCACAGCATCTTCACTAGGAGTATATTCCATTTCAAGAAATCACTTTCTTTGCTCATCCATAAGAAGCAATTCTTCACTCATTCATGTTTTATCGTGAGACTGCAAAAAGTCAGTCCCATCTTCAGGCTCCACTTCTAGTTCTCTTGCTGTTTCCATTATATCTATAGTTACTTTATCCACTTAAGACTTGAACCCTTCAAAGTCTTCCATGAGGGTGGGAATCAACATTTACCAGACTCCATCAGTGTTGATATTCTGACCTTCTCTCATGAATCACAAATGTTCTCAATGGCATCCAGAATGATGAATCCTTTCCAAAAGGTTTTCAACTTAATCTGCCCAGATCCATCAGAGGAATCACTATCTGTGGCAGATATAACCTTATGAAATTTATCTCTTAAATAATAAGGCTACAAAACAGAAATCACTCTTTGATCCATGGGCTACAGAATGAATGTTGTGTTAGCAGGCATGAAAACAACATTCATCTTGTACATCTCCATTAGAGCTCTTGGGTGACCAGGCGCATTGTCAATGAGCAGTAATATTTGGAAAGAAGACATTTTTGTGAGAAGTAGGTCTCAAATGTGGGCTTAAAATTTCAGTAAACCATGCTGTAAGCAAAGGTGCTATCATTCAGGCTTTGTTGTTTTATTTAATGAGCACAGGCAGAGCAAATTTAGCATAACTTCTTAAGGCCCTAGGAATTTCAAAACAATAAATGAGCAGTGGCTTCAACTTAAAGTCACCAGCTTCATTAGTCACTAACAGGAGAGTCAGTCTGTCCTTTGGGGCTGTGAAGCCAAGCATTGATTACTCCTCTCTAGCTATGAAAGGATTAGTTAGCATCTTCTAAGGCTTAAATCTGTTGTTTAGTGTAGCCATCTTCTATCAATGTCTTAGGTAGATCTTCTGGATAACTTGCTGCAGCTTCTACATCAGCACTTGCTGCTTCCACCTTTTATGTTATAGAGACAGCTACTTTCTTTAAACCTCCTGAACCAATCTGTGCTAGCTTCAAGCTTTTCTCCTACAATGTCCTCACTTCTCTCCCCTTCACAAAACTGAAAACAGGGCCTTGCTCTGGATTAGGCTTTGGCTTAAGGAATCTTGTGCTTGGTTTGATCTTTTCCAAAATCAAACTTTCTCCATATCAGCAATAAGGCTGTTTTGCTTATCATTCACGTGTTCACTGGAATAGCACTTTTAATTTCATTCAACAAATTTTCTTTTTCTTTAAAAACTTGGTTAAATGGTGCAAGAGGCCTAGCTTTCAGCCTATCTTGGCTTTCAACATGCGCTCCTCATTAGGCTTAATCATTTCTGGCTTTCGATTTAAAGTGAAAGACATGTGACTCTTCCTTTCACTTAAAACACTGCAGGGTTATTAATTGTCCTAATTTTAATATTGTCTCTCAGGGACTAGGAAGGGCCAAGGAGAGGGAGAGAGATGGAAGAATGGTCAGTCACTGGAGCAATCAGAATGCACACAACACTTATTGCCATCTTATATGGGTGCAATTTGTGACACCCCCAAACAAGTACAATAGTAACATCAAAAATCACTGATCACAGATCACAACAGATATAATAATGAAGAAAAAGTTTGAAATACTGTGAGAATTACCAAAATGTGACACAAAGGCACAAAATGAGCACATGCTGTTGGAAAAATGGCACCAACAGACTTGCTTGACACAGTTGCCAAAACTTCAAATTTGTAAAAAACACAAGATCTGCAGAGTGCAATAAATCAAAGCATGATATGATGAAGTATGCCTATATTTTGTAAAGTGAGTTAAATCTCAACTAAAATGGTCATTTACCCTTTTCTCATTTACAAAATAATCTCTTCATAACCACTTCCCCAATTTTTCTTGTTCTTTAAAAGTTAAACTTTTATTTTCTCTCTAAATAGAACCACAATTTGAAGACAGTATTCAATACTGTTTAAATAGGAATTCTAAAATGAGAAATGGCCAACTAGTTTTTTACAAACTAATCACTTTCTTCAACTAACTGCTTTGATATTAACACATAGTGATGAAGGAGAAAACAGTTTCTTATTTCTAATAATTGTGTAAGGATGTTATTAAAATGATAATGTAGATCTATTTTTACTGACACAGAAGAAGTCCATGACATAGTGTACAGTGTGAAAAGCATATAAGATATGATTTCATTATGACAATGTGTGTGTGAGGAGGTGCTTACATGGATATCTGTGAAAATGTTCATCTAAATATTAATAGTAGCTATGTAAGGGTAATAGAATTGTGGATGCTTGTAATTTCCTTCTTTATACTCTTCTGAAATGTTTAAAATATTTAAAATGAGTATATTTTATGGGGGAATAGAAGCTTCAACTTCAACTATACCAAGTTAAAGTTACTTCTTTAAAATATGTATATATATTTGAAATATCCTCTAATTTAAAACAGGAAAAATGTTAAAGAAAAATAAAATAAAACTAGTACATGCATAGAAAAAGTGAAGTTAATAATTTTTAAATTGGTTATATCTGGTTGATAATTTTTATTTTCTCCACACTTATATTTGCCTAATTTTTCACAATGAACATATTTTGCTTTTATAAAAGCTCTTAAGACTAAATTTATTATTTATTTATTTTACTGTTTTTGGAGACAAGGTCTCACTCTGTCGCCCAGGCTAGAATGCAGTGGTATGATCATAGCTCACTGCAGCCTCAAACTTCTGGGCTCAAGTGATACTCACATCTCAGCACCCCACAGTAGCCAGGACTACAGCCGAATGCCTCTATATCCTGCTAATTTTTTAAAAATTTTTTTAGAGAAGGAGTTTTGCTATGTTGCCCAGTCTGGTCTCAAACTCTTGGCCTCAAGTGATCCTCCTTCCTCAGCCTTTCAAAATGCTGAGATTACAGGCATGAGCCATCATGCCTGGCCCAAGACTAAATTTAAAACTTGGTAAACTTGTGTGTGTGTGTGTCAGAGTTTTTCAGGCCAGGCAGCTTTTCTAATCATTTCAAGTAAGTTGCCAAATATCTTTTAAAACAAGTTTTGACATCAGGCTTGATCATTTCTAGCTTTTGATTTAAAGTGAAAGACATGCAACTCTCCCTTTCACTTGAACCACTGTAGGATTATTAATTGGCCTAATTTCAATATTTTTGTGTATCAGGGACTAGGGAGGCCCAAGGAGAGGGAGAGAGATGAAGAGTGGTCAGTCAGCTGAGCAATCAGAACATATACATTTATTAAGTATACCATCTTATATGGGTGCAATTTGTGGTGCCCCAAAGCAATTTAAATGGTAATATTAACACAATTTTCTTCTTGTTGTGGTTGTTCTTATTGCAGTTTCTTTAATGTTAAAAACACACATTTTAATTTTTTTATTGTTCTAACATTTAATTCTTATTTTATATAATAATTTGAATCCTGGAAAAATAGTATTGGTATTTATCCAATCGCAGGATGGAAAAGATGGAGGAGCTCATGAGGGAGATTCTGGCCTCACTATCAAGGAAGTGAACAGCCAAACTAAAATTACCTGGTCCATCTCTGCATCATGAAAAGGTCTAAACAAAGACTCCACTATTGCTTTCAGCAACGGCCAAGACCTGAAGATGAAACTATCCTCATTTTAGCTAATGAAAATGTTCTCCACTTTAATTAAAATCCACTTGGTCCTCCATAAACAGAAGATAATTAATCTGTATTTTCTTTAGTAAAAATGTTAACATACTTGAAAATGGTACATTTCCTCTTTTCTTTACTTCCTTTCCTTAGAGATTTATTTTTCAATCATTTTTCCTATTAACCATTGACTTAGAAGAAACCTGAAAGTTCACAGTAGCTTCATTTGCTTTCTATATACCTCAATAGCAGCTCCATTCTCAATCCTTATGTGAGGAACTTTTCCTTCTGTAAAGTTGCCCCGACCCCATTGTTGCTGAGATGCTTTTCTCTCTACATTTGAGGTTCTTGAGGGCTGGGACCAAAAAAAAAATTAAAAAAAAAAAACTTTAAGATGTAATATTCTTTGTTGACAAAGAATCCTAATTTAGATAATCTGATAACTCTTTAACGTGTGCCATGTTTACTATGCACAAGATTGTTTACTGTCTTTTTCAAATTCTAAGCCCTATGCAATTCATTGGCTCATTAGGCTAAAGGAGACCTTAAGAAGATATTCAATCCAATCCCCTGAATCCAGGAAAGTCTACATGATAACCAGCATAGCAGATTCATCAAAGCTTACCTAGTGATTCTCTGAAATCAAAGAAAGCAACTTTATAGCTTTCTCAATCACTCTCCTTTCACAATTTAACAACCATTATCAAACAGCTTATAAGTAAATTATTGGCCACTCAAAAATATGCTTTGAGTGAAAATAACATAGTAACAACTCACTCAGATACATCCATATGGCAGTAACTATATGATAATACAAATCAGAAATAACAGTCAAGGGAGAACATATGAAGAAGGCAAAATTTTGAGGAATGGGAACCTGACTTTTCTTAGGCTTATTGCTCTGTCTCCAAAGTTGTGCTGTATCAACCACAATCTTACACACTGCCTATTCTATATAAAGATGAATATGGCTGGGCACGGTGGCTCATGCCTGTAATCCCAGCACTTTGGGAGGCCAAGGTGGGTGGATCACCTGAGGTCGGGAGTTCAAGACCAGCCTGACCAACATGGAGAAACCCCCTCTCTACTAAAAATACAAAAAAATTAGCTGGGCATGGTGGTGCATTCCTGTAATCTCAGCTACTCAGGAGGTTGAGCTAGGAAAATCACTTGAACCTAGGAGGCAGAGGTTGTGATGAGCTGAGATTGTGCCATTGCACTCCAGCCAGGGCAACAAGAGCAAAACTCCAATTCAAAAAAAAAAAAATGATGAATACATCGAAATCAGTACAATTGGGTAGCCATAGATTATTTGTAACTAATGCAAACTGATTTTGTAAAGTATAGTTGATATTCCACCTAGACAACCACAACTTAAATAACAAAGCCATAACTACCCTTTACTTAACCACAACTATAAATCTAATTCTCCATCAGTTGAAGAAAATACTCAAAAATTCAGATTTAATTCAACTTGAAAACCAATTCATTTCTGTATAAACCATTAAAAAAAGAAGTTGGTATAACGTGTTTAATTACCTCATGTCCTGAGAAATAATTAATTTGGGCAGTGGTTTGAAACATCATATAACAAGTTACTAACCAAATTTACTCACCTCTTCTGTGAGAAAGAAATGTTTAATAGTTATGAAGGCAATGAATTAGCTAACAAGAACTCATGGGATATGGATGAAGCTAGGAGTACCATTAGGGAACGGGATGTCAACTTGTGCTTAGATGTGGAATCTTTGATATTTACCAAATCTTTCCTGGAGGTTATATCTCTGTTGATATTTTTTTCTTTTTTTCTCTCCAGTGAAATTAAAGATTCTGCACTACCAATGCTTGATGTCTGTGACATTTCCACCACCAAAACTGGAGGAACCCTTGTTTTGCTGGAACATACACAAAGTACATCTTTCTGAGAAGCAGATGAACAGTCGGGGCATTTTGTGGATTTTTTATCTAAGCCACTATCAGCCATTTGTTTAACTCTGCAACAAAAGCAACTTTAAAAATGTTTCCACTGTTTGAGGAAGAAAACCAGGCCAAAAAGGATAAGGTAGTTGATGGTGAAAACTGTAATTTCGAACTGGTGAAGTCCTCAGGTTAAGGATGCACTAGACACATATTCACACGTGAGAGCTGCAGAAAGAAAAGAAATAACCATTTAGAGAAATTCTTAACCTATTACCATCCTGGAAATCAGAGAAAAGCTAGCAACTAGCACTAGAAGCATCCTGTATAGACATGAAAAGGACAAAATAGGACCACAAAACTGGTGAAAAGCATGGTCTAAAACAGCATCTTATCAAACTGCGTAGTGGGTTATGAAATCCATTTTGTGGGTTGATACCACTTTTTAAAAATAAAGTAGAATCAAAGAGATAATATTTAGCATACCTCCTTGGAAATTTCTGTGAAACTTTTAATTGGACAGACATATATGTATAGAGTGTGTGTGTGCGTGTGTACTTGATCACAGTATGAAATGTATTTCTTAATGTGGGTTGTGGTTTTTAAAAAGGCTTAAAATATTGGTGTTAAACATACATTACTATGGTTTCAAATTTTAAACCTTAATCTATTGATTATTAGAGCAAATTCCTATTACATACTTTACAAAGGAGTGAATAATTCGATTTTTAGAAAACTAGCTAATCCTAAAAGTTTAAGTATCCTCATAAGTATCCTCATTTTTATATTGAGCAAAAATAAAAATGAGTGGGTGCTATTTTTCCCTGAGTCTAAAATAGGTATGGCAGCATTTTACTTAACTAGGACCATTGGCAGCTGCATGGTGGCAAGTTGGAAAGATCTCAGTTGAGGAGGAAGAAAAATACACTCTGCAGTACATATAAAGGAGTACTTTGAGAAACTTCCAGAAGTAATTGGGAGTACATTATTATGGTTTTATGCTATACCATTTCAGACAGTCTTTAAAAGTAGATTCTGTAGTCATAGATTGATAAACCTGGGGATATATGCAATATACTGTTATCCTTTGAACTGGAATAAACTTGACTAGAATAGGAAATTAAATATATTTATTTCATTAAAGAAATACCTGGTTTTCTAATCAGAAAGCTGTGCTTTTATCAAATCCTTATCTATTGTGATTGGCAGGAAAATCTGCCAGGCTCATACGATTTTATAAAAGATATTGCTAGTAGTTTACCTAAAAGTTGTCCTCTCATTCTTTCTTACTAACAGAATCCTGATCTTCTTTGGGGCAGCAATGTGCTCATTAACATCCTACATTTCCGGGCTTCTCTTTTAGATTAGGGGTAGCCATGTGACTTATGGCCATTAAGCTTAACAGAATGCAGGCAAAGCTGCACTTAAAAGAAAATTTATATTCTTAAACCTTTATTAAAATCAGAGGAGAAAGGATAAAAATATACTAAGTGTGCAGTCAAATCTAAAAGATAGAAAAACATAATTAAAGAGTAAGCTTAAGAAACAGAAATGACAAAGAAATTTTGTTGAATTTTGCCTATACGGTCCCAAATAAACGTACTCTTCACTACCTCTCAGCTTTCATATCTCCTTTCTCTCAGATACAGTAGCCTCTTGCTGCTCCTCTAATATGCCAAGTATACTCCCTTCTCAAGGCTTTGCCCTTCTGCTTCCTCTGCCTGGGATGCTCTTCCCTCAAACATTCACACGGTCTGCTCCCATGCTTCACTGTGGCTTCTGCTCATTTGAAAGGCTTTCCTAACCACCTCATCTAAAACAACAAGCCCATGCCCTCTCCCCCCTTACCTTGCTTTGTTTTTCTTCATGCCACTTATCATTTCACTCAGGAAGTTTCATAGCAGAGTCCTCTCCTACTTTTATTGAACAGATGATTCTTATATAAATGGTTTCAGAGCATGCAAAGCCATCCGGTTCATTTTATTCACTTAAAATAACCAAAATCTGACCATAGTAGTATTCCCCAAAAGGGGGATTTACAGGTCAGTCTCATTTGTAAATAGATTTTAAAATCCTAAATGCTGTACTTACATTTACCCCAGGTAATGTATATAGTATATTATAAGATTATTAAATAGAATAGATAAGTCTGCCCAATAAATATGACCTTTCATCAAAGTGGTGGGAAAAAAATTTCTATTGTGATTAAAACTCATAATGGAGAGTATGAGGACAGGTACATTAAAAGTGCCCTCCAGACAGGCAGAGGAAGAAAAGAATGCAACTGATGCCACTCAAAATACACACACACACACACACACACACACACACACACACATACACATCTCTTATAAACACTTAACCTGGTTTTTCAAGAATATGTAGCAAGACAAAGAAAATTCAGAATGTACCTGTATCACTTTCCAAAATGATTTAACTTCAGGCCTAGAAGAAAATGTTTTGCATTTCAGGTTAAATATAAAACCCATAACCATCAATGACTCAGAGCAGTGGAGTAGATCTGCAAATGATAGGCTTTCTGTTTGGGAAAAATAGTGCTTTCTCTCTGAGGTGTAGAGAAGTCCCATGTCAGATGTGTAAAACATCATTTTTTGCATACATTAAGAATATTGATTTTATGGTACTTTTTATAAGAAATTGTAAGAAGTATTCGTAACGTACAGGTTTATTTAACTGCAGCTGAGTTCTTTCATGATAAACAGTACTCCTAAAAGCATACTTACCATATCCTTCAAGGTTTACAAATATATATATTCACAAATTTTCAATGGAATCTTTAAATATTAAAATTTTCATTTTAAGATAGATTTTGGGGGATCTAAAAACAGCTATTCTTTTCTTAGCTTTGTTCAGAAAGCATTTCCTTTAATTTTCATCAATTTTTCAATAAGTCATTATCATATCACTGACATTGTCACAGACTTCTGAGTACTTTCTCGCTCCAGTCTTCTAATTTATCAGTTGCCTTAGAAGTACTTGGTAGCTATATGCATAAAGCATAGGATTTCTTTCTATTACTCACTGAGAAGTTTCATTTTTGCTCTCCAGTCTACCAAGTGCTATATTTGCCAAAATAATGTTCTACTTTCTTACCACAGCAATTCTAAAACAACAGGTTGAATAGCTGCATGCAAAATTTCTTGACAAGAATTAGATTTCAAATTTAACTTCTTTTTGGCTGGCTGAATTCTAATTATTTTAGTTTAAACAAAAACCAAGATAGAACAAATGTTTACTCACATTTATTTCTTTCTCATTTACGAATTGATCTGAAAGATTTGTTACTAAAACAAATCTACTATTTCACAGGACAAATGATGTCACTCATATTTTAGAGGCTTAAAATTAATCAAGTATTGCAAACTTATGTAAACACAAAGATTAATAGCTCTTTTTCTATAGAATCATGGAATTATGTTTAAACAGGACTTTAGATATAAAAATATGTATTACAAAAACCAAAGAATCTTCTAATACAATAATGTTTCTTTGTGTCTCCAAAGATTGGACATACATAGGTACTGGACATAATATAAGCAAATAAAATAAGTTCAAATTATGTCAGTACTTAACTAATACATGAGCCTTCCTTTGGCTTAAGGTTTTCATTTTATTTTTAGAACTAAGGCAAGTCAATAAAACAATTCTGATAATGAAAATCCCTGGGCTTTAATTTAATCATAAAAAGGTCTTTTACATATTGGCCCTAGAAGATACACTTACAGCAATTTCCTCAAGAAAATGAACACAAGAATGGTTTTATAAGATATAACTAGCTATAATTTTCTTCTCCAAAAGCAATTTTTTTAGTTTTCTTTGCTAAGACTGTGTCTACAAGAAACCTAAATAGTCAATTCAGTCAAAATGTGTTTTATTCAAGTAAAGGGGAAAAAAAAAAAAACTTACGAATTGTCTGACATTCTGCAGACCAAGCCAAATGACTGACTGCTTTAGTAACATGTTTACAAAGCCTAAAGAAGGGCCCAGTGAGTTTTCTAGATGATATTGCTATATTTTAAGGAAGACTAGCACTTGTTTATTCTTTTCATTAAGGGCATGATTAGGAAAATGAGTCTGTATTGTCTTATAAAAGGATTTACAGTATATTTAAAATTCACATTATTTCAGAATTTTTTTAAATGTTTGAGTGATGTTTACTATTAACTTTTCCTTTCTATTTTAATTTGCATGATGTTCCTCACTGATTAAGCAGTAATACGGAAGGACAGTCTTAAATGTGGCCCCTATACTGACAGTTAAAAGCGAGAACAGAGGCCGGGTGCGGTGGCTCACGCCTGTAATCCCAGCACTTTGGCAGGCTGAGGCGGGTGGATCACAAGGTCAGATCGAGACCATCCTGGCCAACATCCTGACCAACCTGGGGTTTTAGTAGAGAAACCCCATCTCTACTAAAAATACAAAAATTAGCTGGGTGTGGTGGCATGCACCTGTAATCCCGGCTACTAGGGAGGCTGAGGCAGGAGAATCGCTTGAACCCAGAAGGCGGAGATTGCAGTGAGCCAAGATCATGCCACTGCACTCCAGCCTGGCAACAGAGCTAGACTCCGTCTCAAAAAAAAAAAAAAAGCGAGAACAGAAATTGCAGTTTAGAGACAGTGGATAAACCAGGAAACCCTCTCCCTGATTCTTCCCTGTTGATATCAGTCTTTTCTCCCTCTCCATTATAAGCAACCAGAAGCTGGCCAGGCACAGTGGTTCACGCCTATAACCCCAACACTTTGGGAGGCGGAGGCAGGCCGATCACTTGCAGTCAGGAGTTCGAGATCAGCCTGGCCAATATGGTGAAACCCCGTCTCTACAAAAAATACAAAAATTAGCCAGTCGTGGTGGTGTGCTCCTGTAGTCCCAGCTACTCAGGAGGCTGAGGTTGGAAAATCGTTTGAACCCAGGAGGCAGAGGTTGCAGTGAGCTGAGATCGCACCACTGCACTCTAGCCTGGGTGACAGAGTAAGACTCTGTCTCAAAAAAAATAACAAATAAAAAAATAAGCAACCAGAAGCCAAGGACCTTTCTCCAGCACAGGCCCTTCCTTATACATAATAGGCACTCAATGAAAATTTTTGAGTGTTGATTTTGTGGAAAAGAGCCAGAATCACAAATCATTTAGTTAGAAAAACAGGCAGGAATATTGGAAAAGTCGTCAAAGAAATGAGGGGATCATATGGAGAAGAGATATCTCAAAGGGAATGTGAGAGCTCTCTTCACATTTCTGAAGAGGATTAGGCATATGGGATTAGACTTCTACGTGATTTGAAGAGACAGTGGGTGCCGATTTCCATCTAATATAAAGGGCTTCCTGACATTTACAGCTGTCAAAGATAAAAGGAAAGACTATCTCAGGGACTACAAGTGTTTGAGTAGAGGCTGGAGCATCAGGTGGAAGAAGGGAAGCAATGGGGGAATTTAAGCACAGACTAGGACGTATTGAGGTTCCTTCTAGCCCTAAAATTATATGAAGATGAATCACTCCCAACGATCATCTGAGATGTAGCAGACATTTAAAGGAACAGAAGTGGCAGTGTTCCTCACCTCCACTGTAGAGATTTCAATATTATAATGGGGATCCAGATCAGACCAAACCAGTTACAGCCCTAAAATTCACCTCAGTCAACATGAACTCCATCTGGAACAGAGCAGCATTATTGGAATTTACCCTGGAGTGGGGAGGGGCGTAGTGAGATGCAGGGAGGAGATGAGCCAGAAGGCCGGATGTGCTGAGAAGTAGTGGCCCTGCCTAGAAAAGAAAAAGATAAAAAATAGAAGAAAAAATATTGTAAGAAAAAGGAAATAATCCCGCCTTCCCCTTCATGAAATCAGAGAATAGGTCTAAGAGCGAGCAAGGGGGCCCACATGTAGCTAAGGCAGACAAAAAATTCAATAGATTCTTGAAGAAGTAAAACCACTCTAAGGATCCAAACAGGAAGGCTCTGCTGTGCTCCATCCAGGAAGCTGAAAAGAAAATAGTCTCCTCATACTCAGGAATCTTAATCCAATAAGCAAAAGATCAATAAGATCAGGAATTTGAGAGTAAATCTGGGAAGTCTGCTAGCTTTGACTATCAAGCACCAATTAAAACTTTTTCACTAATAAATATATTAATGTAAAATTCCATAGTCAGAGTGCCTGTCCTCTACGTCAAACATTCTCAAGAGTACCGAGAGAGAGGAGCTGTCCAAAGCCAGCAACTTTCCAGGAAACTAGGTAGTTAGCTGAGGAAATGTGTGATGTAACATTCTGACTTGGATGTTTCATTCCACATGAGGAAAGGCACTCTGATCCTCAAGATCACTTTCAAGGGTTGAAAGCACAATCGAAGGGTCCAGGCAACTTTCCCCTTATAGCCAGACCTCTGCAAACTTGACAACTCCAAACAGTCTACAACAAAACACCAACAACAGATTCCAAAATCCCTGTCTTCAAGTTTTAGCAGAAATAATATTAATTTAATAAAACAGAAACAACAACAAAAACTACTCTGAACTGTGAGCCCCTCCAGGGCAGGAACCATGTCCTATTTACATTGCCATTTATGTCCAGCAAAAGACGTCCATTAAGTAAGGATTATTGACTGAAAGTCATTAACTGATTGATGGAAACAGTGTTTTGGAGCTTACAAATACAATAAACAAGGCAAGTACCCAGCATAAGGCAGACAATGACCTGACATGTAAAAGAAGTCTGAATGTATCTGTGGAGTCTCCAAGGCCAAAAACTGCACCTCCACCATAATGCAGTCCTCACTCCATCTTGTAGCTTTCCTTTCAGAGCAAAACTTCAAAACCCCTACACCTAGCCTGACTCCAGCCAGGCTAAATTTCCACCTGATTCTGAAAGGCTTCCTATCAGACAAGATGCTATAACTGCACCCCCATCTTATGTTCTAGACAACATTTTTGGTTTTCAGGAGTCTAGAAGGATATAAACACATAAGTATTTATTTTGGTGATGGACCATATTGTCAAACCCAAGGGCTTCTCCTGGCCTTACCTACTCCCCAACATCTATAGGCATTGGTCATAATAAACATTATTATTAATATCTTCATATTCAACAAAATATCAATATTTTTGCAGACAGAGTAACTAACAATAACTGGTTTGTTTTTCTTTCATAATAAAGCGTGTAAATCATAGCTAAGACCAAAAAGATTCATGTGAGACATAAGATAACTTTCCAGGCTCCCCAGCCACGTAATTTCAAGTAAGAATGCTTGTTTTCTGGGAGAGCCTGTTTCCTTTGATCCCAGTGATGAGCCAGTTATCCACAGCACACAAATCCCAGACTCGTAGCCAGAACAAAAGCATTTAGAATGTCACAGCTGAGGAATAAATGTGCCATGGCTGTTAAATTCAGCAAAACAGGAAAGAAGAGAAGAGTGCATGTGGCACCAGAACTACCCAATAAGAAAAGGCACTTAATGGCAAGTTTTCTATAAGTCTGACCAGTAAGAGCATCTAGAGGGCAGTTAGGAGTCCAGCAAAGAGCATCAGAGGTCCAAGAGAACAGGCCAAATGAGAATCCAGCCATCTAATAGTTTATGTATATATCCAGCACACACTTTAATACCTGTGATATACTAAGGACTGAATTATGGATAAAGAGATTATGAAGGCATAGGTTTCACTCATAATGATTACGATAATGATAATAAATATGAACAAAGTATAAAAGTGATACAAAAGATGGAGTGGCCCAGGAAGTAACATGATCCAGTGGGACACATACAATTTTTAGAATGAGAGATACCAGGGTTTGAATTCTACTCCTATCCCTTATTAGCTCAGTTCCCCTGTATGTAAAGCAAAGATAACAGCAGTAACTATCTTTTTTATTTTTATTTTTTATTTATTTATTTATTTATTTTTTTGAGACAGAGTCTCGATCTGTCACCCAGGCTGGAGTGCAGTGGCGTGATCTCGGCTCACTGCAAGCTCCACCTCCCGGGTTCACGCCATTCTCCTGCCTCAGCCTCCCGAGTAGCTGGGACTACAGGCGCCCACCACCACGCCCAGCTAATTTTTTTGTATTTTTAGTAGAGATGGGGATTTCACCATGTTAGCCAGGATGGTTTCGATCTCCTGACCTCATAATCTGCCTGCCTCGGCCTCCCAAAGTGCTGGGATTACAGAAGTGAGCCAACGCACCCGGCCAGCAGCAACTATCTTATGTAATTGTTGTGAGGACTAACTATATAACACTTGTAAAGTTTCTAGTACTTTGTCTGACACATATTATTGCTTTAAAAATCATTATTACTCACTTGCTGAGGGAAAGTTTCATGGGGAAGGTAATACTCAAACTAAGTCACAAGGAATGAGTTAGAGTTCACCTGTGAACACGTCAAGGAAAGGTTCTCCAAGTAGAGACACCAGCACATGCAAGGGCCCAGAACCTGTGGTTCCAGATGAATGGAAGGAGGTGGTTTCAATTTGAAGGCAAGAAAAATAGGAGAGAGAAAGTCGAGTCTCTCTCCTGGGATGAGAAGTGAGAAGAAGCACTTTCAGAAAAGATTCGGGTTAAATAAGAGTATTTTCACTGAAGAATAGGCACAAAAGATGGATGGGGTGGAGTGGGACATGAGGCTCTTGTACTGAAGAGCTGCAAAAAAGAAAAGGCTACTGTAATGGAATAGTCTTAGGTGGGCACTTCCAAAACTGACCCTAATCAGACACAGGTTTTAGTGAACAGAGAGTGGCCACCAAATTCAACACTAACTCTTCAGCAAGCAATTGAAACTCTGCAATGGAGGGGGCACAGGGCATCAATGTCTGCTGAAAATATAAACTGTAAAGCTAAAGAGCATCAAGAATAGGCTCCAGCCAGTACAATCAATCAAAATCTACTGCCGAACGAACATATTAAAATTTAGTGACAAATTCACTATAGTCAGTGTTTCAACGTGACAGAATAAATGGCTTATTTCTAATGAGTGCCAAAATTACAAAAAATACCAAAGGATGCTTCTCACTGTAACTTCCACAATGAAATATTAAGTTCTTTATTTTATACATATATACACACAAATGCCCCTACTCCAAATTCAGTACTATTGCCAATAAAGCTATATCAATTTTAAGAAATAGAACATGAATGTTCTACCATTTGAGAGTCTAAAGACCCCAAGTTTCTAAACAGTTATTCAACATTAAAATCTCAAAAGTCTTCTGAGACAATTTTACATCTATTTTTCATGTACACAAACTTAAAACGAAATGTTTGTACTCATGCTAAAGTAGAAAGAACCCAAGCTTTACTGTCAGACCAACACTCAAATTCCTCCCTAGTAACCTATGTTGTCTCAGCCCCCACATATGCAACATGTATAGATGGTGTGTATATATCTGAATGGCAGATTTGTTTTAGGGATAAGGTATCATGTATGTAAAGTCCTGATATGTTTTAAGCTCCTAATAAATGGAGGCTTTATTACTGTTGTGCAACTGTCAAAACCCGATGCATGACAGCATCAGGAAATTATTTTAGCAGTCATAATCTCTCAACCTAATGCTCCAAATATTGTTCTACATGGATTCTAAGATACAAATTGCCATATAATTAGCTCACAGCTAGCTTAAAATACAACCCTACGGGAGCTTGCTCTAGATGTTTGCAGCTGAGCTGTAGTGGGAATGTCTTGATGGAATAGCCTACGAGCAACTTGTCATGCTAAATTCTGAATGCTACAAGGCACTCAGATACCACATTTATAAGAATTGTATAATTTAAATATGTAAATGCTGAATAGCAAAGAGAACATTTTAATTTAGCCAAGACCAAAGTCTATCAAATAAAAATTATTTGACTATATTATACCTTAACAACTGATTGAGAAGGAATAGTATATATATGATTAGGTTTTCAGAGAAAGGAGGCATCTGTATCCACAGATTTATTTGGTGAGTTTTTGAAACCTTGCAATGGAACTATAAAAACAGTGTGATTAAAATCGATAGAGCACATCAATTGGTGATTCTGTTGCCCAAGAAAAGGCAATAAGCCTTAGGCATGTTATTAGTAGATTATACAATTTCACTGACAGGTTCAAGATTTTAAAGGCAACTGAGAAGAGAGAGGATTTCTCTTTTGGAGCCAAGGGATTTTTCTCTTCTAAAAGGAAATCATCATGTCCCTTTAAAAATGAAGATTAAAAATGTCTTCTGTAACATTTGAAAAAATAATATTGTTTTCCTTTATTTCCTAAAATAAAAATACATTGATGATTCTGATTAAAATTAAACTGAAAGCTACTTTTGTTGAACAATACTGTATCCAACCACATAGCCATTTAACAAATACCAGAATAATTTGGGAAGTAGAGGTTATAAGTTTATAATTTCCAAAAAGTCCATGCAGAAGAATATAAAGTCTAAAAATATGAGTTTCCAGACCTCTTCTGCAAAAATTGTAAGTGATTCTCTTTTCATGTATTAGTGATAAAATTATATACTTTTACACAGGCCTTCAAATTCAAAGAACGTTGTTTCAAAGCACACTTTTTAACCAGATAACAAAAGTCATGTAGACATAAATTTGTCTTATTAAAAAGTGACCAAGTCAAACTGAACCTAAAATCAGCAGGACTTTAGTCAGATATTCCACTATACTACAAACAGAAAATTGCAAAAATGTTCTATTGGTTGCTTTATTGTGAAAAGTCCAGAGTAGAAACATCTTTGTGTAGCCTTGGAAAACTAACAGCAACAATTTCATGTAGCTTTATGCTTATAACAGAAAAGAAAAAGTTGACTATAAAGTTGACCAGTTTAATCACTGAATCTCAATAGGAAATACAAGGCTAGGCTCACAGAAATAAATAAGTTGACTCAGTCATTGGCTGTATAGCTTTTGCCAAATGAACAGTAAACTCTACTTAGTGGAGCTTAAGTCATTAGACTTACATCAGGCATAATTTTTCAAAGAAAACTACAAAACACTACTTTCTCGTCAGTAATATATGTACATACTTGAAAACATATAATAGCTTTATGTTCTAAATAGCTATTGAAATAGATAGCTTTATTAACTAAATAATGCAAACAATTTTGTTTAGCTTCTCCCTCTCCCTCAGTCTCCACATTCAACATTGACAAGTCCATTCTATTTCTAAAACACTTCTCAAATCCATCAGTTTTCTCTATTCCAAATATCACAATCCTAGTCCACACCACTATCATCTCTTGCCTGGATTACTGCAAGAGTTTCCTAACTGGTCAACCTGACTCCAACTAAGCCATCTGATCTCCATACTCTCAAAGCTTTCTCCATACTCTAGCCAGAATACTCTTTCTAATATGCAAATCTGATCATATTTCTTCCCAACAAAAACCACTTCAGTGGCTCCCAAAAGCACTGAGATTAAAGTGATCCCTTAACATGACATACAGGAGCCTGTGTGATATGGTCTCAGCTTACTTCTTCAGGCTTAACTCATACTACTTCCTTAACAAAATTTGCCAACATACAGAACTTCTTTCATTTCCTGGAATCCAGTGCTTTCTCTAGGCCTTCTTATGTGTACTCTCAGCCTGGAACACTCTTTCCCATTCCTCTCTTCATCTGTATAATTCCTACTCTTCCTGCAAATCTTAGCTTAGACATCATCTCCCCTGAAATTCTCTTAAAATCTTGAGTCTTGGTTGAGTCTCTGCCTCTCCTATGTACACTTACTATATCATACTCTGAATTGTACTTGGTCACCTCCTTGTCTGTATCCTTCACTATACCCAAAGCTCCCTGAAGGCAGAGATGGTGTTTATGTTGTTAGTCACTGTTTATCAGGTGAGAGAATGACATAATAAGATGTGCTTTTTGGAAAGCACATTCTACCTTCAGTATAGAGAATGTATAGAAGGCAGGACAAGGCAGGAGATGTAAAGCAGCAAATCATTACAATTGTTTTAAGCAAGATGAAATTGTGGCCTTAACTAGGAAAGCAGAATCAGGGATGGGAAAAGTAGACAAATTCTAGAGGTATTTAAGATGTATAGTGATAGAACTTGGTAACTAATCAGTTATGACCTGATGAGGGAAAGAGAAAAGTCAATACATTGAAAACTGAGATAGATAGCAGCCATTTACTGAGACAGTAAAGACAGGAGGAAGAACAGATCTGGAGTAAAATAACCAGTTCAGTTTGGGATGTGCCAAGTTTGCTTTGTCTTAATTACACCAAAATGGAGTTGTAAGAGGTAGTGGATATTTAGGACCAGAGACAAGGAGAAATCTAGGTAGAAAACATGAATTTAAGAGTTATTTCACAGAGGCCGGGCACAGTGGCTCATGACTGTAATCCTAGCACTTTGGGAGGCAGAGGCTGGTGGACTGCTTGCGCCCAAGAGTTTGAGACCAGTCAGGGCACTATGGCAAGACCCCGTCTCTACAAAAAGTACAAAAATTAGCTAGGCGTGGTGACACACCTGTAGTCCCAGCTACTCAGGAGGCTGACATAGGAGGATCACCTGAGCCCAGGAGGTCAAGCCTGCAGTGAGTTGTGATCATGCCACTGGACTCCAGCCTGAGTGACACAGTGAGACCCAGTCTCAAAAAAAAAAAAAAAAAAAAAGAGAGAGAGAGAGAAAGAGAGTTACTTCATAGAAAAGGCACCTGAAGTCATGCATATAGGTGAGATCATCCAGGAAGGATATGTAGAATGGAAACAAGAGAACCAAGAAAAGAATTCTGAATAACATTAACTTCTAAAGGATAATCAGAGGAAGTCTTCAGTGGACTGAAGAATGGAAACGGTGTCCATAAAGGCAGCAAGGAGGTCATTTCTTGAAGGGAAGATTGGTCAAAAGCCAAATGGCTCAAAATTTTCAAATAAGATGAAGACTAAAAAATTATATTTAAAAGTTGAGCTGTGGAATACCATCAGCAAAAATGGCAGATTAAGGATCTCCAAAATTTTTCTCATCCACAAAAGCAATGAAAAAATGGCAAAAAAAATCAGAATAAACTTTTTCATAACTCTAGATATTAACTAAAGGCTTGCAGTAACCCAAAAAGCATGCATGTGTGAATGAATGAATATCAGTAAGAACAACAAGCTTCGTGGCATTTTAACTTGCCTTAGTCCCATCTCTGACTCCCTTATCTCCACAATAAAAATAATCGTGAAAAGTAATAACCCACAATCCTGGTGCAGCTTAACAGCTACTGGAGAAAGGAAAATGGAGCTAGGGCTCTTTCAAATGTTCATTCCCAAGAACTGTCATTATTTTACCATCTAGTGGTTCCCTGGAATAACCCACTTATAAGTCAGTCTGTATTTGGCCTAACTCAGGGCTTGCCAGTACAAAATGCCTCCTTCCCAGGGATTTGTAATTGTTGAAAATAATTACAAGCAGGTGTTTTAACTTCACAGTTGCCCAAGGCAGTTGATAACACTTGGAGCAACAACAGACTAACCAAAAAGTTTAAAAGAAAAAGCTGGAAAATTAGATCTCTGTAGGGGCTTTGAAAAACTCCAACATATTCCTAGGAATCTAGGAAGCTACACACACACATAGGGCTATATGCATGCACAGGAAAGACTTGAGAAGCTCCTAAACTCTAATCTCTGGCTGACCTGGAAGCTCTGCACAAGCAGGAAGTGAAGGCTAAGGTAAGTTGTCAACCACCTTGCTTAGTGTTGCAAGTGTAGCCCAACATGCACGTAGAGTTCCTTGGCAAAGAATGGGTGATTTATTGCTTCTAGGCATTGGAGGAAATCTTTTCCAATCATTAGCTGACCACCAAGATAAACAAGTAGACACTTCAATGGTCACAAACAATATAGATTATAGTCTTCAGACAAGTAGTTCAGAAAGGTCACCAAACTACTACCACTACAACCAGCAGCAACAAAACACCCTGGGGAGGGGAGAGTATCTTATTTCCAGAGTTGCCACATATAAAATGTCCAATTTTCAACAAAAAATTATGAGATATGGGAAAGAAAACAAGCAAACATGGCCCATACAGAAGGAAAACAAAGTAATCAGTGGAAACTGCCCTAAGGAGGCCCAAATGTTGAACTTACTAGACAAAGACTTTAAATGAACCGTTTTAAATATGTTCAAAGTGCTGAAAGAAACCATGTCTAAAGAACTAAAAGAGGCTGGGCATGGTGGCTCACGCCTATAAACCCAGCACTTTGGGAAGCTGAGGGGGAAGAACTGCTTGATCCCAGGAGTTCAAGACCAGCCTTGGCAACAGAGCTAGACCCTATCTCTAGTAATGTAAAGAATCAGCCAGGCATGGTGGCATGCACATATGGTCTGAGCTACTTGGGAGACTAAGGTGGGAGGATTACTTGAGCTCAGGAGTTTGAGGCTTCAGTGAGCTATGATCACACTACTACACTCCAGCTTGGGTGACAAAGCAAGAAGCTATCTCCAAAAAAAAAAAAAAGAAAAAAAAAAAGAAAGAAAAGAAAAGAACTAAAAGAAAGTATAAAGGTATAAATATATTATATTACACCAAATATAGATGATCAATAAATATATATGTTTTAGTCCATTTTCTGCTGCTATAACAGAATACCACAGGCTGAATAATTTCTAAAGAACAGAAGCTTATTTGGCTCATGGTTCTAGAGACTAGGAAGTCGAAGAGCATGGCACTAGCACCTGGTGAATATCATCTCATGGTGGAAGGCATCACATGGTAAGCAAGCATGCAAGAGAGAGTGAGGAAACCAGGCCAAACTCATCATTTTATCAGGAGCCCCAAGGCTGTAATAACTAAACCATGATAATAGCATTAATATATTCATGAGGGCAGAGCTCTTATGACCTAATCACCTCTTAAAGGTCCTAACTCTTAATACTGTTACAATGACAATTAACTTTCCAGCACATAAACTTTTGGGAGACACATTCAAACCTTAGTGATACATAAATTATTTTTTTAAATTAAATAGCAATTCTGGAGTTAAAAAGCATAATAACTAAAATGAAAACTTCACTACAGCGGCTCAACTGCAGTTTTGAGCAGGCAGAAGAAATAGTAAACCTGAAGATTGATTGAGATTAGCTAGTTTGAGGGACAAAAAGTAAACAATTAAAAAAAAACAACACAGGATCCCATTCCAAGATGGCCGAATAGGAACAGCTCTGGTCTACAGCTCCCACTGTGATCAACGCAGAAGATGGGTGATTTCTGCATTTCCAACTGAGGTACCTGGTTCATCTCATTGGGATGGGTTGGACAGTGGGTGCAGCCCATGGAGGGCGAGCCGAAGCAGGGCGAGGCGTTGCCTCACCCAGGAAGTGCAGGGGTCGAGGGATTTCCCTTTCCTAGCCAAGGGAAACTGTGACAGACCATACCTGGAAAAACAGGACACTCCTGCCTAAATACTGTACTTTTCCAATGGTCTTAGCAAACGGCACACCAGGAGATTATATCCCCTGCATGGCTGGATAGGTCCTACGCCTATGGAGCCTTGCTCACTGCCAGCACAGCAGTCTGAGAAGGATCTGTGAGGCAGCAACCTGGCAGGGGGAGGGGCGTCCACCATTGCTGAGGCTTGAGTAGGTAAACAAAGCAGTCAGGGAAGCTTGAACTGGGCAGAGCGCACCACAGCTCACCAAGGCCTGCTGCCTCTGTAGACTCCACGTCTGGGGGCAGGGCATAACTGAAGAAAAGGCAGCAGAAACTTCTGCAGACTTAAACGTCCCCGTCTCACAGCTGTGAAGAGAGCAGTGGTTCTCCCAGCATGGTGTTTGAGCTCTGAGAACGGACAGACTACCTCCTCAAGTGGGTCCCTGACCCCTGTGTAGCCTAACTGGAGACACCTTCCAGTAGGGGGCTGATTGACACCTCATACAGGCAGGTGCCCCTCTGGAACAAAGCTTCCAGAAGGATCAGGCAGAAATATTTGCTGTTCTGCAATCTTTGTTGTTCTGCAGCCTCTGCTGGTGATCCCCAGGGAAACACGGTCTGGAGTAGACCTCCAGCAAACTCCAACACACCTGCAGCTAAGGGATCTGACTGTTAAAAGGAAAACCAACAAACGGAAAGGAATAGGATCAACATCAACAAAAAGGATATCCACACCAAAACCCCATCTGTAGGTCACCAACATCAAAGACCAAAGGTAGATAAAAACCACAAAGATGGGGAGAAACCAGAATAGAAAAGCTGAAAATTCTAAAAACCAGAGCACCTCTTCTCCTCCAAAGGATTGCAGCTCCTCGCCAGTAACAGAACAAAGCTGGACAGACAATGATTTTGACAAGTTGACAGAAGTAGGCTTCAGAAGGTCAGGAATAAGAAACTTCTCCAAGCTAAATGAGGATGTTTGAACCTATCGCAAGGAAGCTAAAAACCTTGAAAAAAGATTAGACGAATAGCTAACTAGAATAAACAGTGTAGAAAAGAACTTAAATGACCTGATGGAGCTGAAAACCATGGCGCAAGAACTACATGATGCATGTACAAGCTTCAGTAGCCGATTTGATCAAGTGGAAGAAAGGGTATCAGTGACTGAAGATCAAATGAATGAAATAAAGCAAGAGGAGAAGTTTAGAGAAAAAAGAGTAAACAGAAATGAACAAAGCCTCCAAGAAATATGGGACTAGGTGAAAAGACCAAATCTACGTTTGATTGGTGAAACTGAAAGTGACAGGGAGAATGGAACCAAGTTGGAAAACACTCTTCAGGATATTATCCAGGAGAATTTCCCCAACCTAGCAAGGCAGGCCAACATTCAAATTCAGGAAATACAGAGAACACCATAAAGATATTCCTTGAGAAGAGCAACCCCAAGACACATAATTGTCAGATTTACCAAGATTGAATTGAAGGAAAACAATGTTAAGGGCAGCCAGAGAGAAAGGTCAGGTTACTCACAAAGGGAAGCCCATCAGACTAACAGCAGATCTCTCAGCAGAAACTCTACAAGCCAGAAGAGAGTGAGAGCCAATATTCAACATTCTTAAAGAAAAGAATTTTCAACCCAGAATTTCATATCCAGCCAACTAAGCTTCACAAGTGAAGAGGAAATAAAATCCTTTCTAGACAAGCAAATGCTGAGAGATTTTGTCACCACCAGGCCTGCCCTAAAAGAGCTCCTGAAGGAAGCACCAAACACGGAAAGGAACAACCAGTACCAGCCACTGCAAAAACACGCCAAATTGTAAAGACCATCAATGCTAGGAAGAAACTGCATCAACTAACAGGCAAAATAACCAGCTAACATCATAATGACAGGATCTAATTCACACATAACAATATTAACCTTAAATGTAAATGGGCTAAATGCCCCAATTAAAAGACACAGACTGGCCAATGAGATAAAGAGTCAAGACCCATCAGTGTGCTGTATTCAGGAAACCCATCTCACGTGCAGAGACACACATAGGCTCAAAATAAAGGGATGGAGGAAGATCTACCAAGCAAATGGAAAACAAAAAAAAAAGCAGGGGTTGCAATCCTAGTCTCTGATAAAACAGACTTTAAACCAACAAAGATCAAAAGAGACAAAGAAGGCCACTACATAATGGTAAAGGGATCAATTCAACAAGAAGAGCTAACTATCCTAATTATATATGTACCCAATACCAGAGCACCCAGATTCATAAAGCAAGTCATTAGAGAACTACAAAGAGACTTAGACTCCCACACAATAATAACAGAAGACTATAACACCCCACTGTCAATATTAGACAGATCAACGAGACAGAAAGTTAACAAGGATATCCAGGACTTGAACTCAGCTGTGCACCAAGCCAACTAAATAGTCATCTACAGAACTCTCCACCCCAAATCAACAGAATATACATTCTTCTCAGCACCACATCACACTTATTCCAAAATTGACCACATAGTTGGAAGCAAAGCTCTCCTCAGCAAATGTAAAAGAACAGAAATCACAACAAACTGTCTCTCATATGACAGTGCAATCAAATTAGAACTCAGGATTAAGAAACTCACTCAAATCCTGAAAAGTGCATGGAAACTGAACAACTTACTTCTGAATGACTACTGGGTAAATAACGAAATGAAGGCAGAAATAAAGATGTTCTTTGAAACCAATGAGAACGAAGACAAAACGTACCAGAATCTCTGGGACACATTTAAAGCAGTGTATAGAGGGAAACTTATAGCACTAAATGCCCACAAGAGAAAGCAGGAAAGATCTAAAATTGACACCCTAACATTACAATTAAAAGAACTAGAGAAGCAAGAGCAAACAAATTCAATAACTAGCAGAAGGCAAGAAATAACTAAGATCAGAGCAGAACTGAAGGAGATAGAGACACAAAAAACCCTTCAAAAAATCAATGAATCTGGGAGCTGGTTTTTTGAAAAGATCAACACAATTGATGGACCGCTAGCAAGACTAATAAAGAAGAAAACAGAGAAGAATCAAATAGACACAATAAAGATGATAAAGGGGATAGCACCACCGATGACACAGAAATACAAACTACCATCAGAGAATACTGTAAACATCTCTATGCAAATAAAATAGAAAATCTAGAAAAAATTGATAAATTCCTGGACACATACACCCTCCCAAGACTAAACAAGGAAGAAGTTCAATCTCTGAATAGACCAATAACAGGCTCTGAAATTGAGGCAATAATAAACAGCCTACCAACCAAAAAATGTCCAGGACCAGACGGATTCACAGTGGAATTCTACCAGAGGTATGAACAGGAGCTGGTACCATTCCTTCTGAAACGATTTCAATCAATAGAAAAAGAGAAAATCCTCCCTAACTCATTTTATGAGGCCAGCATCATCCTGATACCAAAGCCTGGCAGAGACACAACAAAAAAAGAGAATTTTAGAACAATATCCCTGATGAACATCAATGCTAAAATCCTCAATAAAATACTGGCAAACTGAATCCAGCAGCACATCAAAAAGTTTATCCACCACGATCAAGTTGGCTTCATCCCTGGGATGCAAGACTGGTTCAACATACCCAAATCACTATATGTAATCCATCACATAAACAGAACCAATGACAAAAACCACATGACTATCTTAATAGATGCAGAAAAGGACTTTGACAAAATTCAACAGCCCTTCATGCTAAAGACTCTCAAAAAACTACGCACTGATGGAATGTATCTCAAAATAATAAGAGCTATTTATGACAAACCCACAGCCACTATCATACTGAATGGGCAAAAACTGGAAGCATTCCCTTTGAAAACCTGCACAAGACAGGGATGCCCTCTCTCACCATTCCTATTCAACAAAGTATTGGAAGTTCTGGCCAGAGCAAGCAGGCAATAGAAAGAAATGAAGGGTACTCAATTAGGAAAAGAGAAAGTCAAATTGTCCCTGTTTGCAGATGACATGATTGTATATTTAGAAAACCCCATCGTCTCAGCCCAAAATCTCCTTAAGCTGATAAGCAACTTCAGCAAAGTCTCAGGATACAAAATCAATGTGCAAAAATCACAAACATTCCTATACACCAATAACAGACAAACAGCCAAATCATGAGTGAACTCCCATTCACAATTGCTACAAAGAGAATAAAATACCTAGGAATCCAACTTACAAGGGATGTGAAGGACCTCTTCAAGGAGAACTACAAACCACTGCTCAACGAAATAAAGGAGGACACAAACAAATGGAAGAACATTTCATGCTCATGGATAGGAAGAATCAATATTGTGAAAATGGCCATACTGCCCAAGGTAATTTTATAGATTCAATGCCATCCCCATGAAGCTACCAATGACTTTCTTCACAGAATTGGAAAAAACTACTTTAAAGTTCATACGGAACCAAAAAAGAGCCCACATTGCCAAGACAATCCTAAGCAAAAAGAACAAAGCTGGAGGCATCACACTACCTGACTTCAAACTATATACAAGGCTACAGTAACCAAAACAGCCTGGTACTGGTACCAAAACAGAGATATAGATCAATGGAACAGAACAGAGGCCTCAGAAATAACACCACACATCTACAACCATCTGATCTTTGACAAACCTGACAAAAACAAGAAATGGGGAAAGGATTCCCTATTTAATAAATGGTGCTGGGAAAACTGGTTAGCCATATGTAGAAAGCTGAAACTGCATCCCTTCCTTACACCTTACACAAAAATTAACTCAAGATGGATTAAAGGCTTAAATGTTAGACCTAAAACCATAAAAACCCTAGAAGAAAACCTAGCCAATACCATTCAGGACATAGGCATGGGCAAAGAATTCATGACTAAAACACCAACAGCAATGGCAACAAAAGCCGAAATTGACAAATGGGATCTAATTAAACTGAAGAGCTTCTGCACAGCAAAAGAAACTACCCTCAGAGTGAACAGGCAACCTACAGAATGGGAGAAAATTTTTACAATCTACCCATCTGACAAAGGGCTAATATCCAGAATCTACAAAGAACTTAAACAAATTTACAAGAAAAAAAACAAACAACCCCATCAAAAAGTGGGCAAAGGATATGAACAGACACTTCTCAAAAGAAGACATTTTTGCAGCCAACAAACATATGAAAAAAAATCTCATCATCACTGGTCATTAGAGAAATGCAAATCAAAACCACAATGAGATACCATCTCATGCCAGTTAGAATGGTGATCATTAAAAAGTCAGGAAACAACAGATACTGGAGAGGATGTGGAGAAACAGGAACGCTGTTACACTGTTGGTGGGAGTGTAAACTAGTTCAACCATTGTGGAAGACAGTGTGGTGATTCCTCAAGGATCTAGAACTAGAAATAACATTTGACCCAGCGATCCCATTACTGGGTATATACCCAAAGGATTATACATCATGCTACTATAAAGAGACACGCACATGTATATTTATTGTGGCACTATTCACAATAGGAAAGACTTGGAACCAAGCCAAATGTCCATCAATGATAGACTGGATTAAGAAAATGTGGCACATAAACACCATAGAATACTGTGCAACCATAAAAAAGGATGAGTTGATGTCCTTTGCAGGCACATGGATGAAGCTGAAAACCATCATTCTCAGCAAACTATCATAAGGACAGAAAACCAAACACCAAATGTTCTCACTCATGGATGGGAAGTGAACAATGAGAACACTTGAACACAGGGCGGGGAATATCACACACTGGGGCCTGTCATGGGGTGGGGGGCTGGGAGAGGGATAGCATTAGGAGAAATACCTAATGTAAATGACAAGTTAGTGGGTGCAGCAAACCAACATGGTTCACGCATACCTATGTAACAAACCTACATGTTGTGCACATGTACCCTAGAACTTAAAGTATAATAAAAAATTTTTTTTGAAAAAGAAAAGAAAAAGAAAAAGGAAGGACAAAAAAAAAGAAGTGAACTTGATTTTCCAGGAGATTGCTGAAATAAATCCCATGTATATGATCATATGCAAATTACAGAGGGAAGGAACACTCAGGAACAACTGCAGTTATCCTCTAATTTAACTTTGCCATACACTTTGTCTTTCTTATAATTCTAATGCTGTGTATTGTGTGCAAAAAATGAATTTATGCAGTACATGTATTTGTAAATTATTTGAAAACAATTTTAATTGCTGGTGCTTCTATGATTAGACTTGAATTTAGTTTATTCTCCGTCTGTTTTGTATAATAGCAGATAATGTCACCCAGAAGGTACTTTACAAAATTTAATGTGTTTAAGGAATCTCTACTGATGTTAATTAAGTTTGATCTTGCCTCTAGGATTGGACAATCATGTAAAAATTATTTTTTTAAAATAAGCCTGTGTGATATTTCATTTTTTTTTTTTTTGAGATGGAGTCTCACTCTGTCACCCAGGCTGGAGTGCAGTGGCGTGATCTCGGCTCACTGCAAGCTCCGCCTCCCAGGTTCACGCCATTCTCCTGCCTCAGCCTCCCGAGTAGCTGGGACTACAGGTGCCCACCACCACGCCCGGCTAATTTTTTATATTTTTAGTAGACACAGGATTTCACCGTGTTAGCCAGGATGGTCTCGATCTCCTCACCTTGTGATCCACCTGCCTCGGCCTCCCAAAGTGCTAGGATTACAGGCATGAGCCACTGCGCCCGGCTGATATTTCATTTTTTTTATGTTAGGTAGCATCCCCCAAATTAAAAAAACAAGTAATTATTTTTACCATATCAGTTTTTAGAGGAAGCATTGATTTATCTTCATGTATGAATAGTTTTGCATAGCATACAAAATTATCAATATTTCTTATTTTTGTATATTATTGATACTCATTATAATAAATTAATTCCACATATTACAAACAAAAAATAAAAAATAACATAGATTCAGAGACACCTGTGGGATACCATCAATGTATCAACATATGCATAACCCAAGGGAGAGAAGAAACATAAAGGGGAAGAAATAATATTTGAAGAAATAATGGCCAAAAATTTCTACATTTAGTGAAAAACATTAGTCTGCACATCCAAGAAGCTCAAAAAAACTCTGAGTGGCATAAACTCAAAAAGATCATACATAGACACATATTATTCAAACTGTCAAAAAACAAAATCAAAGAGAACCTTGAAAGCAGTGAGAGAGAAGCAACTTATCACATACAAAGGATCCTCAATATCCTCCAAAAGATTAACAACTAAATTGTCAACAGAAACCATGGAGGCCAGAAGGAAATTCGATGACATGTTCAAAGTTCTTTCTTTTTCTTTTTCTTGAGACAGGGTCTCACTATGTCACCCAGGCTGGAGTGTAGTAGCATGATCACAGCTCACTGCAGCCTTGACCTCTCTGGGCTCAAGTGATCCTCCCACCTCAGCCTCCTGAGTAGCTGGGACTACAGGCACATGCCACCATGCCCAGCTAATTTTTGTAGAGATGGGGTCTCACCGTATTGCCCAGGCTGGTCTCGAACTCCTGGGCTCAAGTGATCTGCCTGCCTTTGCCTCCCAAAGTACTGGGATTACAGGCATGAGCCACCACACATGGCCAATATATTCAAAGTTCTGAAAGGAAAAAACAAATAACCTATCAACCAAGAATTCTAAATCCAGCAAAACTAACTTTCAAAAATAAAGTGATTAGACTGAGGTCAGTACTACAGTGATACCAAAACCAGTCAAAGACATCTCACACACACACACAACTTTTGTAGACCAATTTCCCTTATGAGTATAAATGCAAAAGTCTCAACAAAATACTAGCCAACTGAATTCAGCAGCATATAAAAAGGATACACACTAAGACCAAGTGGAACTGATCTCAGAAATACAAGGTAGGTTCAACAAATAAAAATCAATGTAGTATACTATATTAATGCAATAATCCAACACATTATTAATACAATAAATGGTAAAATAAACATATCATTTTGATATATGCAGAAAAAAAACATTTGACAAAAACCAATAACCTATTGTAATTTTAAAAGAAAAAAGCACTCAGCAAACAAGTAATAGTGGGGAACTTCCTCAAACTGATAAAAGTCATCTATTAAAAACCCAAGCATTCCTATACACCAATAACAGACAAACAGAGAGCCAAATCATGAGTGAGCTCCCATTCACAATTGCTACAAAGAGAATAAAATACCTAAGAAAACAACTTACAGGGGATGTGAAGGACCTCTTCAAGGGGAACTACAAACCCTGCTCGAGGAAATAAGAGAGGACACAAATAAATGAAAAAACATTCCATGCTCATGGATAGGAAGAATCAATATCATGAAAGAGCCATACTGCCCAAAGTAATTTATAGATTCAGTGCTATCCCCATCAAGCTACCATTGATTTTCTTCCCAGAACTGGAAAAAAAATAAATTTCATATGGAACCAAAAAAGAGCCCACATTGCCAAGACAATCCTAAGCAAAAAGAACAAAGCTGGAGGCATCACACTACCTAACTTCAAACTATATACAAGGCTACAGTAACCAAAACAGCCTGGTACTGGTACCAAAACAGATATATAGACCAATGGAACAGAACAGAGGCCTCAGAAATAACACCACACATCTACAATCATCTGATCTTTGACAAACCTGACACAAACAGCAATGGGGAAAGGATTCCCTATTTAATAAATGGTGTTGGGCAAACTGGCTAGCCATATGCAGAAAACTGAAACTGGACCCCTTCCTTATACCTTATACAAAAATTAACTCAAGATGAATTAAAGACTTAAACGTAAGACCTAAAACCATAAAACCCCTAGAAGAAAACCTAGCCAATACCATTCAGGACATAGGCACGGGCAAAGAATTCATGACTAAAACACCAAAAGCAATGGCAACAAAAGCCGAAATTGACAAATGGGATCTAATTAAACTGAAGAGCTTCTGCACAGCAAAAGAAACTATCCTCAGAGTGAACAGGCAACCTACAGAATGGGAGAAAATTTTTGCAATCTACCTATCTGACAAAGGGCTAATATCTAGAATCTACAAAGAACTTAAATTTACAAGAAAAAACAACCCCATCAAAAAGTGGGCAAGGGATATGAACAGACACTTCTCAAAAGAAGACATTTATGCAGCCAACAAACATGAAAAAATCTCATCATCACTGGTCATTAGAGAAACGCAAATCAAAACCACAATGAGATACCATCTCATGCCAGTTAGAATAGCGATCATTAAAAAGTCAGGAAACAACAGATACTAGAGAGGATGTGGAGAAATAGGAGCGCTGTTACACTGTTGGTGGGACTGTAAATTAGTTCAACCATTGTGGAAGACAGAGTGGCAATTCCTCAAGGATCTAGAACTAGGAATACCATTTGACCCAGCAATCCCATTACTGGGTATATACCCAAAGGATTATAAATCACGCTACTATAAAGACACATGCACACGTAGGTTTATTGTGGCACTATTCACAATAGCAAAGACTTGGAACCAAGCCAAATATCCATCAATGACAAACTGGATAAAGAAATGTGGCACATATACACCATGGAATACTATGCAGCCATAAAAAAGGATGAGTTCATGTCCTTTGCAGGGACATGGATGAAGCTGGAAACCATCATTCTCACCAAACTAACACAGGAACAGAAAACCAAACACCACATGTTCTCACTCATAAGTGGGAGTTGAACAATGAGAACACATGGACACAGGGAGGGGAACATCACACACCAGGGCCTGTCGTGGGGTGGGGGGCTAGGGGAGGGATAGCATTAGGAGAAATACCTAATGTAGATGATGGGTTGATGGGTGCAGTAAACCACCATGGCACGTGTATACCTATGTAACAAACCTACACGTTCTGCACATGTACCCCAGAACTTAAAATATAATTTTAAAAAAACATAAGTAACATCATACTTAACGGTGAAAGATTGAAAGCTTTCCTCTAAAATCAGGAATAAGACAAGAATATCTACTTTCACCATTTCTATTTAAGATTGTACTGGAGGTCCTACACTACAGCACAATTAAACAAGAAAGTAAAATAAACTGCATCCAGATTATGATGGCAGAAGAAAAAATTATCTCTATTTGCAAAGTGACATGATCCTGTATGGAAAAAATCCTAAGGAATACATACATACACAGAAACACCCCCCAACACACACACACACACACACCAGCTAATAAGTGAGTTTAGCAAGGTTATAGAAGATCAATATATAAAAAATCAGTTGTAGTTCTACACATTCACAATGAACAATCTGAAAATGAAATGAAGTAAACAATTCAATCCAATAGTATAAAAAGAATAAATTAACAGAATAAGTGCAAGACTTGTACACATGAAACTATAAAACTTCATTGAAAGGAATTAAAGAAACAAATGGAAATACATTTTGTCTTCATGTATTGGAAGAATCAATACTCCCCAAACTGATCTACCAATTCAGTGTAATCCCTATTGAAATTCCATCTACCTATTTGTAGAAATTGACAAGATAATTGTAAAGTTCATATGAAAATGAAAGGATTTACGATAGCAAAAACAATCTTGAAAAAGAACAAAGTTACAGCACTCATACTTAATGATTTTAAAGCTTACTTCAAAACTATAGTAATCCAAACACTGTGGTACTGGCCTACAACAGACATATAGATCATAGGACAGAATTGAGAGTCCAGAAATGAGACTATATACATGTAAAAAACAAGTGACTAATTGAATTTTGACAAGGGTAGGTACCAAGACAATTCAGTGAGCAAAGAACAGTCTTTTCAGCAAATGGTGCTGGGATAACTGGATATCTACACACAAAAGAATAAATGTAGACCCATATCTCACACCATATACAAAACTTAACTCAAAATAGATCAAAGACCTAATTGTAAGGGCTAAAACTATAAAACTTCTAGAAGAAAACATAGAGGTAAATCTTTGCGATGTTAGATTAGGCAACAGTTTCTTAGATATGACACCTAAAGCATGAGCAACCAAAGGAAAAATAGATACATGGACTTTAAAATAAGAAACATTTGTGCTTTAAAGGACACTATCCAGAAAGTGAAAAATAACCCACAGACTTGGAGAAAATATTTGCAAATCATATAGTTAATGAGGGCCTACTATCAAGAACATGTAAAGAATTCTTACAACTCAAGAATAAAGAGACAACCCAATTTTAAAATGGGCAAAGAATTTGAATAAATTTTCCCAAAGAAAATATACAAATGGCCAATAAGCACATGAAAAGATGTTCAGCATCATTAGTTATCAAGAAAATACAAATCAAAAGCATGAGATATCACTTCACATTCACTAGGACAGCTATAGTAAAAAACAAATAAAATAAAATAACAAGTGCTGGAGAGTGTATAAAGAGATGTGGAGAAACTAGAACCTCCATATACTGCTGGTGGGAATGTAAAATGGTATAGCCAGAAATCAGTTCGGGATTTCCTCAAAAAGTAAAACACATCTACCATATGATCCAGCAATTCTACTCTTAGATCCAAGATAATTGAAAACATGTTCACACAAAAATGTACACAAATGTTCACAGCAGCATTATTCATAATAGCCAAAAAGTTGCAAACAACCCATCAGCTGATGAATAAGTTGCAAAAATGCCCATCAGCTGATGAATAAAGAAAACATGGTATATACATACAATAGAGTATTATTTGGCCACTGATATATATTCAACATGGATGAACCTTGAAAATATTCTGCTAAGTAAAAGAAGCTAGATACAAAGCCCATATATTATATGAGTCTATTTATATGAAATGTCCAGAATAGGCAAATCATAAGAGACAGAAAGCAGATTAGTGTATTTCAGGGCTTGGGAAGTGACTAATAGGTATGAGGTTTCTTCGTGGGGAGATGAAAATGTTCTCAATTACATAGTGTGATGATTGTACAACCATGAAAATATATGTTTTAAAATGGTAGATTTTATGGTCTATAAATTATATTTAAATTTTTAAAAATTAAGTCGTCCCTAAAAATTTGCCAAAATTAATTTAAGTGAAGTCTGTTACCCAACTTCAAACTATACTACGGGGCTACAGTAACCAAAAAAGCATGGTGCTAGAACAAATACAGACACACACCAATGGAACAGAATAGAGGGCCCAGAAATAATGCTGTGCACCTACCAGCATCAAATCTTTGACAAAGCTGACAAAAGCAATGGGAAAAGGACTCCCTATTCAATCAGTGGTGCTGGGATAACTGGCTAGCCATATGCAGAAGATTAAAACTGGATCCCTTCCTTATACCATATACAAAAATCAACTCAAGATGGATTAAAGACTTAAATGTAAAACCCAAAACATAAAAGCTTTGGAAGATCACCTAGGCAATACCATTCTATACATAGGAACTGGCAAAGATTTCATGATAAAGATGCCAAAAGCAACTGCAACAAAAACAAAAATTGACAAATGGGACCTAATTAGACTAAAGAGCTTCTGCACAGAGGAAAAAAAGAAACTAATCAACAGAACAGACAATCCACAGAATGGGAGAAAATACTTGCAAACTATGCAACTGACAAGGGTCAAATATCCAGAATCTATAAGGAACTTAAATTAACAAGCAAAAAATAAACAACCCCATTAAAAAGTGGGCAAAGGACATGAACACTTTTCAAAATATGACATACATGCAGCCAATAAGCATATGAAAAAATACTCAACATCACTAATCATTAGAGAAATGCAAATCAAAACCACAATGAGATACCATTTCATACCAGTCAGAATGGCTATTTTTGAAAAGTAAAAAAATAACAGATAGTGGTGAGGTTGCAGAGAAAAGGGAATGCTTATACACTGCTGGTGGAAATGTAAATTAGTTCAACCACTGCAGAAAGCAGTTTGACGACTTCTCAAAGAACTACCATTTGACCCAGCAATCCCATTATTAGGTATACACCCAAAGGAATATAAATCATTCTACTATAAAGACACATGTATGCATATGTTCATTGCACCAACACTGTTTACAATAGCAAAGACATGGAATCAACCTAAATGTCCATCCACGGTAGACTGGATAAAGAAAATGTGGTACACATACACCATGGAATACTACACAGCCATAAAAAAGAATAAGATCATGTCTTTTGTAGCAACATAGATGGATTGGAGGCCATTATCCTAAGCAGACTAATGCAGGAACAGAAAACCAAACACGGCATGTTCTCACTTATAAGTGGGAGCTAAACACTGAGTACACATGGACACAAAGAAGGGAACAATAGACACTGGGGCCTGCTTGAGAATGGAGGGTGAGAGGAGTGTGAGGATTCAAAAAACTACTGATTGGGTACTATGCTCAAACCTGAGTGACAAAACAACATAGACACCAAACCCTTGCAACATGCAACTTATTTATGTAACAAACCTGCACATGGACCCCTGAAACTAAAAGTTAAAAAGTCTCCATCTTGAAACTATTAATCCTAAATGCTTTCCCAGCTCAAAGGATCTATGTCTTTGACTAGCATTTTAGTCAGTTCGACTTAAAATTCACTACTCTTTCTTCCTTGGGTGGGAAGCCCTTCTTCATTTCTCCCAGTCTACACCTTCCAGCCTCTTATTATGATGATTTAGCCCACTAGGTCTCATTCTTTTTATCTGACTTGTCACCAATCTCCTTATCTATATAATAAAGGGACTCCCTCCCCTTTCTAACACTTCTCCTGTACTTGAACTTGACTTCTGTGTTTTAAATAGGTAGGACTCTTTTTCCTTCAGCAATTAACAAACATCAAATGGAACACAATAGCTTTAAAAGGAATTACATAGAAATTGTTTCACAATGGACTTTAAAACTGTACTCCTTAAGTTCCCAGTGGCTAAAAATAGTCATTTGTTTGCTCTGCCAGGAACTCATACAAAATAGGAAAATTTTCCCCGCTCCATGTTTTATCTCCTCTACACAATAACAAAATAAGTGCAACAGACTATTTTAGCCAGACATAAGCCTGTCAAAGCTGAAAAACAGGATTCAGAGGAAAGGGTAGATAGGAGCTTTTCTACTCCACTCCCATGAAACTGACAGCTACTGCTGTTATGAACCAATACATCATTATTTACATTGGGTGTGGGAATATGTAAGCTTTGTAAGAAGCACAGAGAGCCCTTTGACAACTAGGTCAATTCTCACAATGGCAACACCCTAAGCAGCATTTCCAGGGGTAGCGGTTGTAATGTGCTAAAGCTGGCCTGTATCAACTTGCAAGAGCCAATTGTTAAATTTTCAGGAATTTTGAGATATAGTTGTCAAATACAATTACTATTAAAAATTAAATTATAGGCCAGGTGCCATGGCTCACGTCTATAATCCCAGCACTTTGGGAGACCAAGGTGGGAGGATCACTTGAGGCCAGGAGTTCAAGATCAGCCTAGCAACACAGGGAGACCTCATCTCCAGAAAAATAAAAAATAAAAATAAAAAATAATTATCCAGGCATGGTGGTGTGTGCCTGTAGTCCTAGCTACTTGGGAGGCTCAGGAGGATCACTTGAGCCCAGGAGTTCGAGGCTTCAGTGAGCTACGATCACGCCACTGTATTCCAGCGTGGGTGACAGAGCAAGACCCTGTCCCTAAAAAAAAGGAAAATAAATAAATTATATAAACTTATAATAAATGATATAGGAACAAAAGTAATAAATACTCAAAATTCATCACTTCCTAATCATTTCATCACAGTTTATGCTGCAATCTTGCGGTTCTTTGTGCCTACTGCATTTGTATGCTGAAAATACTACACAATGGTGTGTTCATGCACATCTCTTCCCAACTCCACAGCAGTGATGGCAGCTTAAAATTAGCCATGGTGGGTGTGCTTATACCATGGAATTGGCAAATGCCATAAATCAGAGCTTATTTTTCTGGAAAGGTGATTGCTAAATATTTACCAACACACCACTGGACAGCCATAAACTGTAGTCTGTTTTTCCTCTGGAATAGCCTATTGGTTCCACTTCGAAACTCTTATTCAGTGCTTAGCATCCTGATTTGCATCTACATATGCCTGATATATAAGCTAATGATAAAAGTTCACCAAATGAAGCCACGCAGTCTGTTACCTATTTAAAAATTGATATTTTTCATAGATTTATTGAATGTTAAAGTTGGAAGGAGCCTTAGAAGGCATGTATCGAAACTGTTCACTAGTGGAAGGACTCTCCCCTCTGACATTCTCGGACAGATGTCAATTTAGTTTCTCTCCTCTCTGTGCTGCCACGTGTGCTATTCCCTCCACGTGGGACATTCTTCCTACCATCCTGCCCTTGCCCAGGTTCATCTTTTTCTGGATCACTCTTTGTCACTCTTAAACACCACCTCTTCCAAGAAGGCTTCCCTAACCTCTAAGGCTGACCTGGTAGCCCTTCCACGTGTTCTTGGATCACACACTACTTCCTCCTACACAGCGTTAGTCACACTCTGTGAAATTCCCAGTTTCTCCTTCCTCAGACCGTAAGCGCTAAGGACAGGCAACACACTTACTTCGTTCATTACTTTACTCCTGTTGCCCTATCCAGGTGTTTGTCAAAAGAAGCACTCTATAAATGTGAACAAATGAATGAAGGAAGGAATGAATGAATTAGGCAGTAGGAAAGGCACTGAACTTCAACTCCTAAAACAACACTCAACTCCCAACTCTGCCCTTACTAACTAGCTGTGAGCCCTCTGTTAAGTTACGTTAAGCTCTGTTAGCCTTCGTTTACTTACACATAAAATGAAAAAAGTAGGACTAACTCACCACACTGTTGAGGATTAAATGGGATGATTTATGAACATAAAGCTTTTGGTAAACTGCAAAATGGCTTTAAAATGCCATATACTGTATTATTATTTCTGGGCACTTCCAGAGAAGGGGAGCTTACATTTTGCAATGCCACCCAGTCCAATTTTGATAGCTATAATTGTCACAATCTCCGTAAATTCAACTCTTGTCCTAAAATTCTTCCAACTCAACATAATAATCTAATCTTTTTTCCATATGATAACCTTTTAAATAGTGAAGATCAGAGCTAAGTTACCCTTACTAACTTTGTCTTCTCAAGGCTAAACAGTTTCAGCTTCTTTGAGGAGGTGGAAGGAAACTTACCTTCAGAGAAACTCTCTTTTTGATAATTTGGGCAGTACTAAAGAGCCCTATATTCATTTTCTATTGCTGCTGTAACAAATCAGCACAAACTCAGTGGCTTAAACAATACAAATTCAGTATCTTACAGTTCTGTAAGTTAGAAATCTAACAGCCTCCCTGGGCTAAAATCAAGGTGTCAGCGGGGCTGCATTCCTTTCTGGAGGCTTTAGGAGAGAATCTGTTTCCATGCTGATTCTCCACAGCTGGGAAAGGTTCTCCGATTTTTTTAAGGACTCGTGTGATTAGATTGGGCCCACCTGGATAATCCAGCAAAAAAATCCCCTCATTTGAAGATCCTTAACCTTAATTAATTCTGCAATGTCTCTTTTGCCATTTAGGGTAACATTTTTACAGGTTCCAGGAATTAGGACGTGGACACCTTTGGGGGGCCGTTATTCTGCCTACCACAAGCTCCTTTATGGCCATTTTCCCTCTTATATTTGTCAACATCATTTACCCACATACACACTTTTACCTTTTTAATTTGATATAAATACACACACATACATATGCACATACATATGTGTGTGCTTATAAATAAATTATCCCTTTCTCCCCTGCTTACTCTGAGTGTCTATTCACATGCTAGCCATGGGGCATCCTATACAGTAGATTATACTTCAGATTTCCAATTCTGATCATTGCTTTTCAAACTAAATATGGATTTATCTTAAGTGACATGTGGTCACTTATCTCAGGCTTTGTCCACACAGCATCAAAATATTAAGTAAAAATGAAAATTCAGTCCATTTTCCAGATTTACCTAATTTCAGGGATCTGAAATACAAAAAAAGATGACGCAAGGCCTTCTAGCAGCCTTGCCCCCAAAAAGAGCCTTGGTTGAGCAAAACTCCCTGAGCCAACCAGCCCTCTAGCCTAGCTCACTGCTCTTGATAAGTGCTGTGTTCTTTCTACGATACCCAAAGATTGCCTAGGTTCAAATTCTGGCCACTTACTAAGCCTGTGATCTTAATCCACTTAATCTATTTGTGTTTTAGTTTACTCATCAGTAAATTGGAGATAACAGAGCACCTTCTAGAGGCTTATGATGAGGAGTGAATGAGTTAATACATATAAAATACTTATACTGCTGCCTGATAAATTATAAACACTCAATGCACATTGTAAGGGGGTATGAGACAGGGAATAAGTCTAAATCACTACCCAGCGAAGAGTCTTTGATGACTCCTGTGGTAAAGGTGAAGGAGGAAGGAGGAAATATAGAGCATGTCTATGTCTTAAAACCCATTTATCTTAAAGAAGACTAAATAAGGGGGATGGGGGGGTACACTTAAAGGCACCCCTGATGAAAAACCTCTGTCTCCACATAAGTCCAATCAGAAATTGATTGGGTAAACAAGCCCCTACTTTTTAATACAAACTGACAACTGAGGCAAATATAATAATTCCACAAGCATTTAATGAGCACCTATAATACGACTCCTATCACAAGGATCGTGCAGTCTAGTTGAGTATTTCTCAAAAGCTTTTGACCTGATCTACAATAACAAATACCTTGTTTTTACTTTGTTTTGTTTTGTTGTTGTAGTTGTTGTTGTTTTGAGATGGAGTCTCACTCTGTCGCCCATGTTGCAGTGCAATGGCACGATCTCGGCTCACTGCAACTTCTGCCTCCCAGGTTCAAGCGATTCTTCCATCTCAGCTTCCCAAGTAGCTGGGATTACAGGCACCCTCCATCATGCCCAGCTAATTTTTGTATTTTTAGTAGAGACGGGTTTTCACCATGTTAGCCAGGCTGGTCTTAAACTCCTGACCTCAGGTGATCTGCCCACCTTGGCCTCCTAGAGTGCTGGGATTACAGGTGTGAACCACCACGCCCAGCCAACAAATAGGTTTTTACATTATGACCCAACACACACATACATGTATATACTGAAACAAATACTCTACCTTCTATTCTTTTTTTTTTTTTTTTTTTTGAGACAGGGTCTCACTCTTTCACCCAGGCTGGAGTGTAGCTGCACAATCATAGTTCACTGCAGCCTCGAACTCCTAGGCTGAAGTGATCCAACTACCTGAGCCTCCCCAGTAGCTAGAACTACAGGTGCCCACCACCACCACAGCCAGCGAATTTTTTAATTTATTGCAGTGATGGAGTCTCCCTATGTTGCCCAGGCTATTCTCAAACTCCTGGGCTCTAGCAATCCTCCCACCTTGGCCTCCCAAAGCATTGGATTATAGGCATGAGCTATTGTGCCTGGCCTTACCTTTTCTTCTTGTCTATTCTATTCCTCTTTTAAAAAACTCTTGTCACAACACCCCTCATCCCACTAAATTGATTTCACTACCCATTAATGGTCATGATCCAAAGTTTGACCAAACTGGTATTGAAAAACCTCAATCGGGACATGTGAGGAATTAACTTTAACACAATGGAGAATGGAAATGTGGAGAATGGGTTTCTCCCTAAATAGGAGCTTGAAATGAATAACCATCAAGGTCTCAGTCAATTCTAAAGGCCACTCATGGCCGGGCTCAGTGGCTCAAGCCTATAATCCCAGCACTTTGGGAGGCCGAGGTGAGCAGATCACCTGAGATCGAGAGTTCGAGACCAGCCTGACCAACATAGAGGAACCCCGTCTCTACTAGAAATACAAAATTAGCTGTGTGTGGTGGCACACACCTGTAATCCCAGCTACTCAGGAGGCTGGGACAGGAGAATCACTTGAGCCCAGGAGGCGGAGGTTTTGGTGAGCCAAGGTCGTGCCATTGCACTCCAGCCTGGGCAACAAGAGCAAAACTCTGTCTCAAAAAAAAAAAAAAAAAAAAAAAGCCACTCATTACAATATGTTCAGACATTAAATGGCATAGTCTGATCTATATTAAGTACACTTCTCATATAAAGGATAAGAGTTCAACGATTAAATCCTATCTTTTTGGGGTAAATCTACAGGAAGAGACATTTTAATGAAAACCTTCCATGTGACTATAGTCGACTCCCATTCTATAACTTTGTATGTGTAGAAATGGTTCTTTTCAAAATTCCCAATGAAATCAGCACTTCAAACATAATACTTGGGCCATGAAAATACACCCAAATAAAATACGGGTAGGGTTTAAATAACTTATTAAACGTTTTCCAGCAGATCCTGAATCTAATGATGAATATGTTTTAATGACCCCATCATATTTGTTACAAAATAGTACATTTTTTATTTCAATAGTTTTGGGGGTACAGGTGGTTTCTGGTTACATGAATAAGTTCCTTAGTGGTGATTTCTGAGATTGTGATGCACCCACCACCCTAGCAGAGTACACTGTACCTAATATGTAGTCTTTTATCCCTCACCCCCATCCATCCTTCCCCTTGAGTCCCCAAAGTCCTTTATATCATTCTTATGCCTTTGCATCCTCATAGTTTAGCTCCCACTTATAAGTGAGAACATATGATAGTTGGTTTTCCTTTCCTGAGTTACTTCAGTTAGAATAATGGCCTCTAGATCCATCCAAGTTGCTACAAGGGCCATTATTTCATTCCACTTTATGGCTGAATAGTATTCCATGCTGTGTACATACATTTTCTTTATCCACTCCTTGACTGATGGGCATTTAGGTTGGTTCCATATTTTTGCAATTAAGAATTATGCTGCTATAAACGTGTGTGCATGTGTCTTTTTTATATAATGACTTCCTTTCCTTTGGGTAGATACTCAGCAGTGGGATTGCCAGATCAAATGGTAGTTCTACTTTTGGTTCTTTAAGAAATCTCTATCTTGTTTTCCATAGTAGTTGTACTAGTTTACATTCCCACTAGCAGTGTAAAAGTGTTCCCTTTTCACCACATCCACACCAGCACCTATTATTTTTTGGCTTTTTAATTATGGGCATTCTTGCAGGAGTAAGGTATCTCATTGTGGTTTTAATTTGCGTTTCCCTGATAATTAGTGATGTTGAGCATTTTTCATAAGTTTGTTGGCTGTCTGTATATCTTCTGTTGAGAATTGTCTATTCATGTCCTTTGCCTACTTTTGGATGGGATTATTTGTTTTTTTCTTGTTGACTTGCTTAAGTTCCTTGTAGATTCTGGATATTAGTCCTTTGTCAGATATGTAGTTGGAGAATATTTTCTCCCACTCTGTGGGTTGTCTGTTTACTCTGTTGATTATTTTTTTGGTAGTGTGGAAGCTTTTTAATTTAGTTAGGTCCCATTTATTTATTTTTGTTCTCGTTGCGTTTGCTTTTGGGTTCTCAGTCATGAATTATTTGCCTAAGCCAATGTCTAGAAGAGTCTTTCCAATGTTATCTTCCAGAATTTTTATAGTTTCAAGTCTTAGATTTGAGTCTTTGATTCATCTTGAGTTGATTTTTGTATAAGGTGAGAGATGAGGATCCATTTTCATTCTTCTACATGTGGCTTGCCAATTTTCCCAGTACCATTCATTGAATATGGTGTCCTTTTCCCAACTTTATGTTTTTGTATGCTTTGTTGAAGGTCAGTTGGCTATAAGTGTTTGACTTTATTTCTGTGCTCTCCATTCTGTTCCATCGGTCTACATGCCCATTTTTATACCAGTGCCATGCTGCTTTGGTAACTATAGCCTTGCAGTATATAATGTGATGCCTCCAGATTTGTTCTTTTTGCTTAGTCTTGCTTTGGCTATGGAAGCTCTTTCTTGGTTCTGTATGAATTTTGGTATTGTTTTTCTAGTTCTGTGAAGAATGACAATAGTATTTTAACGGGAATTGCACTGAATCTGTAGATTGCTTTTGGCAGTATGGTCATTTTCACAATATTGATTCTACCCATCCATGAAGTTGGGATGTGTTTTCATTTGTTTTTGTCACCTATGATTTCTTTCAGCAGTGTTTTGTAGTTCTCCTTGTAAAGATCTTCCACCTCCTTGGTTAAGCATATTCCTAATTATTTTATTATTTTTTGCAGCTATTTTAAAAGGGACTGAGTTCTTGATTTCTTAGCTTCATCATTGTTGGTGTATAGCAGTCCTACTGATTTGTGTACATTGATTTTGTATCCTGAGACTTTACTGGATTCACTTATCAGATCTAGAAGGTTTTTGGTAGGGCTTTCTAGGTATATGATCACATCATTGATGAACAGTGACAGTTTGACTTTCTCTTTTCCAATCTGGGTGCCCTTTATTTATTTCTCTTGTCTGATTGCTGTGGCTAGGATTTCCAGTACTATGTTAAACAGAAGTGGTGAAAGTGGGCATCCTTGTCTTGTTCCAATTCTCAAGGGAAATGCTTTCAACTTTTCCCCATTCAATATGATGGTGGCTGTGGTTTTGTCATAGTTGGCTTTTATTACTTTGAGGTATGTCCCTTCTATGCCAATCTTGTTGAGAGTTTTTATCATAAAGAGATGCTGGATTTTATCAAATGCTTTTGCTGTGTCTATTCAAATGACGATATGATTTTTGTTTTTAATTCTGTTTATGTGATATATCACATTTACTGACTTGTATTAAACCATCCCTGCATCCCTAGTATGAAACCCACTTGATCTGATGTATTATCTTTTTGGTATGCTGTTTGATTCCGTTAGCTAGTATTTTGTTGAAGATTTTTGCATCTATCAAAACAGTAATATTTTAAAGTATTGCCCTTAATATGTCATAACTCTAAGATATAAAAATGGAAATTCTACAAAATGATCAAAGAAAGCTACTTATAAAGGATTAAATGTGCAAATGATTCCTTCTGCGCCAACTATTATTACAAATAAAGCTCCAGATCAAAGGGTAGATCTTCTTTAAGTAGATTATGCTCATAGATAAAACAGACTAATGAATTTTACAGTAGTTTTCTGTTGGGTCAATAATCTATAGATTAATTCTCCTTTATTTCTAGTGACTAAGTTTTCCTTGCTACTTATGCTTTTCTCTATAACTGACAAAAATTTACATAATGATATACAATTTCTTTTTTTCATAGTTTGTATTTATTGGGCACCTAATTTATATAAGATCTCGTTCTTGGTCTTGTGGAAATAGAGGGTAGATATACAAAAAAAATATCAACCAGAGTCTCTAAAAAATACAATCTAACATAAAATGTGACACAGATAAACGAAGTATACAAAGTGCTACTGGCTCAAAGAAGGGAGAGATGATCTCCAGCAAGGTAAAAAATGAAGAGTCCATAAAGGGATTTCACTTAAAATTGGCAGAAGCTGGAAGGAAAAGCATTCCTGTAACAGCTATGGTCCTAAGGCAAGAGTGTTTGTGGAGGCAGGAGGTCAAAATGTTCAGAATTTTATTGTAAGCTCATTTCTTATGAGCTTCTTAAGCTTATATTTTTTATTTTTAAGTCTAATACATAAAATACTAAAAGCCTAGTTCTTTCACCTTACTGTACTGTCCTTCTTAGGTTCTCGCCTGTACTGTGCTGACTCAGATTTCTTCTTGCACAAGCTTGTTCCCCATCTCATAGAGTCAGCATGACTTTGCTAGGGAAGTGACAAACTACTTTCACTCTGATCAAATTTTGACCTTGGCCTTCCTCAGGTACACAATTACCTAGTTCCCTGCTCTTCTTTCTTCCTATTGTGCCTTATAACTTCCCATTATATTTAGCATATTTAGCGCCCCTAGGTTTAGCACTGAGTTGCTTTTCACATTAGATTTCTCAAGGACTTACTATTGTAGCCCAAATAGAGAAAAAATTAAACAAATTATGAAATTCCTATTTATATATTCCTTCATTCTACAAATGACAATTGATTCTTTGGTTATAAGCGGCACTCTTATGAATAATGATGCATATAAGTTGCTAATGTATACCATCACTTTTTTGCCACTTAGTCAAAACTATTTACTAAAGCAAGCAAGGAGTCCTGTGCCATCATGGAGAGCGTGTGGAGCTAACCACCCTACAGCTTGCTTCTGCTCATCAAGGAAATCAAGAACCTGCTGGTTTTGTCCCTGCTCACCTAACATCTCACTTCTTTTTCCTCATCACAATACTGCTAATTCCACCTAATAGAATCCCTTATGCTTGTGTGTAGCCCGTTCCTACCACCTTGCTTTCAAATGCTGACCCATACCTCAAGAAGCTCTCCCTCTCTATATGTTTCATTTGCAGTGTAAATAAGGCACTATTCATGAATGCTGGTTTTGTCTATAGTGCTACTGATATTACTGTATCAACCAAAAACAGAACTATAAGTCTGATTGTAAAAATTACAGTCCATATAGAATCATGCTATCCACCTCTACACTGCTCGTAGATCCAAACCATCCCCTCACAATCCTTGCAACTTTTTCATCCCCCTGAAATTGAGGCTGCTTTTTTAAATCAAAAGTACTCAAGACTTTAAAACATTACTTCAATCACGGTAACTTTTTTTTTAATTTTTGGGGGTATATAGTAGGTGTATATATTTATGGGATACATGAGATATTTTGATGCAGGCATGCAATGTGTAATAACCACATCAGGATAAATGGGGTATCCATCACCTCAAACATTTATCCTTTGTGTTATAAACAATTCAATTATACTCTTTTAGTTATTTTTAAATGTACAATTACATGATTATTGACTACTGTCACCCTGCAGTGCTATCAAATACGAGTTCTTATTCATTCTATTTTTTGTACCAATTAACCACCCCCACTTCCCCACCCCACCCCACACCACTACGCTTTCCAGCTCTGGTAACCATCCTTCTACCCTCTATCTCCATGAGTTTACTTGTCTTAGTATTTTAGCTCCCAGAAATAAGTGAGAACATACTAAGTCTGTCTTTCTGTGCCTGGCTTATTTCACTTAACATAATGATTTCAGGTTCTAACTATGTTGTTGCAAATGACAGGATCTCATTCTTCTATATGGCTGAATAGTACTCCATTGTATATATGTGTCACATTTTCTTTATCCATTCATGTGTTGACAGACACTTAGGTTGCTTCCAAATTTATGGTAACTTCTATTTTTTGATAAATGACTATAATTATTATTAACACATTTTCTACAAATTTTCTATTTCATTTTAACACAATAACAGATTAAACCTTTGTGGGTTAGCCTGGAAACTTAGCCATCGTGAATAAAACCACTCTATGGGGGAAAAAAATCTGAGCTGTAAAAAATTAAACTAAAACTAATTTATAGATTCTATTTGGAGATGCTTGCCAATTCCTGAGGAAACAACAGATAGACTGAGTGGGATGTTACTGATAGCCTCCAGGGATCATGCGGATAAGAAATACAGTCTAAAGTCCACCAAGGTTGAGTACCTCAGGAGCCTTATTACATTGAGGTAGAACTCTGAAGGACTTCCAACCTACAGCAATAGGCATCAAATCATCTCATTCTCTAAAATTGAGTTGACGTGATCCTGGACTGGTTATACCCACAGGCGCTAGCAGGAACAAACATAATCCTTCTCTGAATGTTGATGACACCATCCTGGACCTCAGATTATCTCTGCAAACAATGTTTCAAATATAATGTCTGGCAAACAATTTAATTTTTTTAAAACAGCCACATGACTAGACAAGCAAACATGAATAAAACCAGGAATATAAACTCACCAACTGAGGCTCCAAACATTAAAGTTATCAGATAGAGACTCTAACTATCAAAGAAATACAGACAAGAAAATTATAATAAATGAGAAAACACAAAAAATGAACAAAAGGACATTAAAGACCTGAAAAATGCAATTGCAAAAATTAGAAACTCAAAGGATGGTCATAATAGCAGATTAAACTCAGCTGAACTGGAAGAGAAGTCAGAAAAATGAACAATTAAAATGCATCCAGATTAAATCAAGGAGAAAATACAAAATATTGAAAAGAATACAAGAGACATATGGAATAAACAAAATTGACAAACTCTTAGCTATACTAAGAAAAAAAGAGAATACTCAAATAAAATCAGAAATGAAAGAAGAGATATTACAGCTCATGCTACAGAAATAAAAAGAATCATAAGAGACTACTACGAACAATTATACGCCAACAAACTGGATAACCTAGAAGAAACAGAAAAATTCTTAGAAACATAGAACCTACCAAGATAAATTCAAGAAACAGAAAGTCTAAACAGATCTATAACTAGTATGGCAATTGAATCATTAATCAAAAACCTCCCAACAATGAAAAGCCCAGGATTATAGACTTCACTGGTGAATTCCAAATTCATTTTATAAGAGCTGCATTAGCCCGATACCAAAGCCAGATAAAGATACCACGAAAAAGGAAAACTACATGACAATATCTCTGATGAATACAGATGTAAAAATTCTCAACAAAACACTAGCAAACTGAATTCAACAGCACATTAAAAGGATCACAAACCATGACCAAGTAAGACTTATCTCTGAGATGCAAGGATAGTTCAACACATGAAAACCAATCAATGTGATACACCATATTAACAGAATTGAAAATAAAATCACATCTTTGTCTCAATAGATGCAGAGAAGCATTTGGATAAAATTCAACACTTTTTCATGATAAAAAACAAAAAAACTCTCAACAAACCAGGAATAGAAGAAAACAATCCCAACGTAATAAAGACCATATATGAAAAGCCCATAGTTAACATCACACTCAAAGGCGTAAAACTGAAAGCTTTATAAGATCTGGGGCAAGAAAGACATCCTATGTTCATGGATTGGAATAATTAATATTGTCAAAATGCCCACACTGCCCAAAGCAATCTACAGATTAAACGCAATCCTTACCAATATCCCAACAGCATTTTTTACAAAAAGAAAGCAATCCTAAAATTCACATGCAACCACAAAAGACCACAAATTGCTAAAGCAATCTTAAGAAAGAACAAAGCCAGAAGCATCACACTTCCTGATTTGGAAATATATTACAAAGCTACAGTAATCAAGAATATAATACTGCCATAAAGATAAACATATTGACTAATGGAACAGAATAGAGATCCCAGAAATAAACCCATGCATATATAGTCAACTGACCTTCAACAAAGATGCTAAGAATACACAATGGAGAAAGAACAGTCTCTTCAACAAATGGCACTGGGAAAACTGGATATCCACATATAAAAGAATGAAACTGGGGGCAGATTCCTAGATGGCCGAATAGGCACAGCTCCAGTCTGCAGCTCCCAGCGTGAGCGACAAAGAAGATGGGTGATTTCTGCATTTCCAACTGAGGTACTGGGTTCATCTCACTGGGGCTTGTCAGACAGAGGGTGCAGCCCACGGAGCAGGATGGGGCATCACCTCACCCGGGAAGTGCAAGGGGCGGGGGAATTCCCTTTCCTGGCAAAGGGAAGCCGTGATAGATGGTACCTGGAAAATCGGGGCACTCCCACCCTAATAGTGCACTTTTCCAAATGACCTTAGCAAATGGCATACCAGGAGATTATATCCCGTGCCTGGCTTGGCGGGTCTCACACCCACGAAGCCTCACTCACTGCTAGCACAGTGGTCTGAGATTGAACTGCAAGGTGGCAGCAAGGCTGGGGGAGGGGCGTCCGCCATTGCTGAGGCTTGAGTAGGTAAACAAAGCGCCCTGGAAACTCAAACTGGATGGAGCCCACCACAGCTCAAGGAGGCCTGCCTGCCTCTGTAGACTCCACATCTGGGGCAGGGCATAGCTGAAAAAAAGGCAGCAGAAACTTCTGCAGACTTAAACGTCCCTGTGTGATGGCTTTGAAGACAGTAGCGGTTCTCTCAGCACAGAGTTTGAGATCTAAGAACGAACAGACTGCCTCCTCAAGTGGGTCCCTGACCCCTGAGTAGCCTAACTGGGAAACGCCTCCCAGTAGGGGCCAACTGATACCTCATACAGCCGGGTGCCCCTCTGAGACAAAGCTTCCAGAGAAAGGGTCAGGCAGCAACATCTGCCATTCTGCAACATTTGCTGTTCTGCAGCCTCCGCTGGTGATACCCAAGCAAACAGGGTCTAGAGTACGCCTCCAGCAAACTCCAACAGACCTGCAGGTGAGGGTCCTGACTGTTAGAAGGAAAACTAACAAACAGAAAGGACATCCACACCAAAACTCCATCTGTACGTCACCATCACCAAAGACCAAAGGTAGATAAAAACACAAAGATGGGGAGAAACCAGAGCAGAAAAGCTGAAAATTCTAAAAATCAGAGTGCCTCTTCTCCTCCAAAGCAATGCAGCTCCTCGCCAGCAACGGAACAAAGCTGGACGGAGAATGACTTTGACAAGTTGAGAGAAGAAGGCTTCAGACGATCGGTAATAACAAACTTCTCCAAACTAAAGGAGGATGTTCAAACCCATTGCAAAGAAGCTAAAAACCTTGAAAAAAGATTAGACGAATGGCTAACTAGAATAAACAGTGCAGAGAAGTCCTTAAATGACCTGATGGAGCTGAAAATCACAGCATGAGAACTACGTGACGCATGCACAAGCTTCAGTAGCCAATTTGATAAAGAGGAGGAAAGGGTATCAGTGATTGAACATGAAATTAATGAAATGAAGCGAGAAGAGAAGTTTAGAGAAAAAAGAGTAAAAAGAAACGAATGAAGCCTCCAAGAAATATGGGACTAGGTGAAAAGACCAAATCTATGATTGATTGGTGTACCTGAAAGTGAAGGGAAGAATGGAACCAAGTTGGAAAACCACTCTCCAGGATATTATCCAGGAGAACTTCCCCAACCTAGCAAGGCAGGCCAACATTCAAATTCAGGAAATACAGAGAACACCATAAAGATACTCCTTGAGAAGAGCAACCCCAAGACACATAATTGTCAGATTCACCAAAGTTGAAATGAAGGAAAAAATGTTAAGGGCAGCCAGAGAGAAAGGTCGGGTTACCCACAAAGGGAAGCCCATCAGACTAACAGAGGATCTCTTGGCAGAAACTCTACAAGCCAGAAGAGAGTGGGGGCAAATATTCAACATTCTTAAAGAAAAGAATTTTCAACCCAGAATTTCATATCCAGCCAAACTAAGCTTCATAAGTGAAGGAGAAATAAAATCCTTCAGAGACAAGCAAATGCTGAGAGATTTTGTCACCACCAGGCCTGCCTTACAAGAGCTCCCGAAGGAAGTACTAAACATGGAAAGGAACAACCGGTACCAGCCACTGCAAAAAACATGCCAAATTGTAAAGACCATCAATGCAGGGAAGAAACTGCATCAACTAACAAGCAAAATAACCAGCTAACATCATAATGACAGGATCAAATTCACACATAACAATATTAACCTTAAATGTAAATGGGCTAAATGCCCCAATTGAAAGACACAGACTGGCAAATTGGATAGAGTCAAGATCCATCAGTGTGCTGTATTCAGGAGACCCATCTCACATGCAGAGACACACATAGGCTCAAAATAAAGGGATGGAGGAAGATCTACCAAGCAAGTGGAAAACAAAAACAAAGCAGGGGTTGCAATCCTAGTCTCTGATAAAACAGACTTTAAACCAACAAAGATCAAAAGAGACAAAGAAGGCCATTACTTAATGGTAAAGAGATCAATTCAAAAAGAAGAGCTAACTTCCTAAATATATATGCACCTAATACAGGAGCACCCAGATTCATAAAGCAAGTCCTTAGAGACCTATGAAGAGACTTAGACTCCCACACAGTAATAATGGGAGACTTTAACACCCCACTGTCAACATTAGTCAGATCAACAAGACAGAAAGTTAACAAGGATATCCAGGAATTGAACTCAGCTCTGCACCAAGCGGACCTAATAGACATCTACAGAACTCTCCACCCCAAATCAATGGAATATACATTCTTCTCAGCACCACATCACAATTATTCCAAAATTGACCACATAGTTGGAAGTAAAGCACTCCTTAGCAAATGTAAAAGAACAGAAATTATAACAAACTGTCTCTCAGACCACAGTGCAAACAAACTAGAACTCAGGATTAAGAAACTCACTCAAAACCGCTCAACTACATGGAAACTGAACAACCTGCTCCGGAATGACTACTGGGTACATAACGAAATGAAGGCAGAAATAAAGATGTTCTCTGAAACCAATGAGAACAAAGACACAACACACCAGAATCTCTGGGACACATTTAAAGCAGTGTATAGAGGGAAATTTATAGCACTAAATGCCCACAAGAGAAAGCAGGAAGGATCTAAAATTGACACCCTAACATCACAATTAAAAGAACTAAAGAAGCAAGAGCAAACACATTCAAAAGCTAGCAGAAGGCAAGAAGTAACTAAGATCAGAGCAGAACTGAAGGAGACAGAGACACAAAAAACCCTTCAAAAAAATCAATGAATCCAGGAGCTAGATTTTGGAAATGATAAACAAAATTGATAGACTGCTAGCAAGACTAATAAAGAAGAAAACAGAGAAGAATCAAATAGACACAATAAAAAATGATAAAGGGGATATCACCACCGATCCCACAGAAATACAAACTACCATCAGAGAATACTATAAACACCTCTACGCAAATAAACTAGAAAATCTAGACGAAATGGATAAATTCCTGGACACATACACCCTCCCAAGACTAAACCAGAAAGAGGTTGAATCCCTGAATAGACCAATAACAGGTTCTGAAATTGAGGCAATAATTAATAGCCTACCAACCAAAAAAAGTCCAGGACCAGACGGATTCACAGCCGAATTCTACCAGAGGTACAAAGAGGAGCTGGTACCATTCCTTCTGAAGCTATTTCAATCAATAGAAAAAGAGAAAATCCTCCCTAGCTCATTTTATGAGGCCAGCATCATCCTGATACCAAAGCCTGGCAGAGACACAACAAAAAAAGAGAATTTTAGACCAATATCCCTCATGAACATCGATGCTAAAATCCTCAATAAAATACTGGCAAAACGAATCCAGCAGCACATCAAAAAGCTTATCCACCATGATCAAGTCAGCTTCATCCCTGGGATGCAAGGCTGGTTCAACATATGCAAATCAATAAATGTAATCCAGCATATAAACAGAGCCAAAGACAAAAACCACATGATTATCTCAAAAGATGCAGAAAAGGCCTTTGACAAAATTCAGCAGCCCTTCATGCTAAAAACTCTCAATAAACTAGGTATTGATGGGACATATCTCAAAATAATAAGAGCTATTTATGACAAACCCACAGCCAATATCATACTGAATGGGCAAAAACTGGAAGCATTCCCTTTGAAAACTGGCACAAGACAGGGATGCCCTCTCTCACCACTCCTATTTAACATAGTGTTGGAAGTTCTGGCCAGGGCAATCAGGCAGGAGAAGGAAATAAAGGGTATTCAATTAGGAAAAGAGGAAGTCAAACTGTCCCTGTTTGCAGATGACATGATTGTATATTTAGAAAACCCCATCGTCTCGGCCCAAAATCTCCTTAAGCTGATATGCAACTTCAGCAAAGTCTCAGTATACAAAATCAACGGGCAAAAATCACAAGGATTCCTATATACCAATAACAGACAAACAGACAGCCAAATCATGAGTGAACTCACGTTCACAATTGCTTCAAAGAGAATAAAAAACCTAGGAATCCAACCTACAAGGGATGTGAAGGACCTCTTCAAGGAGAACTACAAACCACTGCTCAATGAAATAAAAGAGATCACAAACAAATGGAAGAACATTCTATGCTCATGGATAGGAAGAATCAATATTGTGAAAAAGGCCATACTGCACAAGGTAATTTATAACGATAATAAATGAAATGATTTCTAATGATAATGAATGAAATTGGATCTTTATCTAAATTTATAATTTATAAGGTAATTTATAATTTATTATATTTATTTATAAATAAATAAAAATTATTTATAATTTATAATTTGTTCAATGCCATCTCCATCAAGCTACCAATGACTTTCTTCACAGAATTGGAAAAAACTACTTTAAAGTTCATATGGAAACAAAAAAGAGCCCCCATTGCCAAGACAATCCTAAGCCAAAAGAACAAAGCTGGAGGCATCACACTACCTGACTTCAAACTATATAAGGCTACAGTAACCAAAACAGCATGGTACTGGTACCAAAACAGAGATATAGACCAATGGAACAGAACAGAGCCCTTGGAAATAATACCACACATCTACAACCATCTGATCTTTGACAAACCTTACACAAACAAGAAATGGGGAAAGGATTCCCTATTTAATAAATGGTGCTGGGAAAACTGGTCAGCCATATGTAGAAAGCTGAAACTGGATCCCTTCCTTACACCTTACACAAAAATTAATTCAAGATGGAGTAAAGACTTAAATGTTAGACCTAAAACCATAAAAACCCTAGAAGAAAACCTAGCCAATACCATTAAGGATATAGGTGTGGGCAAAGACTTCATGACTAAGACACCAAAAGCAATGGCAACAAAAGCCAAAATTGACAAATGGGATCTAATTAAACTAAAGAGCTTCTGCACAGCAAAAGAAACTACCCTCAGAGTGAACAGGCAACCTACAGAATGGGAGAAAATTTTTACAATCTACCCATCTGAAAGGGCTAATATCCAGAATCTACAAAGAACTTAAACAAATTTACAAGAAAAAAAATCAAACAACCCCATCAAAAAGTGGGTGAAGGACATGAACAGACACTTCTCAAAAGAAGACATTTATGCAGCCAATAGACACATGAAAAAAATCTCATCACCACTGGCCATCAGAGAAATGCAAACCAAAACCACAATGAGATACCATCTCATGCCAGTTAGAATGGTGATCATTAGAAAGTCAGGAAACAACAGATACTGGAGAGGATGTGGAGAAAAAAAACACTTTTACACTGTTGGTGGGACTGCACACTAGCTCAACCAATGTGGAAGACAGTGTGGCAATTCCTCAAGTATCTAGAACTAGGAATACCATTTGACCCAGCCATCTCATTACTGGGCATATACCCAAAGGATTATAAATCATGCTGCTATAAAGACACATGCACATGATGTTTACTGTGGCACTATTCACAATAGCAAAGACTTGGAACCAACCCAAATGTCCATCAATGATTGACTGGATTAAGAAAATGTGGCACATATACACCATGGAATACTATGCAGCCATAAAAAGGATGAGTTCATGTCCTTTGCAGGGACATGGGTGAAGCTAGAAACCATGATTCTGAGCAAACTATCCCAAGGACAGAAAACCAAACACCGCATGTTCTCCCTCATAGGTGGAAACTGAACAATGAGAACAGTTGGACACAGGGTGGGGAACATCACACACTGGGGCCAAAAAAAAAAAAAGAATGAAATTGGATCTTTATCTAACACCACACACAAAAACTCAAAATACTTAAACTCAAGAAATGAAAGTGTAACATTCCTGGAAGAAAATCTGGAGGAAAATCTTTTGATATTGTCTTTGGCCATGATTTACTGGATATGACACCAAAAGCACATGCAATAAAAGCAAAAATAGAAAAGCAAGATTACATCAAACTAAAAATCTGCACCACAATGAAAGCAGTCAGCAAAACAAAAAAAGGCAATCTATAAAACGGGAAAAAGCCCTCCCTCTCCCTCTCCCTTTCCCTCTTTCCTCTTTCCTTTCTACGGTCTCCCTCTCCCTCGTCTCCCCTTTCCACGGTCTCCCTCTGATGCCCAGCCGAGGCTGGACTGTACTGCCGCCATCTCGGCTCACTGCAACCTCCCTGCCTGATTCTCCTGCCTCAGCCTGCCGAGTGCCTGGGATTGCAGGCGCGCGCCACCACGCCTGACTGGTTTTCGTATTTTTTTGGTGGAGACGGGGTTTCGCCGTGTTGGCCGGGCTGGTCTCCAGCTCCTGACCGCGAGTGATCTGCCAGCCTCGGCCTCCTGAGCTGCCGGGATTGCAGACGGAGTCTCGCTCACTCAGTGCTCAATGTTGCCCAGGCTGGAGGGCAGTGGCGTGATCTCGGCTGGCTACAACCTCCACCTCCCAGCTGCCTGCGATGGCCTCCCAAAGTGCCGAGATTGCAGCCTCTGCCCAGCCGCCACCCCGTCTGGGAAGTGAGGAGCGTCTCTGCCTGGCCGCCCATCATCTGGGATGTGAGGAGCCCCTCTGCCCAGCCGCCCAGTCTGGGAAGTGAGGAGTGCCTCTTCCCAGCCGCCATCCCATCTAGGAAGTGAGGAGCGTCTCTGCCCGGCCGCCCATCGTCTGGGATGTGGGAAGCGCCTCTGCCCAGCCGCAACCCCGTCTGGGAGGTGAGGAGCGTCTCTGCCCGGCCGCCCCGTCTGAGAAGTGAGGAGCCCCTCCACCCGGCGGCCGCCCTGTCTGAGAAGCGAGGAGCCCCTCCGCTGGGCAGCCGCCCCGTCTGGGAAGCGAGGAGCCCCTCCACCCGGCAGCCGCCCCATCTGGGAAGCGAAGAGCCCCTCTGCCCGGCAGCCTCCCCGTCTGGGAAGTGAGGAGCATCTCCGCCCGGCAGCTGCCCAGTCCGGGAGGTGGGGGGCAGCCCCCGCCAGGCAGCCGCCACTTCCGGGAGGTGGGGGGTGCCTCCGCCCAGCCACCGCCCCGTCTGGGAGGTGGGGGGCGCCTCTGCCCGGCCGCCGCGTCTGGGAAGTGAGGAGCCCCTCTGCCCGGCCGCCACCCTGTCTGGGAGGTGTACCCAACAGCTCATTGAGAATGGGCCATGATGACGATGGCGGTTTTGTCGAATAGAAAAGGGGGAAATGTGGGAAAAAGAAAGAGATCGGATTGTTACTGTGTCTGTGTGGAAAGAAGCAGACATGGGAGACTCCATCTTGTTCTGTACTAAGAAAAATTCTTCTGCCTTGGGATGCTGTTAATCTATAACCTTACCCCCAACCCAGTGCTCTCTGAAACATGTGCTGTGTCCACTCAGGGTTAAATGGATTAAGGGCGGTGCAAGATGTGCTTTGTTAAACAGATGCTTGAAGGCAGCATGCTCCTTAAGAGTCATCACCGCTCCCTAATCTCAAGTACCCAGGGACACAAACACGGCAGAAGGCCGCAGGGTCCTCTGCCTAGGAAAATCAGAGACCCTTATTCACATGTTTATCTGCTGACCTTCCCTCCACTATTGTCCTATGACCCTGCCAAATCCCCCTCTCCGAGAAACACCCAAGAACGATCAATAAATACTATAAAATAAATAAATAAATAAAAAACGGGAAAAAATATTTGCAGACCATATATTTGATAACATATTAACATCTAAATTATATAAGGAACTCTAACAAGTCAGTAGAAAAAATAAAATAATCTGATTTTTAAACAGGTAAAGGAATTAAATAGGCTTTTATCAAAAGAAGACATACAAATAGCCTACAATATATGAAAATGTGCTCAACATCACTAATTATCCAGGAAATGCAAATCAAAACCATGATGAACTATCTTAACACAATGTTTAAGGTTAGAAGTGGTTTGAGTTTTTATTCAGAAGTTTGATAATGTTTTTGTGACCAGAAATATGCCATAATACCATAAATATGCCATATTTCACTCTTATTTAAATCAATTCACCTATTTTGGTAAAATTGGTTTTGTTTTACTTCATTCACTTAAAGTCAAAGTTTCCAAGAACCTATCAATGACATTAAGTAAGGACTTACTGTACTTAAAAATTTGCCAATATGGTAGATCTTATGTTAAATATTTGCATCACAAAAATAATAATAATAGTAATAATAAAGATGCCAAGAGGAAACTTTTTGAGGGGATAGATATGTTTATAGCATACACTGCAGTGATGGTTTCACAGCTGTACACTTATCTCCAAATTTATTAAGTTGTACATATTAAATATGTACAGCTGTTTGTATGTCAACTATACCTAAAAAAACTGGTTTTTTAATGTGAAAGAATAAATCTAACAAAAAGATAGAACTTTAAGCAGAAAACTGTAAAGCGTTTTGAATAATATAAAAGAATATGTAAACAAATGGAAGGACATACTATGTTCATAGATTGAAAGATTCAGTATTTTTTAAATGAAGCTCCCCCTAAGCTGATCTAGGGATTCTATAAGATCCCAATCAAAACTCCAATAGGTGTGTATATGCATATGTGTTGAACAAGCTAATTACAAAATGTATATGGTAATGCAAACTGTCAAGGATAGCCAAAGACAATCTTAAAGAAGAAAAAGTGGGAGGACTTTCTCAATCAGCTATCAGCACTTACTTAGCTGTATTAGCACATATAGTATTGGTTTAAGAACAGCCAAACAGATGAAATATATAGAACAGTGACACAGAAACAGACTCATGTATATAGTCACTTGATTTAAAACAAAGATGACATTGCAAAGCAGTGAAAAAATTATAGCCTCTTGAATAAATGGTGGTGAGAAAATTACATATTCATATGAAAGGAAACCCGAATTCTATTCTACACCATACATTAATATTAATTTCAGGCGGATTATAAATGTAAACCTGAAAGGCAAAACAATAAAGCTTCCAAAAGAAAACACTAGAAGATGCTTTATGACCCTGGGGTACAAAAAGATTTCTTAAATAAAATGCAAAGACGATAAAGCCTTAAGAATTTCTGTTCATCAAAGATACCATTAAGAGAGTGAAAGGAAAAGCCAAAATGGGAAATGACATTTGCAACACGTGATAAAGAGCTTATATTTAGAATGTATAAAAACTTCCTACAAATTAATTTCAAAAGATAGGCAACATAACAGAAAACTGGAAGAAATAAAAAACTGCAAGGGGGCCTTCACAAAAGAGGATACCCAAATGCCAATAAACATAATAAAAAGTGCTAATCTCATTAGCAGTCAGGGAAAAGCATGTTAAAATCACCATAGGATACCACTACACACCCACTCACACAACTAAAGTTATAAAGGCTAGCAAAAGCAAATGTTGGCAAAGAAGCAGAAAAAAGAGAACTCGCATACACTACTACTTAAGAAAGTTATTTAGGCCAGGCATGGTGGCTCACGCCTGTAATCCCAGTACTTTGGGAGGCCGAGGGAGGAAGTTCATGAAGTCAAGAGATTGAGACCATTCTGGCCAACGTGGTAAAACCCCGTCTCTAAAAATACAAAAATTAGCTGGTCATGGTGTCAAGCCTGTAATCCCAGCTACTCGGGAGGCTGAGGCAGGAGAATCGCTTGAACCCAGGAGGCAGAGGTTGCAATGAGCCGAGATCGCACCACTGTACTCCAGCCTGGGCAACAGAGGGAAACTCGATCTCAAAAAAAAAAAAGAAAGTTATTTGGTACAACTGCTTTGGAAGACTATTTAGCATTATCTATTATCTATTAAAGTTAAATATACGCATATCTTATAACTCAAAAATTTCTCTCTTAAGTATGTTCCCAACTTAAAAGTCTGCAGATGTGCTCCAAAATACATGTACCTGAATGTTCAGAGCAGGATAATTCATAGCAATAAAAACCTGGAGACAACCCAAATGGCCATCAACAGCTGGATGAATACGATGGTATATTCATTCAATGGCTTATTATTCTGCATGTTTGAAAACAACTAGTTATCAAAATTATCAAATACCTAGGTATAAATCTAATGCAAGATGTGTAAGATATATACACTAAAAACACACACACACACAAAAAGAAAATAACTAGTTATATGTGACATCATTGATGAATATTACAAATGATACTGAGCAAAAAAAAAAAACCCAGACAAAAATATAGATACTGTAAGATTCTGTTTATATGTTAAAAAAAAAAGGTAAAACTAGAGACACATACCTAGATGGAAAAAAGAAAACAGGTAATTATTGTAAAAGTAAAGACAGAGATTTCCTCTTTTTTTTTTTTTTTTTGAGATTGAGTCTCACTCTTGTTGCCCAGGCTGGCGTGCAATGACATAATCTCGGCTCACTGCAAACTCCGCCTCCGGGGTTCATGCAATTCTCCTGCCTCAGCCTGGGATTACAGGTGCCCGCCACAATGCCCAGCTAACATATATATATATATAGTATTTTTCATAGGAACGGACGGGTTTTCACCATCTTGGCCAGGCTGGTCTAGAAGTCCTGACCTCAAATGATCCGCCCACCTTGACCTCCCAAAGTGCTGGGCTTACAGGCATGAGCAATTGTGCCCAGCCAAATTCTAAAAGATAGAGGGAAAGAAAGCTATACAAACTGGCTGGGCCCTGAGGCAGGGCTTCTGGCATGTTGACAATGTTCTATTATTGATCTGAGTGATGGGTTACATGAGTGTTCGCTTTGTGATAAATCACCAACCTGTACATTTTTGCTTTGTACATTTCTCTGTTTGCTGTTATGTTTCACAAGAAGTGAGTTTTTGTTTTTTTTTTTAACAGTATCCCAAGGTATTTCCCCAGGAAGAAAAGAGGGTTGGGGTGGAAGACATAAGTAGGCACAGTTCACAAGTAAGCTGTTCCCATGGCAAGAACTTGGAATTAAACAAAATACTGTGCTTTTCTGAGGGTTTATTTATACAAAACAATACATAGTAAACAGATGGTGGCTCTTAGACCAGAGCAAGATAACCAGAAAAATTATTATATCTAAGAAGAAGTTTCCATAGACATGAGGCATAGAGAAGAAACAGTAAAATCACAGAAGCAACCACAATAGCAATGACTATATGAGTATTTTCCAGAGGAAACAGCCCATTTACCAAAACACTTCCACTACTACATTTCCTCTGACAAGGTAATCCCTATGGTGCTATCATAGAAATAGATGCAAAAGGCAACTATAGATTATCTAATTAAATATTTGAATTATATAAATTATCCCCATTCTTATTTCATATTCCATACACAACCTTCTAGTTGTAATGTGTTTTTTCATGATGTTTACCTACAGGGAGAGAATCTACTAGTCAGGTCCATGTAAGTATAATATGCATTGGGTAGTGTTATACATGGATTTCTCACGAGCTTTGTTAGTATTGAGAAAGAAAAGTGGCTCAGAGCAGTCTGAGGAATGCGAGTTATGCAAAAGGTATCAAGCCCAGAGAGTCAGGAGCATGAGACTTCCCTCAGGTTCCCTGTACCCATGCCTGCAAGTAATTGTTTAAAGGCATTTTGTTTTTTCTTTCCTTTCCTATAGTTTCCAGACTAGCTGATAAAGTATCTAAAAAGTTACCGTAAGTTGTACAATTGTCCTTCACCATTATCCTCATATTCCTGGAACTTGTGATACAAAAAACAATGTATAGCCAAACAACTTATGTTATTTTAATGAACCAATGTAAATGATTGGTAAACAATTTAGGAACTGCTCCCTAACTTCTTGTTTTCCCACTGGTAACTGCTGCTAATCCAAGCATATACTCAGGGCAACTTCAATCTATAGCTCCTGAGCTTCAGTTTTCAACCATGGCCCAAATATATTAATTTTGCCTCAGTTTCTTCCCTTAGGTCAATGATATCTATCAGTAATCTTGAACCCAAATATTCTGAGATAAAGACAAGATAATATTTATATTCCTTTAAGACTAAAGACCAAAACCTGGAACATTAGTCAATTCACGACAGTTATGAAAAAGACCTCTTGGCCTTCTGTGGCCATATCCCTTTGTATCATGTGCACACGCTTTTCACCTCAAAGCTTTTACGGTGAATTCTGTGGTATGGCTGGAGTATACAGTGCCAGTAGGTGAGTCCAAAAAAGGCGCATGGAAGACAAACCAAAATGTTTGCATATGAGCCTATTTTAGTTTATTTAAGGAAATAACATGTGCCAGGTAGTGTACTGAACACTTGCTATAAATTACAATATCATTTAATCTTTACAATACCACTATGTGAGTATTACTAGTGTTATCATTATCCCTGTTTTTTATAATAGCATCATTATCCATTTTTCAGATGAGGAAACTAAGTCAGTATGGCTATATGGCTTGCCCAAGGTCACATACGTAGTAAACAGCGAAACTAGGGTTTGAATCCCAACAGTCTGATTCCGTCTTGTTCTTAACCATTAAACTGTTTTCTCTGCTACAGTCTAAAACTATTTAGTATAAGAGGCCATCTATTCATCAATAATATTTACAGTGTAGAGACAAAGATTCTAGGAACATGGCAGCCTGAAAACATAATTGCTGATGCTTCTCCTAACTCCAAACTAACTCTTTTACTTCCTGGGCCAGAGGCAGGTAGGGCCTAGAGAGTGTGAGTAGAACCTCTGCTCTTATGGGGTCACAGAGAAAGCTAGTGTAAGACAAATTTTTCTCTGCTAAGTCAAAAGATATACTGAGGTCTAGTGGCAAAGAGCCATAGGACAAGATTCAGAATTCAAGGTTCCTAGGAAAAGCCTGGTCTTGAGAGATTTATGGGCCCCTCTGGTAGACATAATAATGCCTCCCTCCCCCTAAGATATCCAAAAAGCTCACCCTCTGACCCTGGGAATATGTTTCCTTACATGGCAAAAAGCTGTTGTTGATGTGATTATCTGGTGGGCCCTAAGTAATCACAAGGATCCCTATAAGGAGGGAAAAAAAGGGCAAAGGTAATAGTAGGAGATGTTATAATAGGAGTCTCAGAGTGATACAGTATGAGAAAGACTCGTTAAAGATGAAAAAAAGGGACCATAAGCCATGGATCGCAGGTGGCTTCTAGAAGCTGAGAAAGGCAAGGCAATGCATTTTCTTCAAAAGCCCCGAGGAAGAACACAGGCATGCTGACACCTTCATTTTGGCCCAGTGAAACTGATTTCAGACTTCTGACCTCCAAAACAATAAGATAATACATTCATATTGTTTTAAGCCACTAAGTTTGTGGTAATTAGTTACGTGAGCAAGAGAAAACTAGTATATTCCCCCAAAAAACAGACAGAGCTGGATGTTTTTAAATGAACATGCTGGTCTTCCTGGCCCAGATGAGCTGGTGCGAGAGGGGGCGGAAAAGGTGTATGAAGTCCTGCCTGCTCCTTAGGATGGAAGAGAGGCTTTGCATCTACAAAGATGAGAATGTGGAGAGCATCACACAGTGTCCTGAAATCGAATAAGAATGTGTAGTATCAGTGCAAAATAAGTAATAAAAACCTAATAATAGTCTGAGGCAAAAATTACCACACTGGTTTTTTTTACACTTAGGTATTAAGGAAGGAGGTATTAAGCATTAAGGTCAGACATGGGGAGATAGCGGACAAAAGAGCATTTAAATGTCTCTGGTGGGGAAACAGGAAGTAAAAGCACTCTAAAATAAAAGGAAATTTACTGGTAAGGGAAGAAGAGAGGGTCCTGGTGGGGGAAATAGTTGAAATTTTATTTTCTTGTACCAGTGGAGAAATGTGTATTTATTACACATGTTGGAAAAATAGGGGGAAAAAAATCTACCACCACCACCACCAAGAATAAAAAAGAAAAAATTATTTGGAAATTTAGAAACACTTTCAAAATGCTGTGATAAAAAGAATATAAAAACTGAAATTACAAACAGAAGACAAGGAAGAGGAAAATGTTTCATAGCAAACTTAATAGGATGCCGTGAAAGCCAAACTTAAAGGAAACCTTATAGCTTCAAGCTTCAAAAGCATTTCTCTTTTATTTTATTTTATTTTTTGAGACAGACTCTTGCTCTGTCGCCCAGGCTGGAGGGCAGTGGTGCAATCTCGGCTCACTGCAACCTCTGCCGCCCAGGTTCAAGCAATTCTCGTGCCTCAGCCTCTCTGAGTTGCTGGGACCACAGGCGCCTGCCACCAAGCCCAGCTAATTTTTCTATTTTTAGTAGAGACAGGGTTTTGCCATGTTGGCCAGGCTCGTCTTGAGCTCCTGACCTCAGATGATCCGCCCACCTCAGTCTCCCAAAGTGTTAGGATTACAGGCGCGAGCCACCACACCCAGCCTCAAAAGCATTTTTTATGAGGCAAGAAAGATGAAAAAGAAAATTAGTGCTCACTTTTAGCAACTAGGATAGGAACAATTAAATACATAGAAAGTAGGAAGAAAAAAATGAATAAAGGTAAAGCTTCAATTAATAAAACTTAAACATCTCAAATTGTAAAATGAAGAAATCTAAAAATTGATCTTTGAAATGATTAATAAAATAAATACCCCCCAACTTCGCTTAAAGGAAACTGAGAGAAAAATATATAAATGATTAGGAGTATAAAAAATTCATAAATACAGGTAAGAAAGATACTAAGGCAATTATAAGACAATAGTACTTGCAATTTTGCGTGCTATTTACAAATGCTGCATAACAAACTACCCTAAAACTTAGTGGTTTAAAACAATTATTTTATTATGCTCACAGATGCTTTAGGTCAAGAATTCAGACAGGGCTCAGCTAGGCTGGGTTTGTCATGTGATTACGTTGAGATGACAGCTGGGTTGGAGCTCTGTGAAAGCTCAAATTACACTGTTTATCCAAGATGCCAACCAGCTGTCAACAGATGCTGGCGGATGGCAGGAGCTGAGCTGGGAGCTTAGCTTGGCCTATCAATGGGGATGCTCACATATGGGCTCTCCAGCATGGAAGACCCAGACTTCTTACATGGCAGTTGAGTTCCCCAGAGTGAGCCTCCCACAGAACCGGGAAAAAGCTGCATAGCCTTTTCTGAACCAGCCTTGGAAGTCAGCATCACTTCTGCCATCTTCCAGTGGTTGAAGCAGTCATAAGCCTGCCTAGACCCAAGGAAAGTAGGCATAAACTCACATCTTGATAGGAATGTCAAAAATTTTGCAGAAATGTTTTAAAACCGCCACAGCAACAAATATGAAGCCTAGAGGAAATAATTTTCTAGCAAAATGTAAATTCCCAATTATGACCCAAGAAGTAAAAAACTTGGATAGATCAAATGCCACAGAAGAGATAAGAAAAGTGATTAAAGATCAGCCATTAAAATAAATGCATCAGGCAGTTTCACAGCTGGGGTATATGAAACTTTTAAAGAAGAGAAGTGTAATATTATTTAAACCAGGGACTTTCCAATTTTAGTGAGCCTCAAAATAACCTCACCAGCTAATAAACACACATTCCTGGGCCCCATCCCAGACTGATTCTGTAAGTTCGGAGTACAGAACAGGGATCTACATTTGTAACATGCACACATGTGATGTTACCATCACTTATTCACACAATTCACTTTGAGTAGCACTGATTTAAACCAGGAGTTAGCAAACTATGGCCCAGTGGCCAAATCTGGCCTGTCGCTTGCTTTTATAAATAAAGTTTTATTGGAATACATACAGGTTTATTCATTCACTTATTATCTATCTTTGCTTTTGCACTACAATGGCAGGGTTGAGTAGGTATGACAGAGACCATATGGCCCACAGAACCTAAAATACTTGCCATCTGGCCCTTTGCCCAAAAAGTTTACCGTGCCCTGTCTAAACCACTACCTTATTCTACCTCAATTATACCTCATTATATTTTCCCTTTTCCAAACTTAAGCAGACTTTTTGGATATTCTGCTGACATATTCGCTCCATTGGTTAAGGTGCAAAACTAATATGACAAATAGTTTTCATGGCACAGGCTATCTGCACTAAGCAACAACCAAATCACTATGTTGAAGAGGATGTGAGACTGCCCAAGCTCAGCAGGAAACAACGTTGCAATTGATTAGAGATGTCTTCTACACACATTGAAAGGGTAACTTGCAGCATGCATGCTGTGTGTTTGCTAACCCTGATTATAAAATATATAAGGTTTAAGATTATTTTCAAAATCTGTTGGATAACTGCAACAAAATATGAATGTAATGCACCCATTTTTAACTGCACCATAAACAATATATCAGATTTTGCTCCAAAGGCTATGGAAGTTATTGCAATAATATGCAAATGTTTCACACTCATAAAAAAGTAGAAAAATAAAACCATTTTGTGATTTTTATCAGAGTATAATACAGACCAATTCTGTCATGTTTGTACACAAGACTTCTGAGATTGATGTCTGCTCTTGAAAGAATATGAATAATGTTTCAAATGCTATAAACCAACATTTTATCAGTTGAAAATGTCCTTATTGTCAAAACATCTTTCAAAGATGCTAACTCTAAACTTTGAGGTAATTTTTGCACATTAACACCCTTTTCCCATGATGTTAGTTCCAAAATAGTGGCCCAGAGTATATCAACAGCAGAAATTACATTTCAAGATTTGCATATTTACATTATTACTTAAAAGAAAAAAAAGTCTGTTGTTCTAGGCAAAAGAAAAATGGCACAAGAAAATATGTGTACATGTTTGTTACCTTAGGCAGAAGAAAAACTGCAGGTGAAAATTTCCAGTGTGCGTAAGCAACAGTTAAATACCAAAACCCAGTAAAGCCAGAAGTGAGCAGCAGAGCTGCCACACAGATCACTGAAGGTGGCACCAGAGAACTAACCCCAGAGGAAGGTCCTAGAAGAAAGAGGTGAAGATCAGCCAGGCGTGCCCAGACATGGAGTTTTTCTCACCACTACAGTTCCGCACGAACAAAGCCTGGCACACAGAAAAAACACCATTAATATTTAAGAAAGGAAAGAGAAAGCATGAAAAGTAAAAGGGAGGGAAGGCAGAAGTTCACAACAAAAAGCCAGTCTTCCAAAACATTCCTACAGAGCTGTGGCTCCAATTCTAAAATAAAGACCCCCAAGAATTTGATATGTAAAATAAAGTTTTATTTGTTACATGGTTTTGTTTGTGGTTTTATTTATTACATGGTTTCTCTGGTAACCCTGTATTAATAATACATAGCAAAAGGAAAGAAGGGCAGAATATCTGCTGTACAGTTGATAATATTTGTCCAGTCATGCTGGGTGAAATGTATCAACAAAGCAAGGTAACTTCAAATTGTATCTAGCATGGAAGCATTCAGAACTACAGAGTCCATGTTTATGCCCTCAAACTGTATATGTGCCGGAGCCAGTGGCTCACACCTGTAATTCCAGCACTTTGGGAGGCTGAGGAGGGCGGATCACCTGAGGTCAGGAGTTCAAGACCAGCCTGGCCAACATGGTGAAAACCCGTCTCTACTAAAAGTACAAAAATTAGCCGGGCGTGGTGGCAGGCGCCTGTAATCCCAGCTACTCAGGAGGCTGAGGCAGGAGAATCGCTTGAACCCGGGAGGCAGAGTTTGCAGTGAGCCAAGATCGCACCACTGCACTCCAGCCTGGGCAACAAGAGCAAGACTGCATCTCAAAAAAAAAAAAAATTGTTTATACGTGCATTTTTCTGAGGAAAGATTCCAGTACATTCATCAGAGTCCCAAAACAGTCCACAGCCTAACCCACTCTACTCCCCAAAAATAGGAAGAACCACACTGCAATGTTTTACAAACTATAGGTCATTTTGGTGGGCACACATTTTTAAATTAAATAGAATAGAAAGTATAAGAGTATAACATTGATCATAAGGGTATTATTTCTTCAAACTTGTTCCAGCAAGTATATATATTTCTCTCTCTCTCTCTCTCTCTCTCTCTCTCTCTCTCTGTGTGTGTGTGTGTGTGTGTGTGTGTGTGTGTCAAGGTAAATTTTTTCATACTGAGGTGGTCTGGGTCAATTTGGAACTCATTGTTCTAAGGCATAAAAAAATGGCTAGATTCAACTTTGTAACATATTAAATCATCATCCATTGAAAACAAATCTGTGGTTCCAGTGGGCATTATACTGTTTTGAGTGGCATAAGACACACCAAAATGAAATTGTTATAATTAGAGAACTGCAATCTATAATACTCATAAATGAAAGTGTATCCCTATAAAGTCCTATAGATCTTAAGGAGATCAAAGGCTGCCATTGAAAGGACTTCACACTGTCTCTGGGAAAATGTTAAATTCTAAGTAAAATGTTTAGGAATAAAAAGAGTTAAAATATTCCCCTGGGATGATAACGTCCTCTAAGCACCTTAGAAAGACGTCAGAGAAGGGGAGAGAGAGTATGGAAAGTCATCCCTAAGCCTGGTACAGAGATGAGTCTTAGGAAAAAATATTTCCTTTATACAAAATAGACGAGAGAACATGGATATTCTGCCATGACTGCTTGGGTATGAACGTGTCACCACAGTGTCTGGTACTGTCTTCCGATTTTTTCTAAGCCTCAGTATGAGAAGCATTAATGGTCCATATACTGAGTTATTGGGCTTATTTCTAAAATGTTACTAATGCACTTTACAGGTTTAAGTTCTCCCAATCAATGCAAAAATTTCAAAAGTATCACTGGGTTCTACACAGCCAGACCATTACCTCTCCCCATACTATTCATTCAACAGGGGACTAATATCCAGAATATACAAGGAACTCAAACAACTCAACAGGAAAAAAGACAGTCCCACTAAAAGGTGGGCAAAGGACATAAATAAACATTTCTCAAAAGAAGAGCTACAAATGGCCAACACATGTGAAAAAAATGCTCAATATCACTAATCATCACAGAAATGCAAATCAAAACCACAATGAGATATCATCTTACCCCAATCAGAATGGCTATTATTAAAATAAAAAATAATAGATGTTGGCAAGGATGTAGAGAAAAGGGAACTCTTATAAACTGTTGGTGGGAATGTAAACTAGTACAGCCACTATGGAAAGCAGTATGAAGATTTCTCAAAAACTAAAACTAAAAAAGAATTACTATCAATGCAGTAATCCCACGACTCAGTATCTACCCAAAGGAAAAGAAACCAATATATCAAAGGGATACTTGCACTCACATGTTTATTGCAGCATTATTCACAATAGTAATGATATGGAATCAACCTAAGTGTCCCTCAACAGATGAATAGATAAAGAAAATGTGGTATATATATACTAGAATACTGGAATGGAATACTCTTTGGCCATAAAAAAGAATAAAGTCATACCATTTTGCAGCAATATGGACATAACTGGAAGTCATTATCTTAAGTGAAATAAGCCAGGCACAAAAAGGCAAATAACGCATGTTCTCACTTACATGTGGGGGCTAAAAATTTGATCACATGGAGGTACAGAGTGAAAGGTAGAGAAGAGAGACTGGAAAGGGTGAACGTGGGGAGGAGGGAGGATGAAGAGAACTGAATTAAAGGGTACAAACATACAGTTAGATAGAAGAAATAAATTCAATGTTTGATAGCAGAGTAGGGTAATTATAGTTAACAAAAATGTATTGTACTCAGGTGATGGACACCTTCAATATCCTGACTTGATTACTGCACACATTATCTACATGCAACAGAATTTCACAGGTATCTCATAAATTTGTACAAATTTTTTAAAAGAACATGAATTTCCAAAGTGAAAGAGCCCAGAGACTTCAGAGCAAAATTAATTTTTTTAAAAGATCCACCTCAATAATCACCGTAAAATTTCAGAACACCAAGAATAAAGAGAAGATTGGTCAAGGAACTTCACAATGGAAGGAACAGGCTGATACCACCTGAACAGATTAATCACTATTAGCCTCACTTAAAAGTAGGACAACCAGAAACCATTATGTGCTCATGATGTAATACAATAGGAAATACAAAGCACCAGCTATGAAGTTTTATTGTTTAACAACTGAAGTAGAATTTAGTCAAGTCTGAACCTAAATGCTAGTAAGTTTTTTATTCAATTGTTGTATTTTTCACTACTAAAATTTCATTTGGTTCTTCTTCATATCTTCTATTTCTATGCTGAAATGTCCCTTTTTCTTTTCTTTTTTTGTTGTTGTTTATTTGTTGTTTGTTTGTTTGTTTGAAGAGACAAGGTCTCACTCTGTTGCCCAGGCTGGAGTACAATGGCATGATGATCATAGCTCACTGCAACCTTGAGCTCCTGGGCTCAAGCAATCCTCCTGTCTCAGCCTTCCAAGTAGCTAGGACTATAGGCATGCACTGCCATACCCAGCTAATTAAAAAAAAAAAAAAAAAAAAGATTTTTTTTTTTTTTTTTTTTTTTTTTGTGACAGAGTTTCACTCTGTCACCCAGGCTGGAGTGCAGTGGCTCCATCTCGGGTCACTGCAACCTCTGCCTCCTGGGTTCAAGTGATTCTCCACATCAGCCTCCCGAGTAGCTGGAATTACAGGCACCCGCCACCACACCTGACCAACTTTTGTATTTTTAGTAGAGATGGGGTTTCACCATGTTGGCCAGGCTGGTCTCGAACTCCTGACCTCAGGTGATCCGCCGACCTCAGCCTCCCAAAGTGCTAGGATTACAGGCATGAGCCACCATGCCTGGCAGGGTCTTGCTATGTGGCCTAGGCTGGTCTGAAACCCCTGGCCTCAAGTGATCCTCCCACCTCAGCCTCCCAAAGTACTGGGATTACAGGCGTAAACCACCATGCCTGGCCCCCGCCTTTTTTAAATTTTGTTTCAAGTGTGTTCATAATTACTCACTGAAGCATTTTTTACCATGGCTGCTTTAAAGTTCTTGTCATATAATTCCAACACTTGTGTCATCTCAATATTGGTGTCTGTTACTGACTTTTCTCAATCAAGTTGAGATTTCCCTGGTTTTTGGTATGATAAGTGATTTTCTGTAGTACACATTATTGTTTAGAATAACATGAGATTAAAATGGACATGTGCCAAGCGCTGTGGCTCATGCCTGTAATCCCAGCACTTTGGGAGGCCAAGGCAGGCAGATCAAGACCAGGAGTTCAAGACCAGCCTGGCCAATATGGGAGGCTGAACCAGGGAGGTGGAGGTTGCAGTGGGCCGAGATCATGCCACTGCACTCCAGCCTGGGGAACAGAGCGAGACTCTGTTTCAAAAAAAAAAAAAAATTAAAAAAATAATAAAAAATAAATAAAATGGATAAGTAACTAATGAATCAGAAGTTTTCTTGAGTAAAAAAAAAAAATAGGAGCCAGGATGGTGGCTCATGCCTGTAATCCTAGCACTTTGGGAGGCCGAGGCAGGAGGATTGCTTGAGCCGAGGCATTCAAGGCCAGACTGGGCAACATGGCGAAACCTCGTCTCTACCAAAAATACAAGAAATTAGTTGGGCATGGTGGTGTGCACCTGTAGTCCAAGCTTTCAGGAGGCTGAGCTAGGAGGATGGTTTCAGCCGTGGGAGGCAGAGATTGCAGTGAGCCAAGAATGCGCTGTTGCACTCTAGCCTCAGTGGCAGAGCCAGACAGTATCAAAAAAAAAAAAGAGTAACAATAACAAAAGCTAATACTTAAATAGCATGATGTGTCAGGCACTATAATGAGTATCTTATACATATTAACTCATTTAATACTTACAACAACTCTATGAAGTAGGCACTACAATTATCTGAATTTTACAAATGAGGAAACTGAGGTTAAGTAATTTGCCTGCAGTCACACAACTAGTAAATGGTAAAGCTAGAATATGAATCCAAACCGTCTGCCTCCAAAGTCCATGCTGTTGAAATCAGTATGCCATCATGCCCCCAGTAATGTATTACTGTAGCTTTATTTGTGTAAACATGTCATTGTTTTCCTATACAGGGAAATTTTAGGGTGAATCTTGTCATTTTAGTCATCATCATAGGTATTATAAAAGATTACTTTGTTGCCACTAACTAAAGAAAAAAGCCAGTAGTAGGCATATTTTTAGAAAAACAAAAGGCTCAAGAAGATAGGCAATTTTACGTGAATTTGGCAGAGCGACCTAACCTAACAAGATGTGTTCTTTCCTACATGTGTCTAGTGCTCAACGAATGCTTGTTGAATGAATGAACACACACACATATGCATGTCTCTAAAGAATGAACGATAAACAGGATGTCAGCTACTTTTTTAAAATGTCAAAAAGGGAAAGAATATGGAGCTATGATCTTCTAACAGGAGGACTTCCTAAAAGTCAAGGGTCCGGAACTCGCTTGTCTCAGATGATAATTACAGGCCAATGAACCACTGCTATCTGGCCAATTAACCTTTCTGACAAAAGAAGGATGTCTAAAAATAAGAGAAATGTTTTCAAATATTACTGATAATATAAACTGGGTTTTGTACATTTAAGATTTGTCCAGAATCTCTTTGTCCCTTGATATGTAACCTATCCAAGAAGTATCAGCTCCAGCCAGAAGGATTTTACTATTACACAACCTGTAAAGTTTACAGAAGAGGTATTCTGAAGGAGAAAAAAAAACAATAATGACTTTCTGAAAAAACAAAATTGTAGATAACTTTGTTAAAAAACAAAAATTTAAAACGAAGTAAAAATTAAGATTCTCACCTAGCCCATTATCATAGAGACTTACATTGCTATCAAGCCCGTTTCTCTAGGGGCTTAAAGGCAATCTCTGACACGGTGCTGCATCTCAAAATGTTCCCTCAGTGAGGTGATGAATCTCTCTTGCCCTGGTCTGATGAGGCCATGAGTGATCGTTTAAGAATCAGTGTATCAGTGAACAAGGCAAGGGAGCAAGCCAGCTGGCCAATATGAAGATGAAATACTTGACCTAGCGACACCACCAAAGTCTCAGCAAAAACAGGCTATGTCCTACAAACAGGTAGGAATCTGTTCACTTTTGATCTGAAACAATGGAGCACCCCTAAAATACCAACACCAATAAATAAGAGTAAACAACCCAATAGTTTCGGATTGCAGCAGGATAGCAAAAGATTCGAAGAATCTACCTGAAATTGCTTCTTCATCATAAAGAATGCCCCTTAGCAACTGATGCAATAATTACTTGGCATTAAGATAGACATATGATTTATTTGGCATTTAACTATCATGAATATACATAAAGGAACTCAGTGAGGTTACATTACACCCTTAATAGCTAACTCATAACTGTAGTACGTAAATAGGAGCTAATGTAAATGCTAAGCTTCTATAGATAAATAAATAATATTTGATGTATCACCCTTCAGTGAGCCGCAAACTGAAAGAAAGATTATATGATCAATTTAGGCCTGAAATCCTTAGCGCACTGTTGGTGGGAATATAGACTGGTACAGCCATTATGGAAAACAGTATGGAGGTTCCCGAAAAAATTAAAAATAGAACTATCATACAACCCAGCAATCCCTCTTCTGGGTGTATACCCAAAAGAGAAGACCTTTTGCTCACCTCATAAATATATATGCACTCCCATGTTGATTACCGCATTATTCACAATAGCCAAGATATGAAAAAACCTAAATGTCTGTCAGTGAATGACTGGATAAAGAAACTGTTGGCCAGGTGTGGTAGCTCATGCCTGGAATCTCAGTGGTTTGAGAAGCCAAGGTGGGAGGATCGTTTGAGGCTAGAAGTTTGAGACCAGGCAAACAACATAGTGATAACCCATCTCTACAAAAAAAAAAAAAATGTAATTATCCAGGTATGGCGGGGTGTACTTGTAGTTCTAGTTTCTTGGGAGGCTGAGGTGGGAGGATCCCCTAAGTCCAGGAGTTTGAATGAGCTATGATCATACCACTGCACTCTAGCCTGGGTGACAGAGCAAGACCCAGTCTTTAAAAAAAAGACAAATAAAATTTTAAAAAGAAACAGTGGTGTGTATACACACACGCATATACACACAGGAATATTATTCAACCTTAAAAAGGAAGTAGATCCTGCCATTTGCTACAAAACAAACCTAGCAGATATTATGCTAAGTGAAAAAAGACAGACACAGAAAGAAAAACATCACAGGCTCTCACTTATACATGGAATATTTAAAAAGAAAAGAGTTCAAATACACAGAGCACAAAACAGTAGCTACCATGGATGGGCAGGGGGCGGGAGAGGAAACAAAGAGATGCAGATCAAAGGATACAAAATACCAGATATGTAGGGTGAACAAGTTAGAGATAATACACAACATGAGGACTAAAGTTAATCAAATTGTATTATATTAGACATTTTAGTTAAATAACTAAATTTTGGTTGCTCTTGTCATGAAAAAGTAATTATGTGAGATGAGATATGTGAATCGGCTTCACTATACTACCCATCTTACTATCTCTCTCTCTCTCTCTCTCTCTCTCTCTATATATATATATATATATCTCATAACATTATGCTGTAAACCTCAAATATACATAACACATTTTTTTAAATTTAGGTTTGAAACAACATTTTACAATGGAAAATAGATGAAGCAATTAAGGACCTCTAAAGAATTCAGTTCAGATGTTATGCCTTTAAAATATAAATTGAATTAAATTATATCATTACTTGAGAAATGTGTATATTTCAATGAACATATTATTTAAAAACTGACCTAATTTACTAATAAAAGAACAAGAGGCTTTTCATCTCTCCTTTTCCAAAGAGGTTTTTTAAAAAATAGTTCTCAGTTTCGTGATTCAGTACTATAATACAGTTTTACAGTTTTACATTTCCTGCTTTATCTGTTGAAGCAAGATAACTCAGTAGCTATTGTCCAGGTAGACTTTCATTTCACCCAGACCACGGTTTTATACAAAGTAAATTTTCTAACTTCAGAGAACTTAACAACCACTCCTAATCAGAAACTCTTTAGGCAATGCCAAGAAAAATATCCAATGAAAGAAATTCTGTTTAAGTACAGTATGAACAACTCCTTACTAAATAGCTTTTCCCCCAACTCCAGTGCATAAAGTATGTTCCATACATATCTTTATATCACTATATATTTTGAAATTTAAAACTTTGATATAGTCCTAAATTCGTTGCTATTTTACTTTCCATTTGTTCAAATGTTTCACAACTTCTGTCTGTGGTACTACAAGCCCCTTCAAAAGACTTAAATTGTATTAAAATACTACTTTCAATTTAAAGAGCAAAATATCTGAAAAATTAAGGTCACAGTGTTAGAGAGTCTAATGGAGTATGGATTTCTGCTTGAAGTACTTCAACCAGAAACCTCAGCAATCTTAAATCTGTCTCTCCTGGATATAATAAGTTTTAAAGCTTTGAATGAATTTTCAGACTATGTTTCACATCTCTCATAACTTCAGAAGAAGATGCAGCAGAGAAGCAAAGAGAACAGTCTCTATAATAATGGAATTTTTATGCAGTACCAATAAGCTACAGAGCCTTTAAAACAAAAGATGAATAGGATCATTTTTAAAGGAGGAAAAATAAGCGTTAGAAGGTTTCTTTGTAAGAATTTGCTCATAGGTACAAAGTACTTTTCAAAAGATCAAGAAATAGTAGGTTCTTTGATTCAGGATGTCATAAATGTTACAGAATCACGATTAAATCAACTATTAGTTTTAAAATATAAGGGTTTTATTTCAATATTTCTACGATAAATGTGGCTAGTTCCACATGTCATTACGAAACCTAAGTCAATTTTCAGATAGGGCACTGACCAGGAAATACTGACAGACAAAAATCACATGGAACATGTACAAATCTGAAATAGGGAAACAACACAAAATACATTTCAAAAAAATTGCTTTTAAAATGTTTGTCATCTAAAACAGTGGTTCTCAACGGAAGTGATTTTGCCTCCCGGGGGATGGCTGGCAATGTCTGGGAACATCTTTCGTTGTCACAACTAGGGGAGTGCTACTGGTATCTAGAGGGTAAGAAACCAAGGATGCTGCAAAACATCCAAAATGCATATGGCTGCACCACAAGAAAGAATTACCCACTCCAAAATGTCAATAGGGCCAACGCTGAGAAATACTGACCTAAAAGAATGCCAAGCACGTGATCAAATATGCTTGGATGATGCAAAAATACTTGCTGAATGAATTAATGAATTTTAATAAATGAAAAGATTTAGTTTGCACTTTTTTTTTAAGACACTCTGTCACCCAGGCTGGAGTGCAGTGGCACGATCTCGGCTGCAACCTCTGCCTCCCCAGGCTCAAGAGATCCTCCCCACTTAGTCTCCTGAGTAGCTGAGACTACAGGTACACACCACCACACCCAGCTAATTATTGTATTTTTTTGTAGAAACGGGGTTTCGCCATGTTGCCCAGGCTGGTCTTGAACTCCTGGGCTCAAGCAATCCACACGCCTCAGCCTCCCAAAGTGCTGGGACTACAGACATGAGCCACTGCACCCGGCCTGGTTTTCACTTTTTATAGCTTCTTATTATCTCCATCAGTTTGATGCCGCCCAATGCAGACTCTGTTTTGTTCTCCAAATATGTATCTACTCATTCATTAGATTCCCCTAGGGTGACAAATATGACCAAAGAGATGAAAAATCACATGTCCATTAAGGATCTTGCCCTATGATATGGTTTTCCAAGGAATCTAAAAGAGGGACGCATATTCACCATTTAATTGTCACTTAAATCAGCAGGTGAAAACATTTCAAATGTCTTCAGTGATTAAGAGCTCAAAAATATATTTTTAACTATGGGAATTAAAACATTATTATTTTATTTGGCCACATTTGTTGATAAACCAACGTATTTCAAATTTACAAGTCAAAACCAAATAAGTAAAATTTAAATACTCTTTAGAAAATACTCATTGTGGTTCTGTAATTTGTAACAACATGGATGGAACTGGAGATTATGATGTTAAGTGAAATAAACCAGGCACAGAAAGACAAACATCACAGGTTCTCATTTATCTGTGGTATCTAAAAATCAAAACAACTGAACTCATAGATGTAGAAAGTAGAAGGATGGCTACCAGAGGGTGGGAAGGGTTGTTGGTGGTAGGGGGAAGATGGGACTGGTTAATGGGTACATTAAAAAAATGGAAGAATGAATAAGACCTACTATTTGATAGCACAACAGGGTGACTATAGTCAATAATAACTTAATTGTACATTTTAAAATAACTAAAAGTATAATTAGATTATCTGTAATACAAAGGATAAATACTTAAGGGGATGGATACCCCATTCTCCATGACATATTACACATTGCATGCATGTATCAAAATATCTCATGGACCCCATAAATGTATACCTACTATGTACTCACAAAAATTAAAAATATAAAAGAAAACACTCATTGTGTGAGAAATGCAACTAGAAAAGGTTAAAATGCCCATGTGATTTTTTAAATAGTAATTCACAATTGCCAGTTCAAAATAATACTAAATGATTTTTTTCCATTTTTTTATTATACTTTAAGTTCTGGGATATATGTGCAGAATGTGCAGGTTTGTTACATAGGTATACATGTGCCATGGTGGTTTGCTGCACCCATCAACCCGTCAACTACATTAGGTATTTCTCCTAATGCTATCCCTCCCATAGCCCCCCATCCCCCGACAGGCACGGGTGTGTGATGTTCCCCTTCCTGTGTCCATGTGTTCTCATTGTTCAACTCCCACTTATAAGACTCTGGCATTCCCAATTTAATCTAATATGAAAACTATCCCAAGTGGAAATTTTATATATATATATAAAATATGTATATATATATTTATAAAATTATATATATAATTATATATATGTAATACATGTATATATATTCCATATTTATCCTTAACTGTCATGTAGCTACAGATTGATTTTATTAACAAATACTTAGAAGAATAATGATTGTTTCTCTAAAGAAAATTATGAGTAAATTTTATTTTTTCTTTATAGCTTTTTAAATTTTTCAACTGTTTTACTATCTACATAATAATTTTGTAAGGAAAGTGAACTATATATTCAAAGAAATAGAGCCTCGGATAATTGACATATACTCATTGTTTTCTATAGAACCATATATTATTCCAGGGTTAAAATTTAAGAACAATAGTTAATCATAAAGATATGAAATTCCCAAACTATTTCCCTTTAAAGAACCTACCATTTATGCATGGGGGAAAACAATATAACTAAAAGAGACTTATTTTTAAAATGCTTCTAGCCAAAATCATAATGTTGGATAAATTACAAACACTAAGTCAATTATAAATGTTTACACATTATTCTGCTACTGTACTTTTAGTT